>NC_000018.10:50327243-50627909 GCF_000001405.40 Homo sapiens
GTGGATTCACTAAGAAGGAGAATCTAAGGGGACAAATTCCTGTATAAAATCAGAGTGGTGGTTATCCAAAGGGGATAGATTTGTTTTCCAGAGGAGAATGAGTCCCTCATGGTGGGGCACTTGGGGGAACAGGCACTTCCAGGTATGTCTCTGGAAGTCCCAAGAGTTCAGCTCCCAATGGCCTCTATTTTATCTTTCAGTGGAAGGCTGAGGAACCTGCTGAAGGTGAAGGAGTGAGAATCTTTTTATAATTTGAGACTATTTGGTTTAGATGGATTGCATTTTGAATCTATCATATAGAGGGTCAAAATCTCATTATACTATCCAAATCAACATCAGAAGTTAGTGAGAGATTCAGCATTCTGAAAGCTGAAGTTCATATATAGCTGTCTCAACTCTGGCTCAACTCAGTAGAGCAGGGCTGGAGTGGCAAGGTGGCACAGAAGTATGGCAGAGGTACATTACATGAGTTAGAGTTGAGATGTGGCCAAAAGGTATCAGAATTCCCTAGAGCAGCAGTCCCCAACTTTTTGGCACCAGGGACCAGTTTCGTGGAAGACAATTTCTCCACAGACCGGGGAAGGCGGGAGGGGATGGCTTAGGGATGATTCAAGTTTGTTACATCTGTTGTACACTTTGTTTCTATTATTATTACATTGTAATATCTAATGAAATAATTATACAACTCACCATAATGTAGAATCAGTGGGAGCCCTGAGCTTGTTTTCCTGCAACTAGACAGTTCCATCTGGGGGTGATGGGAGACAGTGACAGATCTTCAGGCATTCCATTCTCATAAGCAGCCCACAACCTAGTTCACAATAGGCTTCATGCGCCTATGGGAATCTAATGCCACCGCTGATTTGACATGTGGTGAAGCTCAGGTGGTAATGTGGGTGATGGGGAGTGGCTGTAAATACAGATGAAGCTTCGCTTGCTTGCCTGCCACTCAAGTCCTGCTGTGCAGCCTGGTTTGTAACAGGCCACAGATGATACCATGGAAATAAAAGAAGCCCTGATTTGTAGAATTTCACACTTTCCCTTGGTTAATTATACCCACTATGGGAAATTTAAAGTTCACAATCTGATGTAACTGAAAGAGTGGAATTGGAGAGATGCACAGTAGTACAGCATTACAGAGCACTTCCACCATAGACGCAACAGACAAAATAACATCAAGAGCACAAATAATAGTAAAATGTAGTATAATAATTAGAAGGGTGAGCTTTTAGTATTACCTCTGGGATTTTTAAAAACATCTATGTTGAAATATAATTCACATACCATAAAATTCACCCATTTAAAGTAAAATAATTCAGTGATTTTAGTATATTTTTAGAGTTTGTAACCATCACTACAATCAGTTTTAGAACATTTTAATCATCTCAAGCAGCAACATTATATAAATTTGCAGTCACTCCCCATTTACCCCCAAGTGCCCTCCTCCTTGGCTCTGGGCAACCACTGATCACTGCCTATTGCACAGTTACCCTTTGTGGACATTTCACAAAGTCTATTGTGATTTGCTTCTTAGCATATTGTTTCCATGGTTCATCCATGTAATGACATGTATATAGCCTTACCCATTTTGTTGTATTGGCATCCTTGTTGAAAATCATAAATGTTTTTTCATGTGTCTTTTGGCTGCATAAATGTCTTCTTTTGAGAAGTGTCTGTTTATATCCTTCGCCCACTTTTTGATGGGGCTGTTTGTTTTTTTCTTGTAGATTTGTTTGAGTTCATTGTAGATTCTGGATATTAGCCCTTTGTCAGATGAGTAGATTGCAAAAATTTTCTCCCATTCTGTAGGTTGTCTGTTCACTCTGATGGTAGTTTCTTTTGCTGTGCAGAAGCTCTTTAGTTTAATTAGATCCCATTTGTCAATTTCGGCTTTTGTTGCCATTGCTTTTGGTGTTTTAGACATGAAGTCCTTGCCCATGCCTATGTCCTGAATGGTATTGCCTAGGTTTTCTTCTAGGGTTTTTATGGTTTTAGGTCTAACATGTAAGTCTTTAATCCATCTTGAATTGATTTTTGTATAAGGTGTAAGGAAGGGATCCAGTTTCAGCTTTCTACATATGGCTAGCTCATCATCACTGGCCATCAGAGAAATGCAAATCAAAACCACAATGAGATACCATCTCACACCAGTTAGAATGGCAATCATTAAAAAGTCAAGAAACAACAGGTGCTGGAGAGGATGTGGAGAAATAGGAACACTTTTACACTGTTGGTGGGACTGTAAACTAGTTCAACCATTGTGGAAGTCAGTGTGGCGATTCCTCAGGGATCTTGAACTAGAAATACCATTTGACCCAGACATCCCATTACTGAGTATATACCCAAAGGATTATAAATCATGCTGCTATAAAGACACATGCACATGTATGTTTATTGTGGCACTATTCACAATAGCAAAGACTTGGAACCAAGCCAAATGTCCAACAGTGATAGACTGGATTAAGAAAATGTGGCACATATACACCATGGAATACTATGCATCCATAAAAAATGATGAGTTCATGTCCTTTGTAGGGACATGGATGAAGCTGGAAACCATCATTCTCAGCAAACCATCGCAAGGACAAAAAACCAAACACCGCGTGTTCTTACTCATAGGTGGGAATTGAACAATGAGAATACATGGACACAGGAAGGGGAACATCACACACCAGGGCCTGTTGTGGGGTGGGGGGAGGGGGGAGGGATAGCATTAGGAAATATACCTCATGTTAAATGACGAGTTGATGGGTGCAGCACACCAACATGGCACATGTATACATATGTAACTAACCTGCACGTTGTGCACATGTACCCTAAAACTTAAAGTATAATTAAAAAAAAAGAAAATCATAAATGTAAAGATTATTTCTGGACTCTCGAGTCTATTCTGCTGATCCATATGTCTATCCTTACACCAGTCCCACATAGTTTTGATTACTACATTACTTCATTCCTTCTTTTTCCTAAGTAATATTCCATTGTATGGATATACCACATCCATGAGTGGTGGACATTTGAGTTATTTCACTTTTTGGCTGTTATGAATAATGCCATGAACATTCATGTAAACATTGTTATGTAAACATATATTTTCATTTCTCTTAGGTGTATATCCTGTGAATTGGAATTGTTGAGTCATATGCTAACTCTATGTTTAACCTTTTGAAGAACTGCCAAAGTGTTTTCCAAAGTGACTGCACCACTTTCCAATCTACCAGCAATAGATGAGGGTTCCAATTTCTCTGCATCCTCAACAACATTTGTCAGTTTTTAAGATTATAGCCATCCTAGTGGGAATGAAATGGTATCTCATTGTGGTTTTTATTTGCATGTTCCTGAAGACTAATGATGTTGAGCAACTTTTCATGTGCTTACCAACCACGTTCATCTTTTCTTTAGAGAAATGTCTATTCAAATCTTTTGCCTTAAAAAAATTAAGTTGTTTATTGTTCAGTTCTAAGAACTCTTTATTTTTACTGGATACAAGTTCCATATACATATATATATATATATATATATTTTTTTTTTACTGGATACAAGTTCCATATATATATATATATATAGCAGGTATAAGGAAAATATTTTTTATATATATAAAATATATATATATACACCTAGTTTGCAAATATTTTCTATTATGTTGTGCATTTTCTTTTTTCTTTATTGATGTTGTCCTTTGAAGCACAAAAGTTTTAAATTTTGCTGAATTCCAGTTTTTCTATATATTCTTTTCACTTGTGTATTTGGTGGCATATCTAAAAAACCACTATCCAATCCAAGTCAGAAAAACTTATATGTTTTCTTCTACAAGTTTTATAATTTTATTTCTTACATTTGGGTTGATGGTCCCTTTTGAGTTTTGTATATGGTGTGAGGTAGGGGTCCAACTTGATTATTTTGCATATAGATATCTAGTTGTCCCAGCATATTTGTTGAAAAGACTATTCTTTCCCCATTGAATTATCTTGGTAACTTGTCAAAAATCATAAATATATGGGTTTATTTCAGGTCTCAATTTCTACTGATCTCTATATATACACTTATGCCAGTAACACATGGTCTTACTGCATCTGTGTAATAAGCTTTGAAATCAGGAATTTTGTCTTGCAACTTTTTCTGGTCAAGGTCATTTTGGCTAGTGTGGGTCTCTTGCATTTCACATGAATTTTAGGATTGGCTTGTGAATTTCTGCAAAAAAAGCAGGCTGGAATTTTGATAAGGATTGCATTGAATATGTAGATCAATATGGGGAGTACTGCCATCTAAACAATAGTAAGTCTTCTTGTAATACATAAACACGGTATATCACCTTTGTCTCAACATACATGTTTTAAAATTATATCTTCATATAAGTTACCTTTTAATCATGGCTGTACTTAACAACTGGCATATAAAATTCTTGAAAATTTACAAATTAACTCTCAGCAACAAGCCAGCTCCAGCACACCACTGCCTCTTATTGTTTTTGTATTTTCAGTATACTTGGCCAGAGAGAAAAAGGCTAGGTGAACCAGGGTGGAGTTTTTAGGTGGGATTCACAGCAGAAACTCAGCCTCCAAAAGGGCTGAGAGTAGGAACCATGGCCATAGGTCATCAAGGTCACGTGGCTGATGTGGATAGAAGAGATGGGCTGGGCAGCAGCAGCACTAAGAATCACAACTTTAGCTAAGGAGGGAAGTTAGCATGACAAGTGGCAAAGCCAGCAGCCACTAAGAATGAATATCCTTCAGGGTTTGGCATCTTGTGTAGCAAGAACTGCTGGTCTGGAAAGGACCTAGTTTCTAGATGGACAGAGAATTACATGCAGGTGTTCTGACAACAAAATGATGCCCATCCAGGAATAGCCTTGGCATTTTCTAAATCATGGCAGAGGCAGGAAAATAAAGGATTTAATATCTACCTTGCATTTTCAAGGTCACTGAAAACTGCAAATGGGCAAAATCAATATCTTCCTATCAAGATTGAGGTGATGGTTAAGCTGGCCATGGTGGCACATGCCTGTACTACTCAGCTCCCTGGAAGGCTTGAGCCCAGGAGTTTAAGGCTGCAGTGAGCTATGGTGGTGCCAACTGCACTCCTCCAGCTTGGGTGACAGAGTGAGACCCCGTCTCTAAGAAAACAAACATCACCAACACCACCACCAAAAAGCCTCAAAAACTGTTCTGAGGATTAAATAAAGGGGTCAAGAAGAGGAAAGTATTAAGTAACAGTTTCCTTTCATTTTGGATATGCCATTTTCAGCCACTGCCAACTGCCATCATTCATTTAAATCATTTATGAGAATGAATTAGCTTCTTTCAGCAACTTAAAGTCTACCCTCACCCTCACTGTTCATCTCAGACCTGCATCTGTAACACCACATTTCCTATCACACTCTCAGACCCCTGGGGAGGAAGAGATGCACCATCTTTCTCCTCTGACCTTCTCTTCTTTGTCTTTTATTTCCTTAGGGATCCAAACTATTGAGGTGGCCTATACTTCTGATTCACTGGTAGATTTTTTTTTCCCACTTGTATTGATTCCAACTACAAGTCCTGGAGCCTGATTCTGATTTCTGGGCTGGAAGCTGATCCCCGAGTATGAATATAAAATCTGATCAAAATAGATCCCTTTTTGTCCCTCATGAAACCTATCTATAAATACCAACTTTAATCCCACACTTTGCAGAAGCCTCTAGTCTAATGCTTCCCAGCTTCAGGTCCTACAGTCCTTGCATCTAAAGAGGAAGGTCTCTTTGTTGACTTAATTGTGCCATGTGCAAGGTGAAGCATAATGAAATCCTTTACAATTGCTCCTTGTCCTTCATAAAATTGAGTATTGCTCTTTTTTCTTCCCAAAGCTACCATTACAGAAAATGTAGTACTTCATTATCCACTGCATTAATCAATAATGATTTAATGCATGAACTAGTTGTTGCAGGTGAGTAGGAGCTATATGGGCCAGTGGTGTTGGGGTAAGAAGAATTTATCAAGTCAGTTGTAGGTAAAGAAAAGCAGACTTATTAGAGAAAGTATAAAAATGTGTTGCAAGAGTGCAACATGCAGATTAGTAAGAGAGAAGCTGAATGCAAGGAGACAAAGGCTTGCTAGGGATTTTATAGGGTGGTGCTGGTGCTGTGTGCTGATAACAACAAGGTTGCATCTAGCTAACTTGCATTTTTCTATCAGCCGAGGGTCTGGTGATAGCTGGGCACAGGAAAATTGTGAGTTATTTGTGCAGGAGGGCTATGCTGTCCTGGACCAGGAAGAAAGGCAGATCTATAGCTTATCTGCTTTCTCTTTCTGCTTTCCCTTGGTCCTGCCAGGCTGACTCCTTTTCTCTAATTGAGACTCCACATTTCCCCGTCCCAACCCCCTGACAGAGCAACAATGACAAATCTTTGGCATGTGGGTGATTGTCTTTCAGCTGATTCCTGCTGACCAGAGGTGTAGAGTTGGCCTTACCTAGGATTGTTGTTAGTTAGGAGGTTACATGGGCCTAAATCCCTAAGTTGGGAGTTAATTTGGGCAGGGTGGCTATGGGACCATGGGGGAAGAGCCTTTGCAGCCTAAAATTTTGTCCTGCTGCATCCAAAGGAGAGTCATGAAGTTCTCTCAGTGGCTGATACCCTTGCTACAGTAACATTTTGGTTTGAAATTGTTTTATCCTAGAAGACACAAAATGAGATATTGCATTAACAATACATGGAGCAAATAAACAAACTAACATGAGCATTATGATAGGTGGGAGAAGTGGGGCAACCCATGGCCAAACCCAGCTGGAGAAGCTTTGAAATAGTTGTGTCAAAAAGGAATTTTGAAGAACTCCTTTTTGAAGGCCCTCTAAAATCTTGATGTTCTTTTTGATCTTTTTAAAACTTTCTTCTACCTGACCTGAGGTACTGATGGAAAAGCAACAAGTTTCATTTAATAGTATACAGGTGCCCCCTATCTCAGTAGTAAGCACATTCAAAGTGGGTTGGTTCTGCAAGACAACCCCTGCCAACGAATTTAGGGCCTGTTGTTGGGCCTTGATGCTATGACTGTAGCTTCCCAAGACTGCTGTACTAGAATGGTGAGATAATGAATACAGCACTTAAGCATGGGTATACCTGCCAACCAAAAAATTGCATGGGCTACAGAATTTCTTAGACCATTCCTCTCTATGGTGGGATTGTCAGTGGTAAGCACACCAAATGATAGGATGTTGATTAAGTTACATTTCTGTTTCCTTTCTCCTGATGGCCTTTGGAGGGCCCAACTTATGAAGGATCCTAAATTTGGAACTTGGCCAGAGGATATGAAGTCTGAATAGTTATATATTTGAACCCCAGGTATTGCTGCAACTATAATGCAAGTACCTCTCCATTTAATAGGCAAGTTTAGAAACATTTTGAATTTGCATAAAAAGAAGAACCCAGTTTCTTTTAATAAAACTCCTGAGGAGGGACCTTGTAACCAGGCATAGATGTGGTTAGTTTCGGTTCCAGTATAATTTGCATAGAGGGATCCCATGGTCCCCAAGGATCAAATGTGGATGGGTGGTGACCCAAAAAGTAGTCATCCATGCATAAGGGGGTGTGATATGGTTTCACTCTGTGTTCCCACCCAAATCTCATGGCGAATTGTAATCCCCAGTGTTAGAGGAGGGGCCTGGTGGGAGATGATGGAATCATGGAAGTGACTTCTCCCTTGCGGTTCATGTGATACTCAGTGAGTTCTCAAGAACTCTAGTTGCTTAAAAGTGTGTGGCACTTCCCCCTTCTCTCTCTTACTCCTACCAGGCATATAAGACGTGCCTGATTCCCCTTTGCATTCCATCTTCTGCCATGATTGTAAGTTTCCCGAGGCATCCCCAGCCATGCGTCCTGTACAGCCCGTGGAACTGTGAATCAATTAAACCTCTTCTTTGTAAATTACCCAGTCTCAGGTAGTTATTTATAGTAATGCAAGAATGGACTAATACAGGGGATAAAAGTTTGGCTTGTTGTGTTATGTGAGTGTGGGGCCTGACAGATAAGGTTTTTAAATATCAATGAGATAAGAGAAAATCAAGAAAAAGCTGTAGACATATTAGTGAGGTTGAGAAGTTGTCCAGTCTCGACCCCTATTCCCATATATTCCATCCCAGTTGCTGAACTGTTTATTGGCATAAAGGAATCATTATAAATTTTGCTGGCATTATCTTTTTCTTTCCCCATCATAAGGAAAAACTGCGGGGATGCACATTGAACTCATCAGAGTCTAATTATATGGCTCCCGTTCCCAGTTTGTTTGATTATAATTGAGGGTAGAATTGCAATAGGCTTGTGTTAAAATGCCTAGAAAAGGGCCGGATCCCTCAGATTTTCTGATGCAGAGGTGAACCTTACAGGCCATCTCTGGTGCCTTCCCAATCTGCTCTGTCACGGTGGATGACTGCCACGAGGGATCAATTGGCCTAGGTTCCCCTACTAAACCTGTGTTTTTGGTGTGCGTGTAAATGGTGTAGTTGAATCCAGAGTATCTGGCTTGTTAATAATTTCTTCTGTAGATAGCGGAACTGCTAGGAGTATAATGTTATCCTCGAGTGTCTGTCTGTGTGGGCATATCCAGCAGTTAGTGCTGTGCGTTATGTCAGCAACCTGACATTACTGGGAGGAGTAAGTGCCTGGCTCCAGCCATAGAGGCAACAGTTAGCCGTGGTAGAATAAAAACAGAGCCACATTTAAAGAAAATGACAATATATAGTAAACTCAGGGAGATACGAGAGAAGAAGGGCTAACACCTAGTACCTCAGCACATTGATGTTGTGGTGTGGGAGTAAATGACATTACTAGGATAAATATAAAAAAATTTCATCTGGGTGGTAGTCTTGGAGGTTCCCCTGAAAATATCAATTGTATACTACCTCTCTTATAAAAGCATCAGTATTAAGAGGGTGAAGTTGCTCGAGAGAGACAGGTAAATAATTACTGAGAGCCTGTAGTATTAGCTTGGTGCAAAAGTAACTGCAGCTTTTGCCATTAATTTTAATAGAATTGAATAAAAATAATCAGCTTGAAGAATAAGGTCTAAAAGAAGTATTGGATTTATTTTTATTAACTTTAAGTAAGGTTAAAAAATTCTAAGTTCTTTGGTTTAACAAAACCTCTTTTACCTTTTTTTTAACTTTAAATGAGTTTTTAATGTTTATATTCTAGTTTGACCATAAATAATGTCTTATCTCAGTACCAGCCGCTTAGTAACAGCAGATTTAAAGCAGGGAGAGAAAAAGAGAGGAAGATAGAGAGCTTTAAAAGAGTCTACTTAAGTCTATGGCATAGGTTAACCATTTGAGCTCTGAATTTTTCTTGTAATTTGCCTATCAGTTTAAAATGTACACAAAAATGAGCCATAATATGTAATCAGCTATAGTTTCAAAGGGAACAACAAAATTAGAAGATAGGATGTTCGAAACCGTTTTTTCTTTTCTTTTCTTTTTTTTTTTTTAAATACAGAGATGGGGTTTCACTATGTTGCCCAGGCTGGTCTCAAATTCCTGGGCTCAAGCGATCCACCTACCTTGGCCTCCCAAAGTGCTAGGATTACAGGGATGAGCCAACATGCCCGGCCTGTTTTTCCCTTTAAGTCTGAGCTCCTGGATTGAACAGAAAAAGAGAAAAAGAAAAGAAAGGAATGCAGAGGAAAAGATTAAGCTTTATAGGAGGGCTTGTGAGCCTTTCAGCCACTGCATGATGTGGGGCCAGCACCCCTGCCATCCTTGTTTATCTCGTGTCACAGAGAACCTTAGCACCCCAGACCTACACAGTGTGGAACAAATTCCTTCCACCCCTGCAAGTCACTAGTTAAGGTGAGCTGTTTACAGGGGGAGTAGAGAGCCCCTTCAGCTCAAGGCCATCAGGTGTTGGCATTTTGTCCTGGGGGCCCTTTGGCTCTCATGACAGTCCTATTTCTAGTGGTCAAGCTTGTGGCAGAGGGGCAAGCCATGCAGGGCTTTTTCCATTTCTTTTATTGGGGCAGTTTGCTTTTCAGTGGCCTGGCCTTCTGTACCGATGGCAGTAACCTGGAAGAGTGTTCTTAGGGAAACCTGGAAGGGGCTGGTGCTTGTAAAGCAGCCAACAGTTGAGTCTGTGTTTTGCCTCTGCATTTGTTTTTTTCTTTCTAACCCTGTTCTACTCTTGGTTATAAAAGACTGAGGAGGCTAATTAGAGGATTTTCTGCATAGGAGCCATGCTGTAGTACACAAGAAAAATAGACATTTCTTTTTGAGAGTCTCAGGGTTAAATTTCTCTTAATGTTTTAGGACGCAACCCAGAGGTGAATCTGAAGAAATAGACGGGGTTTGTCTCATGGTAGGACTGGAAAATGAGCCTCTCGTGAGCCTGTCGGGGCTAACTGAACCGCACTTCCACGTGGGGCATCCCGTCAATGAAAAGGGTTCCACTCAGGTCTGCTGAGGGACTCAAGTGCACTTTCTAACGGGGTGTCTCACCTATTAGGAAAGACCTCTCAGTTGCCTGTGGGCCTTACACTGGGTGATCAGCCCACCTATGGGGAAAAAGGGTAAAGGAAGAGGTCTGTCTGGTGCCCGCCCAGGAGATGGGGGTGGGTAAAGGAAGACTCACTGTTCTGAGGCTGTTTGAGACCACTTGATTTAGCAATGCCCAGAACAGTTTGGCTCCACAGGAGAATCCAGAGTGAGAAGGAGAGGGTCTAAGTCACCTAAAACATGTATGAATTTGCCCTTAAGGAGCTTCCACTGTCAGTCATGTCACAGGTAGGGATTAGGGACTTTTTACTAGAAAAGAAAGGGGAGAGTCTTTTTCCCTTTTAGGCAAGGCAGCCAGCCCTGTTCACCCTTTGGCTTCAGGCAACACTGGAGAGTGGCCCTGGCCAGTTATCATTAATTTCCAGAGGGATAATAGAAGCCAGCTGCTGGGAGACTGAAAAGAGAAAATAAACTCAGGTCCCTCACCTGAAAGGGCAGTGGTGGTCAGACACTTCCACACAGATGCCTTTCAGTCCCACCAGAGTGTAGCTCTAGCCAGGGACCTACAGCTGTCTCTGTGTTTAGACACTGTCCACTGAGGATTGCAAGTTGGGAAAGAGGAAGAGAGAGAGGAGAGGGTTCCCCATAAAGAGAGTTCCCCATATGGGCCACCAAAATGTCACGGATGATTAGCGACTATCTGGGGCCAGTGGCATGGGGTTAAGAATTTACCAAGACAACTGTAGGTAAAGAAAAGCAGACATGTTAGAGAAAGTATGAAAATATGTTGTAAGGGTGCAACAGGCAGATTAGCAAGAGAGGAGCTGACAGCAAGGAAACAAAGCCTTGCTGGGGATTTTACAGGATGGTACTTCTGTGTGCTGAAGAGGGCTTTGTGCAGTACTGACAATGCCAAGATTGCAGTGAGCTAACTTGAATTTTTCTATTAGTAGAGAGTCTGGTGATAGCTGGGCACGGGAAGATTGTGAGTTATTTGCGCAGGAGGGCTATGTGTCCTGGACCATGAAGAAAGGCAGACTTATAGCTTATCTGATTTCTCTTTCTGCTTTCCTTTGGTCCTGCCAGCTTGACTCCGTTTCCCTAATTAGGACTCCACACCAGTTGTTTTCACTTTAGATTAGAAGTTCCTTGAAAACAGAGAGGAGGCCCCTAAGGGGTGAAGGGTAAACTATTCAGGGCTCATTGTATTCACTATTCTGCCTCCATGGAGCTCTGCACCGAGCAGGGGCTGGATCAATAACTCTAATTGCCTAAGTGTGGATAGAGGAGTCTGGCCTGTTGGAACTGGTCTGCACTAACAAATGAATCCAGGTCCTTAGGTCAGTAGTTCATGTGACTTGTCTGGACATCAACATTCTTCAGGAGAGGCATCTCCCTGGCCTCCTGCCACCATAGTCCTTTTATGCACCCATCCTTCCCGCCCAGCAGCTGCCTTGGTCTTTCCTAATAGGTGAGACACCCCGTTAGAAAGTGCACCTGAGTGCCTCAGCAGAGCTGAGTGGAACCCTTTTCATTGACGGGATGCCCCACGTGGAAGTGCGGTTCAGTTAGCCCCGACAGGCTCACAAGAGGCTCATTTTCCAGTCCCACCGTGATTGAGGTGATAACTTTAAAGCAGTAATAATATAGAAACCAAAAATGCTCACAGTCCAATCACCTTCCACAGAGGATGGTTCACAATGTAGAGGGAGAGTTCCAGATATCTTAACTGCATAGCCAATTCAAGGCTTGAAGAAAGGCAGACTTATAGCTTATCTGATTTCTCTTATTGCTTTTCCTTGGTACTGCCAGCTTGACTCCTTTTCCCTAATTAGGACTCCACACCAGTTGTTTTCATTTTAGATTAGAAGTTCCTTGAAAACAGGGAGCAGGCCATGGATGTGCTGCATCCCAAACAAGCACCCTTCTGTGACATGCTCCCATCCTCATCTCAGGAGACACTCCAAGGGTTGTCTGGGACAGTGAGAGCCCTTCAAGACCCCAAATTATGGTTGTCCAAATAGAGAACTTATTTATAAGATTGGTCAAGCTGATTATGGTGGATGAGAAAAAGCTTTCCTTATCTTTCAAACAACTCGTACCTAGTCACCCTCTCATGTTAAATGGAACCATGACTGTTGAGCTAGGCTGAGCCTAGGGACCCATGTGTATCCCCAAAGGCATTGTTACTATGAGGACAACATTGAGAGTGGGACCTTTCAGCTTTTGCTGCACAATGCCAAACAGCTGGCTGGACACTTCTGGTCCTTGAAGGACATAACCGTTTGGTTGTCATGGCAGCCCCACGCGGAGAAGGGTAATCCTCTGAGAGGGAAGGCCCACCGGAAATGGGCCCCATCACCATGGGAACCAAAGAGACTAGAACCTGCCATTTTGTCTCATGCAAGTAGCCCATCCTGCACTGTCCCGGGAAGCCCCACAGCCCGGATGGCCCTCAGGGGAGCCTCGCGGCCCTTCACCGTCGCGGGAAAAGCCAAGTTGGTGGCAGGAGGAGCCCACCACCAAGGCGATCTCACTGCGGAAAAACTCGACCCTCCGCCTTCACGTCTAGGGCGGCAGGTGGTAGAGCTGGGCCTCTCAGGCCCATGCCCGAGGGCAGGCGAGACAAGGAGCGCCCCCAAGTGGCCATGCGGTGTCCTCACGGAAGGCAGGGAGGGCGTCACGGGCCTTGGGGACCTTGACACAACCTGGAGCACGAGGCTGAGAAACCCACCACGCAGGCCAGCTGGAGGCTGCCGCCCAGCCGGGAGTCAGAAGCTGGAGCCACTGGGTGCTCCCGAAGCCATCTGGAGCACCTGAGGAACCTTGTGACTACAGTAGTCCCCATAGTCCCCACTGTCTTGTGGGCCTTGAGGACAATCAGAGGAGGAGGAGGGATCCGGTCTACACCATCAGAGTCGTGCTACTCAAGGCTGCTCTTCAATTTTTCCTATTCTCTGCCAGGAGCCACCTATCACACCACAAAAGTTTTCAATCACCATGTGGCAGTTTTTCTTTCCTGGCATTTTATCAAGAGTCTTCCTGCTTTTGTCTTTGTACTTTCAAGACAGTTTGTTATGTATCAGGTGCCATTTATCATCTTGCTTTGTGCTGTATAAAATATGTAATTCTGGCCAGGAGTGGTGGCTCACGCCTGTAATTTCAGCACTTTGGGAGGCCGAGGCGGGTGGATCACTTGAGGTCAATAGTTCGTGACCCGCCTGGCCAACATGGCGAAACCCCATCTCTACTAAAAATACAAAAATCAACCGGGTGTGGTGCCATACGCCTGTAATCCCAGCTACTCGAGAGGCTGAGGCAGGACAGTCACTTGAACCCGGGAGGCGGAAGTTGCAGTGAGCCGAGATTGTGCCACTGCACTCCAGCCTGGGGCACAGAGTGAGACTCTGTCTCAAAGTAAATAAATAAATAAATACACAAAATGTGTAATTCTTCCAGCATTTAAATTACATATATATAAACATAAAATTTAAATTACATCTGCACAAACATGCCCTGACATTTAAATTATATATATGCACACACACACATATATCTGTAAACCACCAGATAAAAATAAAAATGATTGCTTCTGTTTCAATAAAACTTTTTTTCTGCCTGTTAAATTAGAACGGGTGGCAGGTGAGGTAATTTTATTTGAACTATGTCTGCAGCCATTTAAGCCTAGTTAGAACTCTGTCATAATAAGGTAACTGATTTTGATCTCCATCTCTTAAAAAGGAGGGAGCTCAGCCCACTAGAAGAAATGTTGAAAACAAGACTCTGCTTGATAGAATTTTGGGAACCTCTCCATTGAGAAGTGTCAACAATGATGCTGTTTATCAGATTCTAGAAAGTGAGCAACCAAAGAAACATGCCAGAAAGTCTTTCTGCCTTGTATAAATTTGTACAACAAGCATTGCAGACCTGAAGTACTTTGCCCAATTGCTGTGGAGAGCAGCTACAAGTATGCTTAACATTAAGTGAATGTTTCAGTCACTGAGTACAAACTGGCATCAAAAGGTAATTTGGTAATTTAGATAGTTCCTCTGTCTGGACATGGGGACGATGTATGATGCCTCCAGAGGAGAACCAGGGAAACCCATCCGCTTTATGGTGCAGACTGGGAAGTGGGGATGTAAGGAAGCCAGAAAATAGGTTTAAAAAATTGACCATTCTGATGGGACTGAGTTGATAAAATATGGCAACCTGTATTTGTGATCTACATTTTGTATGTGTTTTCTTGTATTTTGTTATTTTGTTTATGTTCTCTCTCCCTTAACACCTAGTGAAATTATGTTTCACCTGAAAATGTCAGGTTGACCAACAGGAAATCCTTGAGCCTCCTCACCTTCTCAGGCCTACCTCTGGCACCCTATAGATGTCCCAGACTTGTCTTTGCTACTACTTTCTGTGATGTTGACAATCTTTTCCCTTCTTGTCTTCAACCCACTTCTCATTATCATTCTATCTTTTTCTTACCCTCCCTTATATCTGTTCAATTTTGTTCAACTGTGCATCTTCACACATATGCACTCTATAGGCTATGCTCTTTTAAAAGTAATAATGAAAATCCTCTTTGTATCTCTGAAAAGCTATCATTTCATTGACAAAAATGAACAGTAAGTGGACTTTAATTTTTTCTGATAAAACTGAAACTCTTACATTCCACTATTTTCTCCACTTATACTTTGAGTATCACAAAGAAACTTTCTGAACACATAGAGATAACAGTTTTTATGAATAGTTTTCCTCAATTGAACATTTTAATCTCTTTTTTCTCTTGAGACTTCCTCTTTGACCCACCCATGTGTTTAAAAGTGTGTTGTTTAATCTCCAAATATTTTGAGATTTTCTGACTTTTCATTATTGAGTTCTAGTTTAATTGTATTATAGTCTGACAGCATACTTTGTATAATTCCTATTCCATTAAATTTGTGAGCTGTCTTTTATGGCCCAGAATACACTCTACATTGGCAAATGTCTGTGTGAGCTTGAGAAGAATGTGTATTCTGCTGTTGTTGGATGCAATATTCTGTAAATGTCAATTAGCAATGGTTGATTAATGGTGCTGTTCAGCTCAACTAAGTCCTTACTGATTTTCTATCTGCTGGATCTGTCAATTACAGATAAAGGGGTATTGAATTCGCCAACATAAGAGTGGATTTGTTTATTTCTCCTTGCAGTTCTATCAGTTTTTACTTCACATATTTTGATGTTTTGTTGTTACCTTCATACACATTAGGAATTGTTATGTCTTCTTGGAAAACCAACATCTTTATCATTAAATAAATAATATTCCTCTTTATCCCTAATAATTTTCCTTGCTCTTAAATCTGCTTTGCCTGAAATTAATACAGTGACTCCAGCTTGGTTTTGATTAGTGTTAGCATGGCATATCTTTCTCCATCCCTTTACTTTTTTATTTTTTTATTTTTATTATTTATTTTTTATTTTTTGAGATGGAGTCTCGCTCTGTTGCCCAGGCTGGAGTGCAGTGGCGCACTCTCGGCTCACTGTAACTTCTGCCTCCCGGGTTCAAGAGATTCTCCTGCCTCAGCCTCCTGAGTAGCTGGGACTACAGGCGCATGGCACCACATCTGGCTAATTTTTGTATTTTTAGTAGAGACAGGGTTTTGCCATGTTGGCTAGGTTGGTCTCAAATTCCTGACCTCAGGTGATCTGCCTGCCTCAGCCTCCCAAAGTGCTGAAATTACAGGTGTGAGCCACCACACCCAGCCAATTTCTTTACTTTTAATCTATGTCCTTATAGTTAAAGTCAGTTTCTTGTAAAAAACATAGTTGGGTCTTGGTTTTTCATTCACTGACACTGTCTTTTTTTTTTTTTGAGATGGAGTCTCACTGTGTCTCCCAGGCTAGAGTGCAGTGGTGCAATCTTGGCTCACTGCAACCTCCGCCTCCCAGGTTCATGCGATTCTCCTATCTCAGCCTCCTGAGTAGCTGGGATTACAGGCGCACACCACCACACCAGCTAATTTTTGTATTTTTGGTAGAGATGGGGTTTTGCCATATTGGCCAGGCTAGTCTCGAACTCCTGACCTCAGGTGATCCACCCAACTCAGGCTCACAAAGTGCTGGGATTACAGGTGTAAGTCACCACGCCTGACCTACTGTCTGTCTTTTAATTGGTATATTTAGACCACTGATGTTTAAAGTGATTTTTTATATAATTGGACCAGTATCTACCATATCTGTTACTGTTTTCTATTTTGCCCTTCTTGTATGTTTTTTTTTTTTTTTTAATTTTTTTTTTTATTATACTCTAAGTTTTAGGGTACATGTGCACATTGTGCAGGTTAGTTACATATGTATACATGTGCCATGCTGGTGCGCTGCACCCACTAACGTGTCATCTAGCATTAGGTATATCTCCCAATGCTATCCCTCCCCCCTCCCCCGACCCCACCACAGTCCCCAGAGTGTGATATTCCCCTTCCTGTGTCCATGTGATCTCATTGTTCAATTCCCACCTATGAGTGAGAATATGCGGTGTTTGGTTTTTTGTTCTTGCGATAGTTTACTGAGAATGATGGTTTCCAATTTCATCCATGTCCCTACAAAGGACATGAACTCATCATTTTTTATGGCTGCATAGTATTCCATGGTGTATATGTGCCACATTTTCTTAATCCAGTCTATCATTGTTGGACATTTGGGTTGGTTCCAAGTCTTTGCTATTGTGAATAGTGCCGCAATAAACATACGTGTGCATGTGTCTTTATAGCAGCATGATTTATAGTCCTTTGGGTATATACCCAGTAATGGGATGGCTGGGTCAAATGGTATTTCTAGTTCTAGATCCCTGAGGAATCGCCACACTGACTTCCACAATGGTTGAACTAGTTTACAGTCCCACCAACAGTGTAAAAGTGTTCCTATTTCTCCACATCCTCTCCAGCACCTGTTGTTTCCTGACTTTTTAATGATTGCCATTCTAACTGGTGTGAGATGATATCTCATAGTGGTTTTGATTTGCATTTCTCTGATGGCCAGTGATGATGAGCATTTCTTCATGTATTTTTCGGCTGCATAAATGTCTTCTTTTGAGAAGTGTCTGTTCATGTCCTTCACCCACTTTTTGATGGGGTTGTTTGTTTTTTTCTTGTAAATTTGTTTGAGTTCATTGTAGATTCTGGATATTAGCCCTTTGTCAGATGAGTAGGTTGCAAAAATTTTCTCCCATGTTGTAGGTGGCCTGTTCACTCTGATGGTAGTTTCTTTTGCTGTGCAGAAGCTCTTTAGTTTAATTAGATCCCATTTGTCAATTTTGGCTTTTGTTGCCATTGCTTTTGGTGTTTTGGACATGAAGTCCTTGCCCACGCCTATGTCCTGAATGGTAATGCCTAGGTTTTCTTCTAGGGTTTTTATGGTTTTAGGTCTAACGTTTAAATCTTTAATCCATCTTGAATTGATTTTTGTATAAGGTGTAAGGAAGGGATCCAGTTTCAGCTTTCTACATATGGCTAGCCAGTTTTCCCAGCACCATTTATTAAATAGTGAATCCTTTCCCCATTGCTTGTTTTTCTCAGGTTTGTCAAAGATCAGATAGTTGTAGATATGCGGCATTATTTCTGAGGGCTCTGTTCTGTTCCATTGATCTATATCTCTGTTTTGGTACCAGTACCATGCTGTTTTGGTTACTGTAGCCTTGTAGTATAGTTTGAAGTCAGGTAGCGTGATGCCTCCAGCTTTGTTCTTTTGGCTTAGGATTGACTTGGCGATGCGGGCTCTTTTTTGGTTCCATATGAACTTTAAAGTAGTTTTTTCCAATTCTGTGAAGAAAGTCATTGGTAGCTTGATGGGGATGGCATTGAATCTGTAAATTACCTTGGGCAGTATGGCCATTTTCACGATATTGATTCTTCCTACCCATGAGCATGGAATGTTCTTCCATTTGTTTGTGTCCTCTTTTATTTCCTTGAGCAGTGGTTTGTAGTTCTCCTTGAAGAGGTCCTTCACATCCCTTGTAAGTTGGATTCCTAGGTATTTTATTCTCTTTGAAGCTATTGTGAATGGGAGTTCACTCATGATTTGGCTCTCTGTTTGTCTGTTGTTGGTGTATAAGAATGCTTGTGATTTTTGTACATTGATTTTGTATCCTGAGACTTTGCTGAAGTTGCTTATCAGCTTAAGGAGATTTTGGGCTGAGACGATGGGGTTTTCTAGATAAACAATCATGTCGTCTGCAAACAGGGACAATTTGACTTCCTCTTTTCCTAATTGAATACCCTTTATTTCCTTCTCCTGCCTGATTGCCCTGGCCAGAACTTCCAACACTATGTTGAATAGGAGCGGTGAGAGAGGGCATCCCTGTCTTGTGCCAGTTTTCAAAGGGAATGCTTCCAGTTTTTGCCCATTCAGTATGATATTGGCTGTGGGTTTGTCATAGATAGCTCTTATTATTTTGAAATACGTCCCATCAATACCTAATTTATTGAGAGTTTTTAGCATGAAGGGTTGTTGAATATTGTCAAAGGCTTTTTCTGCATCTATTGAGATAATCATGTGGTTTTTGTCTTTGGCTCTGTTTATATGCTGGATTACATTTATTGATTTGCGTATATTGAACCAGCCTTGCATCCCAGGGATGAAGCCCACTTGATCATGGTGG
Organism: Homo sapiens; assembly: GCF_000001405.40. NCBI lineage: Eukaryota > Metazoa > Chordata > Mammalia > Primates > Hominidae > Homo > Homo sapiens. The sequence continues at coordinate 50,346,328 of NC_000018.10, forward strand.
ATAAGCTTTTTGATGTGCTGCTGGATTCGGTTTGCCAGTATTTTATTGAGGATTTTTGTATCAATGTTCATCAAGGATATTGGTCTAAAATTCTCTTTTTTGGTTGTGTCTCTGCCCGGCTTTGGTATCAGAATGATGCTGGCCTCATAAAATGAGTTAGGGAGGATTCCCTCTTTTTCTATTGATTGGAATAGTTTCAGAAGGAATGGTACCAGTTCCTCCTTGTACCTCTGGTAGAATTCGGCTGTGAGTCCATCTGGTCCTGGACTCTTTTTGGTTGGTAAACTATTGATTATTGCCACAATTTCAGAGCCTGTTATTGGTCTATTCAGAGATTCAACTTCTTCCTGGTTTAGTCTTGGGAGAGTGTATGTGTCGAGGAATGTATCCATTTCTTCTAGATTTTCTAGTTTATTTGCGTAGAGGTGTTTGTAGTATTCTCTGATGGTAGTTTGTATTTCTGTGGGATCGGTGGTGATATCCCCTTTATCGTTTTTTATTGTGTCTATTTGATTCTTCTCTCTTTTTTTCTTTATTAGTCTTGCTAGCGGTCTATCAATTTTGTTGATCCTTTCAAAAAACCAGCTCCTGGATTCATTGATTTTTTGAAGGGTTTTTTGTGTCTCTATTTCCTTCAGTTCTTCTCTGATTTTAGTTATTTCTTGCCTTCTGCTAGCTTTTGAATGTGTTTGCTCTTGCTTTTCTAGTTCTTTTAATTGTGATGTTAGGGTGTCAATTTTGGATCTTTCCTGCTTTCTCTTGTAGGCATTTAGTGCTATAAATTTCCCTCTACACACTGCTTTGAATGCGTCCCAGAGATTCTGGTATGTGGTGTCTTTGTTCTCATTGGTTTCAAAGAACATCTTTATTTCTGCCTTCATTTCGTTATGTACCCAGTAGTCATTCAGGAGCAGGTTGTTCAGTTTCCATGTAGTTGAGCGGCTTTGAGTGAGATTCTTAATCCTGAGTTCTAGTTTGATTGCACTGTGGTCTGAGAGATAGTTTGTTATAATTTCTGTTCTTTTACATTTGCTGAGGAGAGCTTTACTTCCAACTATGTGGTCAATTTTGGAATAGGTGTGGTGTGGTGCTGAAAAAAATGTATATTCTTTTGATTTGGGGTGGAGAGTTCTGTAGATGTCTATTAGGTCCGCTTGGTGCAGAGCTGAGTTCAATTCCTGGGTATCCTTGTTGACTTTCTGTCTCGTTGATCTGTCTAATGTTGACAGTGGGGTGTTAAAGTCTCCCATTATTAATGTGTGGGAGTCTAAGTCTCTTTGTAGGTCACTCAGGACTTGCTTTATGAATCTGGGTGCTCCTGTATTGGGGGCATAAATATTTAGGATAGTTAGCTCCTCTTGTTGAATTGATCCCTTTACCATTATGTAATGGCCTTCTTTGTCTCTTTTGATCTTTGTTGGTTTAAAGTCTGTTTTATCAGAGACTAGGATTGCAACCCCTGCCTTTTTTTGTTTTCCATTGGCTTGGTAGATCTTCCTCCATCCTTTTATTTTGAGCCTATGTGTGTCTCTGCACATGAGATGGGTTTCCTGAATACAGCACACTGATGGGTCTTGACTCTTTATCCAACTTGCCAGTCTGTGTCTTTTAATTGCAGAATTTAGTCCATTTATATTTAAAGTTAATATTGTTATGTGTGAATTTGATCCTGTCATTATGATGTTAGCTGGTGATTTTGCTCATTAGTTGATGCAGTTTCTTCCTAGTCTCGATGGTCTTTACATTTTGGCATGATTGTGCAGCGGCTGGTACCGGTTGTTCCTTTCCATGTTTAGCGCTTCCTTCAGGAGCTCTTTTAGGGCAGGCCTGGTGGTGACAAAATCTCTCAGCATTTGCTTGTCTATAAAGTATTTTATTTCTCCTTCACTTATGAAGCTTAGTTTGGCTGGATATGAAATTCTGGGTTGAAAATTCTTTTCTTTAAGAATGTTGAATATTGGCCCCCACTCTCTTCTGGCTTGTAGGGTTTCTGCCGAGAGATCCGCTGTTAGTCTGATGGGCTTTCCTTTGAGGGTAACCCGACCTTTCTCTCTGGCTGCCCTTAACATTTTTTCCTTCATTTCAACTTTGGTGAATCTGACAATTATGTGTCTTGGAGTTGCTCTTCTCGAGGAGTATCTTTGTGACGTTCTCTGTATTTCCTGAATCTGAACGTTGGCCTGCCTTGCTAGATTGGGGAAGTTCTCCTGGATAATATCCTGCAGAGTGTTTTCCAACTTGGTTCCATTCTCCCCATCACTTTCAGGTACACCAATCAGACGTAGATTTGGTCTTTTCACATAGTCCCATATTTCTTGGAGGCTTTGCTCATTTCTTTTTATTCTTTTTTCTCTAAACTTCCCTTCTCGCTTCATTTCATTCATTTCATCTTCCATTGCTGATACCCTTTCTTCCAGTTGATCGCATCGGCTCCTGAGGCTTCTGCATTCTTCACGTAGTTCTCGAGCCTTGGTTTTCAGCTCCATCAGCTCCTTTAAGCACTTCTCTGTATTGGTTATTCTAGTTATACATTCTTCTAAATTTTTTTCAAAGTTTTCAACTTCTTTGCCTTTGGTTTGAATGTCCTCCCGTAGCTCAGAGTAATTTGATCGTCTGAAGCCTTCTTCTCTCAGCTCGTCAAAATCATTCTCCATACAGCTTTGTTCTGTTGCTGGTGAGGAACTGCGTTCCTTTGGAGGAGGAGAGGCGCTCTGCGTTTTAGAGTTTCCAGTTTTTCTGTTCTGTTTTTTCCCCATCTTTGTGGTTTTATCTACTTTTGGTCTTTGATGATGGTGATGTACAGATGGGTTTTCGGTGTAGATGTCCTTTCTGGTTGTTAGTTTTCCTTCTAACAGACAGGACCCTCAGCTGCAGGTCTGTTGGAATACCCTGCCGTGTGAGGTGTCAGTGTGCCCCTGCTGGGGGGTGCCTCCCAGTTAGGCTGCTCGGGGGTCAGGGGTCAGGGACCCACTTGAGGAGGCAGTCTGCCCGTTCTCAGATCTCCAGCTGCGTGCTGGGAGAACCACTGCCCTCTTCAAAGCTGTCAGACAGGGACACTTAAGTCTGCAGAGGTTACTGCTGTCTTTTTGTTTGTCTGTGCCCTGCCCCCAGAGGTGGAACCTACAGAGGCAGGCAGGCCTCCTTGAGCTGTGGTGGGCTCCACCCAGTTCGAGCTTCCCGGCTGCTTTGTTTACCTAAGCAAGCCTGGGCAATGGCGGGCGCCCCTCCCCCAGCCTCGTTGCCGCCTTGCAGTTTGATCTCAGACTGCTGTGCTAGCAATCAGCGAGATTCCGTGGGCGTAGGACCCTCTGAGCCAGGTGTGGGATATAGTCTCGTGTTGCGCCATTTCTTAAGCCGGTCTGAAAAGCGCAATATTCGGGTGGGAGTGACCCGATTTTCCAGGTGCGTCCGTCACCCCTTTCTTTGACTCGGAAAGGGAACTCCCTGACCCCTTGCACTTCCCAGGTGAGGCAATGCCTCGCCCTGCTTCGGCTCGCGCACGGTATGCACACACACTGGCCTGCGCCCACTGTCTGGCACTCCCTAGTGAGATGAACCCGGTACCTCAGATGGAAATGCAGAAATCACCCATCTTCTGCGTCGCTCACGCTGGGAGCTGTAGACCGGAGCTGTTCCTATTCGGCCATCTTGGCTCCTCCCTTGTATGTTTTTTTTTGTCTGACACTGGTTTTTTGCCTTCTCTGTTTTTAATTGAGAATTTTATACAATTTTATTCTCTCTTTTAACATATTAATTATACTTTTAAAACTTTTAAAAGTGGTTGCCTTAGACTTTGCAATATACATTTACAACTACTCCAAGTCTGCTTTCAAATAATGTACTACTACTTCATGGGTAGTGCAAGTATCTTATAAGAGAGTATTTCCAATTCTTTCCTCACATCCTTTATAACATTGTTATAATTCATTTCATTTATTTATAAGCTATAATTACCAAATATAGCTGTTATTTTGAACAAATTGCTATCTGTTAGATCACTTAAGAATTAAAAAATAAATTTTATTTCTCTTCATTTATTCCTTCTCTAATGTTCTTCTTTTCTTTATGTAGATCTGAGTTTCTCATCTGTAATGTTTTCCTTCTTTCTGAAGAACTTCTTTTAACATTTCTTGCCAATCAGGTCTACTGGCAAAAATTTCCTCAAATTTTGTTTGTCTGAGAAAGGCGTTATTTCTCCTTCACATGGAATGATGATTTTGCTGGGTACAGAATTCTAGATTGTTGATTTTTTTCAACACCTTAAAAATTTCAATTAACTCTCTTCTTGCTTGCACAGTTTCTGAGGAGTGGTCCAGTTTAATTATTTTCCTTATTTCTCTATAGGTAAGGTGTTTTATTCCTCTGGCTTCTTTGAGGAATTTTTTGTCTTTGATTTTCTGCAGTTTGAATATGACATGCCTAGGTGTATATTTTTTTATATTTATCTTACTCGGGCTTTTCTGAGCTTACTGAATCTGTTGTTTTGTATCTGACATTAATTTGAGGAAATTCTGTCACTGTTACTTCAAATATTTATTCTGCTCCTTTCTCTTTTTTTTTCCTGGTATTTCCATTATATGTATGTTACACCTTTTGTAATTCTCCCACAGTTCTTGGATTTTCTTTTCTGACTTTTTCATTCTCTTTTTGTTCTTGGCATTTCCATTTTGGAAGTTTCTACTGACGTATCTTCAAGCACTGATTCTTTCCTTGGCATGTCCAGTCTATTGATGGGCCCATCAAAGCATTCTTCATTTCTGCTACATTGTTTTTCATTTCTGCTGTTTCATTTTGATCCTTAGAGTTTCCCTCTCTCTATTAGAGTACCCATTTGTTCTTGCATGTTGCCTACTTTTCCCATTAGAACCTGAAAACATATTGTAAGATTAATGGTAGCCGTAAAGACCGCTTAATCATGCCACAGGGATGGCACTATGTGTTACTCAGCAGTATGATGCAAACTGACCAGGGATTTCCAACCTGATATGGTGATTTCCAGAAGGCAAGGCCTAGAGCACAAGGGTACCTCTGTACAGATACAACTTTCAGAAGCCTTAAAACAAAACTTACCCTTACAAAAATAGCTTAAACCCCCTTTATGAAAGAATAATCTGGTAATTAACCTGGACTGAACACAGATATGAAAAAAGTGGGAAAGATTCCCTAAACTTTGAAAATGTTGTCTGGACAGAGACCCTCCCAGTCAATCAGTCATCTGACCCTCTGGTTTTATCTAACCCATGCCACTGGCCTGCTTCTGCTATCATCCTTGTAAGAGCTCTACCAGAACAAACTTCTTGAATAGCAGATGGTGTCTAGGGCTCATCATTGGTGCAGATTGAATGGAAGGGGAAACAGTATGCTTCGGAATAAATGGTATGCTTTGAATGGAGCTATTGCATCTTGGTCCCTTGGTAGAATGTGTGGCTGTGTTCAGGGTTGAGATATACAACCTTTATATCAGAATGCATGTCACTGATACATTGTGAATGCCCTGGAGCAATATTTAAGATCAGAAACATCTTGAATGGGATATTGTATTTCCTACAATAGTCTCTTGCCTGCAGAATGAAATAGTCAAAAATTAGTCTTCAAACAATGCAGATGTCACCCAGGCTTCCTTGTTATGATGACAATAATTAGGAAATGTCTGCTTGCTCACATTCTTGGATGCTCTAGAGTTATCTGAGTGTTAGGTTAGAAAAGACTTTAATTTGAACTCCTCAACATTTCCACTCAAAAGCAGAATGCAAAACGGTCTTTGAATGTGCTGAATCCTGGCATTGTCTTGGACTCTTCATAAATGTGTGTATGCTCTGACATATACTCCTAGAACAACCTCATTTCATCAACATTAAATATTGGTTCTGGAAAATATTTCTTGTCTATAATTATCCTGTGCAGCTCTTCCTTAAAAGCTTTAGCACCTTCAGTATTGGCACTTGCTGCCTCACCACTGGCCTCACATTATGAAAATTATGACACTTTTTGAAGCGTTGGAACTACCCATGACTTGCTGTAAACATTTGCATATATCTAGGATCATCTGCATATTCTTTTAATGTGTTGAAAAGACTTCTTGCCTTAGCCTGGATCATCAGTAGGTTAAATGGTATGTTCGTCTCTATCTGGTTTTCCATCCCGATGACAAATAATTTTTTTTCATATAATCAGTTAGCCCAGCTCTTTCCTTTGTGATGAGAGTGGATTTAACCAATATTGATAATTTCACTGCATTAGTTATTTGCTTCTTATCCTTTAAGATGGTTGAGATTGTCAATTGTGAAGGTTCTAACATGTGCAGTGGCCATTACTGGCTTAATGCCTTTATGCTGGGCAATTAAGTAAAATTTTACCTTAAAGAGTAATTGTGGCTGGGCATGGTGGCTCATTCCTGTAATCTCAGTGCTTTGGGAAGCCAAGGTGGGTAGGTCGCTTGAGTCTAGGAGTTCGAGACCAGCCTGGGCAACATGGTGAAACCCTGTCCCTACAAAAAAATTAGCTGGCATGGTGGCATGCACCTGTAGTCTCAGCTACTCTGAAGGTGAGATGGGAGGATCGCTTGTGCCTGGGAGGCAGAGATTGCAGTGAGCCATGATTGCGCCCACCGCACTCCAGCCCGGGCAACAGAGCTAGACCCTGCCTCAAAAAAAAAGGTAATTGCTTTCTTCTTCTTCTTCTTTCTTCTTCTTCTTCCGTCTTCTTCCTTCTTCCTCCTTCCTTCTTTCTTCTTCTTTTCTTCTTTCTTCTTCCTTCTCCTTATCCTTCTTCTTCTTTTTCTTCCTTCTTCTTCTTTCTTCTTCTTCCTCCTCTTCTTCTTCTTCGAAGCAGGAGACACAGATGGACATTTTGTATACATGATGGTTTACAAAAACACAAAATTATTTGCAACACAGTACACCTTAGAGTATCAGTTGTTTACCCTTGTGATCATGTGGCTGACCAGGAGCTGTGGTTTGCTGCCACTGCCCAGCACCAAGAAAGATTATTGTGTCTTATATTGCTAGCCCTGGAAAAGATCAAAACTCAAAATTCAAAATATAATTTCTACTGAATGCATATTGCTTACACACTATCATAAAGTCAAAAAATTATAAGTTGAACCATCCGTAGAATTCTCTGTGTACATTTCAGAATGACTACTTTCTCCTCCCCATGCCAGAAACATGGGGAGATTTTTTTTTAATTCTCATTGTGAGAACTTAGTAGGGATACTGAAGACAAAATGTACGATTGTGTGGGACCCCTTAAGACTTGACCTTTGAGAGGTCAAGTTTGTCCACACTGAAACTCCAGCAATTTATCCATTATAGTTTATGTTTTCCTACCCTGGTACTGGCTCCAGCAATGATTTCACTCCCAACTTGGGAAGCAGTGGTTAGCCCTGTGACCTCAATTATCTGATGGAGCTACAAAAAATGGTTAATTTTCAGTTTTTTCAGCTTTTTACTTGTTGTGAAAATGGGAATGACAACTTCCAACCTCCTTACAAGACAAACTGGCAACTTCAATCTGGGATTTTTATATACTAGAATTTACAACCAATAATAATTATTATTATAGTAATAATAGCAAATTAGTATTTGCCAGATATATAAATTCTTAAATGTATTAACTCAATTAATTCTCACAGCTACCTTGTGAGATTGGTATTATTGTTATTTACATTTGAGGATGAGAAAATTGGGACACAGAGAGGATATGTATTTACTAGAGTTTTGATTAGATCCTTTCAGATTTAGACAGAAGTGATTGACACTAAAAAACAGACACTGATATTTCATAATGGTGTTATATGCCAGGCATTGTTTTAGTTCTCTAAACATAATAACTCAATAAACTTCAACAATATTAAGAGGTAGTGACTTTTGATAAAAAGAAAACATGAGTCCATACATCCAAGTTGCTGAGCAAACTCCACGAAGGATAAACTCAAAGGGATACATACCAAGACATACTATAATAAACCTCTCAAAAGACAAAGACAGACAGAGAATCTTGAAAGCAGCAAGGAATAATTGACTCATGATGTACAAAGGATCCTTGATAAGTTTAACAGCCAATTTATCATCAGAAGCTAGGTCGGCCAAAAGACAGTAGATTACATATTTAAAGTGCTGAAATAAAAAAAAAAAAGCTGTCAACCAAAAATTCTATATGTGGCTAAATTCTACTGCAGAAATGAAGCAAAAATTAAGATATCCCTATTAAAGTTGAGAGAGTTCATCACTAGCCAACCTGCCCTACAAGAACTATTAAAAAGAGTTCTCCAGGATGAAAAGACGTAAGATTGGAGTTAGAAGGCATACAAAGAAATAAAGCTGGGCATGGTGGATCATGCCTATAATCTCAGTATTTTGAGAGGCTGAGGTGGGAGGATCACTTGAGCTCAGGAGTTCAAGACCAGCCTGGGCAACATAGGGAGACCCCATCTCTGCAAAAAATAGAAAAATTAACCAGGCATGGTAGCACATCCCTGTGGTCCCAGCTACTTTGGAGGCTAAAGTGGGAGGATTGCTTGAGCCTGTGAAGTTGAGGCTGCAGTAAGTCAAGATCATGCAATGCTACTGTAGTTCAGCCTGGGTGCAAGTCCTTGCCTAAAAAACAAACAAACAGACAGACAAAAAACCCAATGTAGTTACTTTTACCAGAGTAGTTCTTTCTTTCTTTTTTCTTTTCCTTAAAGAACTACTCTGGTAAAGGTAACTACATTGGTAAATACAAAAGCCACTATTATGTTTTTGCCTTGTAAATTTTCTTTTTGTTTCATATATAATTTAAAAGACAAATGCATAAAATTATTATAAATATGTGTTAATGGGAGACAATGTATAAAGATGTAATTTAGGAAGAGACAGCTGTATAGGAGCAGAGTTTTTGTATATTATTAAAGCTAACCTGATACAAATTTCAATTACAGTATTGAAATTTCTTCATAATGATAATAATTGTAATTATTTCTCAGTACCTGCACATTCTGTACCTGAGGATTTGACCAACCAAAGGTCAAAAATATTTGAAAAAAATCAACACAGATAATATGACTAGAAATCATATGGATTTGAAAAATAGTACAGCATAACCGCTATTCATATAACATTTACATTTTATTAGGCATTGTAAGTAATCTAGAGATGGTTTAAAGTATACAGGAAGATGTGTGTACATTATATGCAAATACTACACCATCTTATATATAGACTTGAGCATCTGAGGATTTGGGGTCCAAGGGAGGTCCTGGAACCAACCTTCCATAGATACAGAGAGATAACTATTGATTATTTTAAAAAAAAGTTAGGATGTTAATTGAAAGTACATGGCAGCTCCTAAGAAAATAATTTTTAAATATTCAGAAAAGAAAATTAGGAGGAAATCCAAACTTTGTATTAGAAAAAAATCAATTAAACAAGAAAGCAATATTGAAAGAATTGGGGGGAAAACATAACAAATATATAAAACTAAGAGCAAAGTAGCAAAAGTAAATCTTTCCTTATCAGTAATCACTTTAAATATAAATAACTGAAACTCACCAGTTAAAAGACAAAAACTGGCAGGATGGATTAAAAAATAAAAGCATGTTGTCTGCCCACAAGAGACTAACTTTAGGTCCAAAGATACAAATAGGCTGAAAATAAACAGACAGAAAATGATATTCCACACAAATAGTTGCCAAAACAGAGCTGGTATAACTACACTAATATCAGATGAAATAGACATGAAGTTAAAATTACAAAAGACAAGCAAATTCACTATTCATTGATAAAGGGTCAATTTATCAAGAAGATGTAACAATAATAAACATATATGCACTGCTATGATTTGGGCATGGTTTTGCTGTTGTTGTTGTTCCTGCCAAAGCTCGTGTTGAAACTTGATTCCCAATGTGGTAGTGTTGGGAGGTGGGGCCTAGTGGGAAGTGTTTGGGTCATAAGGGCAGATCCCTCATGAATGGCTTGGTGCTGTTCTCAAGATAGTCAGTGAGTTCTTCCTATTTTAAGACTGGATCTGGATTAGTTCTCACAGGAATTGATTAGTTTCTACAAGTGTGGTTGTTACAAAGCCAGGTCACCCCTCATGTTTCTCTTTCTTCACACGTCTGCTTCCTCTTTGCCCTTCTCTGTCATGTTGTGACTCAGCACAGAAGCCCTTGCCAGAGCCAGGGTCATGCCATTGAGATCCTCAGCCTGCAGAACCATGAGCTAAATAAAACTCTTTTCTTTATAAATTACCCAGTCTCAGGTATTCTTTTATAGCAACACAAAAGGGACTGAGACATGCACCAAACAACAGAACTCCAAAATGTATGAAGCCAAAAAAATGACAGACTTGAAGGGAGAAATAGACAGTTCTGCAATGCAGTGGGTTGACATCCTGGGACTGCTGCTCCTGGTGGTAGGGGTTGACAGGACAAGCTATCTGCCCACATGGTGCTCACGGACTAGCAGAGGAGGCAGTGACAACTGCTGTGAAATAGTAGTGAGTGTTAAGAAGAAAGATGGGGAGAGGCACGTTAGGCAGAGTGAGGAAGTGAGAGAGATAAGGCAGGAGGGGTGTTGCAGAGCAGGTGAGAGAGGGGTATCCTAAGCAGGTGGCATTGGCAGAGAAGGCTGGGAATGGTCTACACATCCCATGTTTGTTTCTGAGTGGTGGGATAATGAATTTTTTGTTTTATTCTTTATATTTTTCTGTGTGTGTGTGTGTGTGTGTGTGTGTGTGTGTGTGTGTTTGAGACAGGGTCTCTCTTTGTCACTCAGGCTGGAGTGCAGCAGCACAATCTCTACTCACTGCAGCCTCCACCTCCTGGGTTCAAGTGATTCTCGTGCCTCAGCCTCCTGAGTAGCTGGGATTACAGGTGTGTACCACCACAGCTGGCTAATTTTTAAATTTTTTATAAAGTCAGGGTCTCACTATGTTGCCCAGGATAACATTTTCAATTAAAAACATGTGCTACTTTGATTTTCAGAAAAAGGGAGTGCTTAAAAAGAGAGCGAAAGTTCAACTTCATAAACTTGAAGAGCACTGCTGACTTCCTACCTGTGGCCACGTAGTCCTAGCTGCGTTTTTCTGGTGGCTTCCAGAAGAATGGCACTGCCCTGCCACCTTGTGGCCATGTGGCAAGTAAACCTTCCAGCCAGCATTACAATAAAGCCAAAATCTGTTTTCTCACGTTTGAGGAAGATGACAAATATTCAGCATTCTAAGTAAGCTATGATTTGGATGGAGCTTTATTGATAGCACTCAGAGATAACGTGTTCTGCTTTATGGTAATACTTCATCCTTTTGGCATCATCAAGAAACAGCCTCTCTACTCAAAGCTTAACTCTTAAGGACCTACATAAAGATTATCTGAACATTCTTATTCATTTCTTACAGAGTGTATTGAACACAAAAACCTTTCCTTTAGAGCTCATGATTTTTAAAAACAATATCTCCTCAATGCAAAGATAAGTTCAATCCATCACCAGGAAGAGCCCAGGCTTAGCTCATAGGAAATACAAGTGAATCCAGGGATGGTGGAGAATTTTTTTTTTCTTTTTCTTTTGTTATTTATTTATTTGTTTGAGACAGGGTCTTTCTCTGTCAACCAGGCTGGAGTGCAGTGACACCATCATGGCTTACTGCAGCCTCATCCACCTGGGCTCAAGCGATCCTCCCATCTCAGCCTCCTGAGTAGCTGTGACTACAGGTGCGTGCCACCACTCCTGACTAATGTTTGTATTTTTTTTAAGAGACCTGGTTTCACCATGGTCCCCAGGCTGGTCTTGAACTCCTGAGCTCAAGCAATACGCTGGTAGGGCTTTTTCTTATTGTTACCCTCTGTATTGATTTGTTCAGGTTGCCAAAACAAAGTACCACAAACTGAGTGGCTTCTTACACAACAGAACTTTATTGTCCACAGCGCTGGAGGTAAGAAGTTTGAAATCAAGGTATTGGCAGGGGTTGTTTCCTCTGAGGGGAAGGTCTGCTCCAAGCCTCTCTCCTTGGCTTGTATGGCCATCTTCTCCCTGCCTGTTCACATCACCATCCTCTCTGCATGTCTTCATGTCCAAATTTCCTCTTTTTTGTAAAGACAATAGTCATATTGGTTTAGGGCCCAGCAAATGACCTCATTTTAACTTGATTACCTCTGTAAAGATCCTATCTGCAAATAAGTCACATTTTGAGGTATTGGGGGTTAGGACTTTGAAATATGAATGTGGGGTGAGCACAGTTCAACTCCTGACACCCCTCCTGGTGTTGCATTTCAGTAGAAGACCAGTGAGCCTCAGGTAGGAACCTGGAAAGCCCCACCGTCTTGTTTCCTCCCATCTTCCCTTTCTTTTCCCTCAATGGCTTTCAACTCTGATTCACATTAGAATTATCCAAGGAGTTTTTAAATTTCTGATTCTGAACCCCACCCCTAGACCAACTAAATCAGAAGAAAACTCGCAGGGAAACTTAATCCAAGAAGGGATCAAGGAAGGCTTCCAATGGGAGGGGATTCGTTCACTACATTTTGAAAAATGAATGGATGATTGAGATAGAGAATAATGAGAGGTGTAGAAAGAACATCATAACCAAAGACTTAGTGGGGTCAGACAACATGGGTGGGCTGGCAGGGCTTGTGTGTGTCCTGATGGCAGAGGGAGGGGTGGGGGGTCACACACAGGGGCACAGGAGCAACCCTACAGGCAGCTGTTGCTGTGAGATAAACGTCCAAGCAGGAGGTGCTGAAAGATGAAGCTGATGAGGCAGGCAGGGGCCAAATCAAGAGAGGATGTGTGCCTCATGCAAAGAAGCCTGGGTTTCCACATCAGCATTTCAGAAAGGGAGCTGCCATCACCCCCAAGCTCACTACTGACCATAATGTCAGGTGTGGCTGCCCTCCTGTCAACTGCATCACCATTGTGATTCTACTTTCATAAGCAATGACAAGTGTGAGTTCACTGTTACGACAAAGGATGTCGTTGCCAATTCTGAAGCTGCTGTGGATGGCAGTGAGGCAGGATAGAGTGGAAGAGGCAAGACCAGGAGCTGGGCAAGACCAGTGAAGTATAATGGATGGCAGAGAGGTGTAGACCCTAGTCAGGAGGACAGACAGTTAAGAAATGCATTGGGTGGACCGGGCGCGGTGGCTCATGCTCATAATCCTGCACTTTGGGAGGCTGAGGTGGGCAGATCACCTGAGGTCGGGAGTTTGAGACCAGCCTGACCAATGTGCAGAAACCCTGTCTCTACTAAAAATACAAAATTAGCTGAGCATGGTGGCACATGCCTGTAGTCCCAGCTACTCAGGAGGCTGAGGCAGGAGAATCGCTTGAACCTGGAAGGAGGAGGTTGCAGTGAGCCAAGATCCTGCCATTACACTCCAGCCTGGCAAACAAGTGCAAAACTCTGTCTCAAAAAAAAAAAAAAAAAGAAAAAGAAAAAAAAAGAAATGCATTGTGTGGAGTGGGGCTCGGGGGTGAGGTGACCAGCTTGCCTCTTCCACTCTATCCTGCCTTACTGCCATCCACAGCAGCTTCGGAATTGGCAACCACATCCTTTGTCATAACAGTGAACTCACACTTGTCACTGCTTATGAAAGTAGAATCACAGTGGTGATGTTCCTGCCCAGGCACTGAGGTGAAGTGAATGGTTTGGCAACAGGGTACAAGCGAAAATGCAGAGGTGAAAATCTGGGCCTTGGAACAGCTTCATCAAGTCTGGCAAGGGAGACCCAATCCACTCAACTGCAGAATGTGCATGTGACCACTACATGGTGAACAGAGTACTGAGCTTTGCTGCTCTACCAACCATCATGGTAGGGGCACACATTCTACTCCCCTGAATGTAGCCAGGCTCTGGGGAGCTCATTTGCAGCTTTGACTCATTCTGGGCAGCCTCAATTTTTCTCAAACACCAATTGCATCTGGGAAGGTGAATTCACTGTGCCTAGGTTTGTCCCCTCTGCTATAACAGTGATGCAATGTCACGTGAAAGATTCCTATCATAATTTAACCATTTTCTAAATTATCTGGGAAGTTTATTTGGAGGTTTGGGAGTGCTCTAATGATGTATGATAAATCTTTGATGCAAAGATCTACAATCTTGCAATTTACTATAAGCATCTTTGAAGTACATGTTATTAATTTAACCTTATATAAAGGTTATATACAGAATCTGTACCTCAGTATGCTTAGTTGTATCCACATAGAGGACTTCTAAAACACCAAAACTGCCTCATTATACATTATATAGACTTGCACATCATAATGGCAGTTAATAAAATGAAATTCTGTGTTTTCCTTTTTATAGTTAAATTTTTCCTTAAAAAAAATAACTTTCAGGAGATAAGCAAGAAAAATGCCTTGGCCTGGGAGATTAAAACCTATCTGGCAAAATGAAAACATTGATGTAAATGACATGAAAATGGTTCTGTCTGGCTTTGCTGTGGCCCGTTATTAGAGATCAGATTGGCAGCTGCTTCCACAACTAATTGATTCTAGGAAATTTGGCAAGCCTTATACTTCTCTATCTCAGAAACTGGACAACTGCCCACTTTGTAAATACCAACGTAACAATATCCTTTAAAGTGCTTAAAATGCATTGGGAAAAATCCCTATCAAATAAAAGATATACTTATGTAACTTATTATAGTACTTGATTTCAAATATTTATATGTAAAATACTAATGACTGTTCTGATAAATACTTTATCAAATTCACAAAGTATGTCAGTATGTGAACAGCATAATCTAAAGGCTTGTGCTGGTGTCTTCCATTTGCCCCCTAAGATCCACTCTCTGTGGTTTTCCAGCCAGTCCTGGACCCAGTGGGGGAATGTGGGTGCTGACCTAGGGTTTCCTTTGCCTTCTGGCTTCAGGTTGGGTTCAGCCAACCAGTGTAGGGTTATCAGCAAAAGATCCATAGGTGGGAGGAGAATGGAGGCAGGTATTTATTCTCCCCATGAGTGTTCTCTGAATTGATACTGAAGGCCATAGTTCCTGTCAGGTGACCCATTCCATAGACCCCTCACCCCATGACCTTCAATCTTTGTGCTTAGAGGTAATAATAACTGTTCCCTGAGATTGCAAGCCCCAGAGAACTCCATCATCATTTGCTATCTTCTGTAAACTACCCATATATTTTAAATATTTCTTTTTATTAAATTCTCCTCCAGTGATCCAAATTGAATTTTCCACCTTGAATGGTAACAGTGCTTTTACTCTTTTCCTTTGTGTTGAAAAGGAAGCATGGGCAAAAGGTGCTGAAATACAATCTCTGCTTATTAAAACAAACAAATAAACAAAAAAAAAAACAAGCAATTCAGTACCACAAAGCTGCTATGTTAATACATCTCTTTTTCCTTCTTTTTCTTTTTTTTTTTTTTTTTTTGAGACAGTCTCCCTTTGTTGCCTGCGTTGGAGTGAAGTGGCGCGACTCAGCTCACTGCAACATCCACTTCCCAGGTTCAAAGGATTCTCGTGCCTCAGCCTCCGAAGTAGCTGGGACTACAGGCATGCGCCACCAGGCCTGGCTAATTTGTTTTTTTTTTTTTTGTATTTTTAGTACAGATAGGGTTTCACCATGTTGCCCAGGGTGGTCCTGAACTCCTGAGCTCAGGCAATCAGCTTGCCTTGGCCTACTGAAGTGTTAGGATTACAGGTATGAGCCCCACACCCAGCCTCCTTTTCTTTAAACAGAAGGCAGTGCTCCAATTTCCAGTCAGCTCTGAATCACTCTTTATTGTTGTTTTTTAAAATTTTTTTAAAAAATAGAGATGGGGGGTCTCGCTATGCTGGCCAGGCTGGTCTCAAACTCCTGGTCTCAAGCAATCCACCCATCTCAGCCTCCCCGAGTGCTGGAATCACAGGCATGAACCACCATGCCCAGTCTCTAAGTCACTCTTGAGGTCAGTGCACCTATAGCCTGTGAGGGTTTGTGGGATTATTCAGATATTGTTATTGCTTGGGTTGGACATTTTATACCCCCTTATGCAGCAGCCATCCTCTAACGTGAACTAGAAGGAGGAAAGTTTTTCTTTTTTTTTTTTTGAGACAGAGTTTCACTCTTGTTGCCCAGGCTGGAGTGCAATGGCACAATCTCAACTCACTGCAACCTGAAGGAGGAAAGTTTTTCTTACTATAATTGGACATCGTTAAATAAATTTTGTTGTGTGTGTCTTTGTTCCTTCCCCCCTTATTTTATCCTCTTATTCTCTAAACACATTCTGTCACATTAAAATGCTAGACACTAACAGCTGGAGACATAAAAGTTTAGCCTTTCATAGTAAAACAAAAAAATTATATGTATGTGCTATAGACTGAATTGTGTTTCCCAAAAATTCACATGTTGAAGCCCTAACTTCCAACATGACTGACTTTGGAAATACAGCTTTTAGGAGGTAATTAAAGTTAATGAGGTCTCAAGAGTGGGGCTTATAGGATTAGTGGCCTTATATGAAGAGGAAGATCTCTCTCTCTCTCTCTCTCTCTGTTCACCACGTGAAGACACAATGACAGCTACCTGGAAGTCAGGGAGTGGGCCCTTATCAGGAACTCAGTCAGCTGGCACCTTGATCTTGGACTTCCCAGCCTCTAAGACAGTGAGAAATAAATGTTTGTTGTTTAAGCCACCCAGTCTATGATATTTTCTTATAGCAGCCTGAGCTAAGACAGTGTGTGCCTCACTTATGTCTATTGAAAATACAGGCCAGGTGCAGTGGATCATGCCTGTAATCCCAGCACTTTCGGAGGCTGAGGAGGGAGGATCGCTTGAGTACAGGAGTTTGAGACCAGCTTAGGTAACACAGTGAGATCTCGTCTCTATTTATAAAAAATAAAGTAATTAAATAATTTTTAAAAAGGAAAATACAGAAAACATCCTATAATGTCATAGCAATGTGTGTTACCTGATTGGCATATTTACTTCTTGTCCAAACTCCCTTTTTTGTTTGTTTTTTGTTTTTTTCTTTTTAGAGATAAGGTCTTGCTCTGTCACTCAGGCTGGAGTCCAGTGGCACAATCATAGTTCACTGTAACCTTGAACTCTTGGGCTCAAGCAATCCTCCCACCTCAGCCTTCTGAGGTGGGACTGCAGGTGCATGCCACCCAGGTAATTTTTTTTACATCCAGCTAATTATTAAATTTTGTTTTTTGTAGAAATTGGGTCTCACTGTATTGACCAGGCTGGTCTTGAACTGCTAGCCTCAAGTGATCCACTTGCCTCAGCCTCCCAAAGTGCTGGGGTTACAGGTGTGAGCCACTGCACCCAGCCCAAACTTCCTTCTTTATAAAAATTCATGCTGATTTACTTCCTTATTAAAATGATAGATGCTTACAAATAAAAACTCAGAGTGCATAAAAATGCAAAAATGAAAATAAAAATCACACCACATCCCATTGCTGAGAATTAATCGTAGTTATTAGTTGAGCACCATTTGACAGAACATTTTTTAAAATCACGTATGTGATTAAAGAAATACCTAGAGAGGAGGAAATACTTTTGTAAAAATGGGGCCATATGATAACTGTTTCATTGTTTGTTATTTGCCCTGAGGACCATTTTCAGAGGCTTCAAGTCATTGCTTTTTAATACTTTTAATGCTTTTTAATAATTTCACTGGGGATAGAATCAGCAGAGGTCCTCAAGCTGTCATGCCAGAAGTCAATCTGTCAGGCAAATTAAAACAAATTTGAAGTTTGTTTTAATCCCAGGAGGACTATTCTTGGTTATCTCTTGTTTCTCTCTGGTGAACTAGATGGTTTTGTTCTGATTAATTAAGAGGAGATACCAACCTCCTCGTTTGCTTTACACCAAAATCTCCATTGTTTTCAAGGCACCCTTAGGCTTGAACGTCCCTACACCCTGTCTCAAAGTCAGTTCCTTTCTGCAGAACTTCAGGACTCTCTGTTCTTAAATGCTATCTCTCTCCTCATGGGCAGAACGTTTGAACCAGTACTGTGGTGCTGGATGAGGATAGTGGCTGCTGGTCTTTTTAGCTTGCCTATCTTGGCATGGAACCTCTGCTCAATGAGTGAGCTGCAGCAGGGGTGATTGGGACCATGGTAGTCTTGTTCTGCCAAGCCTAGGGTAGAGCCTCTATCCTGCGAGTAGGGGCTAGGTAGACAAGGGAGTCCCCAACCTTTGGCCACACTCAGCAGAAATTTAGCTATCTTATTCCATTCAGGCTGCTGTAACAGAATACCACAGACTGGGGGCATATATACCACATAAATTTATTTTTCACACTTCTGAAGGCTTGGAAGTCAAAGATCAAGGTGCTAGCATATTCAGTGTCTGGTGAGAGCCTGATTCCTGGTTGATAGATGGCTGTATATGGCAGAATGACCTCACATGGCAGAGGGGTGCAGCAGTTCTTTGGGGTACCTTTTATAAGAGCACTAATCCCATTCATAAGGTGTGCCCGCATGACCCAATAACCTCCCAAAGGGCTTGTGTTCTAATAACATCACCTTAGTGGTTAGGTTTCAAAATAAGAATTTGAGGAGGGACATAAACATTCATTCTACAGCATAAGCCTTGAGAAACAAAGTTGAGTGTTCTAATATAAAGAGAGAGGTGTAAGCTGTACCATTTTCTATGAACTAGCCTTGGAATTCACAAAATATTGCTTTTGAAATAGTCTATTCATTGGCAATGATGAACTAAGGCCAGACTTTTTATTTTTATTTATTTATTTTTATTACACTTCAAGTTCTAGGGTACATGTGCACAACGTGCAGGTTTGTTACATATGTATACATGTGCCATGTTGGTGTGCTGCACCCATTAACTCGTCATTTACATTAGGTATATCTCCTAATGCTATCCCTCCCTCCTCCCCCAACCCCACAACAGGCCCTGGTGTGTGATGTTCCCCACCCTGTGTCCAAGTGTTCTCATTGTTCAATTACTACTTATAAGTGAGAACATACGGTGTTTGGTTTTCTGTCCTTGGGATAGTTTGCTCAGAATGATGGTTTCCAGCTTCATCCATGTCTCTACAAAGGACATGAACTCATCATTTTTTATGGCTGCATAGTATTCCATGGTGTATATGTGCCACATTTTCTTAATCCAGTCTATCATTGATGGACATTTGGGTTGGTTCCAAGTCTTTGCTATTGTGAATAATGCCACAGTAAACATACGTGTGCATGTGTCTTTATAGCAGCATGATTTATAATCCCAGTAATGGGATGGCTGGGTCAAATGGTATTTCTGGTTCTAGATCCTTGAGGAATCGCCACACTTGTCTTCTACAACAGTTGAACTAGTTTACAGTCCCACCAACAGTGTAAAAGTGTTCCTATTTCTCCACATCCTCTCCAGCATCTGTTTCCTGACTTTTTAATGATCGCCATTCTAACTGGTGTGAGATGGTATCTCATTGTGGTTTTGATTTGCATTTCTCTGATGGCCAGTGATGATGAGCATTTTTTTATGTGTCTGTTGGCTGCATAAATATCTTCTTTTGAAAAGTGTCTGTTCATATCCTTCACCCACTTTTTGATGGGGTTGATTTTTTCCTATAAATTTGTTTAAGTTCTTTGTAGATTCTGGATATTAGTCCTTTCCAGATGGGTAGATTGTGAAAATTTTCTTCCGTTCTGTAGGTTGCCTGTTCACTCTGATGGTGGTTTCTTTTGCTGTGCAGAAGCTCTTTAGTTTAATTAGATCCCATTTGTCTATTTTGGCTTTTGTTGTCATTGCTTTTGGTGTTTTAGGCAGGAAGTCCTTGCCCATGCCTATGTCCTCAATGGTATTGCCTAGGTTTTCTTCTAGGGTTTTTATGGTTTTAGGTCTAACATTTAAGTCTTTAATTCATCTTGAATTAATTTTTGTATAAGGTGTAAGGAAGGGATCCAGTTTCAGCTTTCTCCATATGGCTAGCCAGTTTTCCCAGCACCATTCATTAAATAGGGAATCCTTTTCCCATTTCTTATTTTTGTCAGGTTTGTCAAAGATCAGATGGTCGTAGATGTGTGATACTATTTCTGAGGGCTCTGTACTGTTCCTTTGGTCTATATCTCTGTTTTAGTACCAGTACCATGCTGTTTTGCTTACTGTAGCCTTGCAGCATAGTTTGAAGTCAGGTCGCGTGATGCCTTCAGCTTTGTTCTTTTGGCTTAGGATTGTCTTGGCAATGCAGGCTCTTTTTTGGTTCCATGTGAATTTTAAAGTAGTTTTTTCCAATTCTGTGAAGAAAGTCATTGGTAGCTTGATGGGGATGGCATTGAATCTATAAATTACCTTGGGCAGTATGGCCATTTTCATGATATTGATTCTTCCTATCCATGAGCATGGAATATTCTTCCATTTGTTTGTGTCCTCTTTTATTTAGTTGAGCAGTAGTTTGTAGTTCTCCTTGAAGAGGTCCTTCACATCCTTTGTAAGTTGGATTCCTAGGTATTTTATTCTCTGAAGCAACTGTGAATGGCAGTTCACTCATGATTTGGCACTCTGTTTGTCTGTTATTGGTGTATAGGAATGTTTGTGATTTTTGCAGATTGATTTTGTATCCTGAGACTTTGCTGAAGTTCCTTACCAGCTTAAGGAGATTTGGGGCTGAGACAATGGGGTTTTCTAAATATACAATCATGTCATCTGCCAACAGGGACAATTTGATGTCCTCTTTTCCTAATTGAATACCCTTTATTTCTTTCTCTTGCCTGATTGTCCTGGCCAGAACTTCCAACACTATGTTGAATAGGAGTGGTGAGAGAGGGCATCCCTGTCTTGTGCCAGTTTTCAAAAGGAATGCTTCCAGTTTTTGCCCATTCAGTATGATATTGGCTGTGGGTTTGTCATAAATAGCTCTTATTATTTTGAGATATGTTCCATCAATACCTAGTTTATTGAGAGTTTTTAGCATGAAGCGCTGCTGAATTTTGTCAAAGGCCTTTTCTGCATCTATTGAGATAATAATGTGGTTTTTGTCTTTGGTTCTGTTAATATGATGGATTACGTTTATTCATTTGCATATGTTGAACCAGCCTTGCATCCCAGGGGTGAAGCCAACATGATTGTGGTGGATAAGCTTTTTGATGTGCTGCTGGATTCGGTTTGCCAGTATTTTATTGAGGATTTCTGCATGGATGTTCATCAGGGATATTGGTCTAAAATTCTCTTTTTTTGTTGTGTCTCTGCCAGGCTTTGGTATCAGGATGATGCTGGCCTCATAAAATGAGTTAGGGAGGATTCCCTCTTTTTCTATTGATTGGAATAGTTTCAGAAGGAATGGTACCAGCTTCTCTTTGTACCTCTGGTAGAATTCAGCTGTGAATCTGCCTGGTCCTAGACTTTTTTTGGTTGGTAGGCTATTAATTATTGCCTTAATTTCAGAGCCTGTTATTTGTCTATTCAGGGATTCAACATCTTCCTGGTTTAGTCTTGGGATGGTGTATGTGTCCAGGAATTTATCCATTTCTTCTAGATTTTCTAGTTTATTTGCATAGAGGTGTTTATAGTATTCTCTGATGGTAGTTTGTATTTCTTTGGGATTGGTAGTGATATCCCCTTTATCATTTTTTATTGCATCTATCTGATTCTTCTTTTCTTCTTTATTAGTCTTGCTGGTGGTCTATCAATTTTGTTGATCCTTTCAAAAAACCAGCTCCTGGATTCATTGATTTTTTGAAGGGTTTTTTGTGTCTGTATCTCCTTCAGTTCTGCTCTGATCTTAGCTATTTCTTGCCTTCTGCTAGCTTTTGAATGTGTTTGCTCTTGCTTCTCTAGTTCTTTTTGTTGTGATGTTAGGGTGTCAATTTTAGATCTTTCCTGCTTTCTTTTGTGGGCATTTAGTGCTATAAATTTCCCTCTACACACAGCTTTAAATGTGTCTGAGAGATTCTGGTATGTTGTGTCTTTGTTTTCATCGGTTTCAAAGAACATCTTTATTTCTGCTTTCATTTCATTATATACCCAGTAGTCATTCAGGAGCAGGTTGTTCAGTTTCCATGTAGTTGAGTGGTTTTGAGTGAGTTTCTTAATCCTGAGTTCTAATTTGATTGCACTGTGGTCTGAAAGACAGTTTGTTATAATTTCTGTTCTTTTACATTTGCTGAGGAGTGCTTTACTTCCAACTATGTGGTCACTTTTGGAATAAGTGTGATGTGGTGCTGAGAAGAATGTATATTCTGTTGATTTGGGGTGGAGAGTTCTGTAGATGTCTATTAGGTCTGCTTGGTGTAGAGCCGAGTTCAATTCCTGGATATCCTTGTTAACTTTCTGTCTCGTTTATCTGTCTAATGTTGACAGTGGGGTGTTAAAGTCTCCCATTATTATTGTGTGGGAGTCTAAGTCTCTTTGTAGGTCTCTAAGGACTTGCTTTATGAATCTGGGTGCTCCTGTACTGGGTGCATATAAATTTAGGATAATTAACTCTTCTTGTTGAATTGATCCCTTTACCATTATGTAATGGCCTTCTTTGTCTCTTTTGATCTTTGTTGGTTTAAAGTGTGTTTTATCAGAGACTAGGATTGCAACCCCTGCTTTTTTTGTTTTCCATTTGCTTGGTAGATCTTCCTCCATCCCTTTATTTTGAGCCTATGTGTGTCTCTGCATGTGAGATGGGTCTCCTGAATACAGCACAGTGATGGGTCTTGACTCTATCCAATTTGCCAATCTGTGTCTTTTAATTGGAGCATTTAGCCCATTTACGTTTAATATTTTTATGTGTAATTTGATCCTGTCATTATGATGTTAGCTGGGTATTTTGCTTGTTAGTTGATGCAGTTTCTTCCTAGCATCGATGGTCTTTACAATTTGGCATGTTTTTGCAGTGGCTGTTACCAATTGTTCCTTTCCATGTTTAGTGCTTCCTTCAGGAAGGCCTGGTGGTGACAAAATCTCTCAGCATTTGCTTGTCTGTAAAGGATTTTATTTCTCCTTCACTTATGAAGCTTAGTTTGGCTGGATATGAAATTCTGGGTTGAAAATTCTTTTCTTTAAGAATGTTGAATATTGGCCCCCACTCTCTTCTGGCTTGTAGAGTTTCTGTTGAGAGATCCGCTGTTAGTCTGATGGGCTTCCCTTTGTGGGTAACCTGACCTTTCTCTCTGAGGGCAGCCTATTTTTAAAGGGAAGGGACTTACACTCTACCTCTTGATGGAAGGGCATCAAATAATTTGTGGACACATTTTTAAACCATGACTACATATGCGTAGATACCTAGGGAGCACAATGTTGCAACATGTTACCATTTGAAAATTTTAAGTGAAAGGTGTATGAATATTTGGTATTCTACTCTTTTCATTTTCCTGTAAGTTTGAAATTTTTCAAAATAAAAAGTTGGGGGGAAAATGTTACTCTGCAGTTGTCCAGCCTGATTTTTTTCCCCATTTATAGCCAATTTGCTTTTTGCCTGGATGCTTAAGTAACTCTTTCTTTAAGTTGTATATTCTAGTTATAAAACCTCTCTTAATAAATTTTCCTGGACTGCAATGTGTGTCTCCATCTAGAGGTTCATTTTTTTTCTTCTATGTAATCCCCTTTATTACATCTTCTGAATTCTTCTGTTCCATATTTTGGGGCACTTTGCATTTAGGACACCAATTATCCTCATGTTGGATCATTTCTACATTCTGATTCTGTGGGCTTTGTTGTATTTGCTTTAATTTATTTTCTTTTCAGCTGCATGTATTGTTATGATCTTAAGATTTTCTTTTAACTTAGCTTCCAGTAGTGTCTTTTCTATTCCTTCCAATTTGTACTTCAGTGTGTTGAATGGTGTTGTTTGGATCCTCACTTTGTATTTTTAAGTGTGATGATCTCCATTTATCTGTTTCTGTTGCTGCTGTTTATGTTCTTCTCTATGAGGTCTTATTTTAAATTAGTTAATGTATATATAACGTATATACACAAATACACAGTTTATTACTATTACTTTAATCATGTATTCTCCCAGGTCAGTTTCTTTATCAATCTTTGCAGGGGGTCTTCCTTTCTTGCCTCCCTCTTCATTTCCTTTCTTTGTTAGATGCCCTGAACCAATGTTCTGCTTTTTCACAATTTCAAGGAGTGGTCCATCCCTTTAGGGAATATGCCTAACCTTTAGGTAATTTTCCCAGAGGGAAACTAGAATGAATTAGAGCCATGGCTATGAAGAGAGAAAAAAGAAAGGCTATTTTCCAGTTGTTAATCTTCAGGGTTTCAATTATCAGATATGGGGCTTTTCAAATGACTTCAGGGGTGGTGTGTGATTAGGAGCCAGGCTACTTATCCTCTGTGCTCCAGAATCCTTCATTTTCCTCCCTGATATCACTTTTTAAAGTTTTGCATTCCACTATCTCCCTTTCCTTGTTGGCAATTATTATTGATTTTTTGGGGAGAGGTTTTCTTTTTTTTAAACTGATTTTGGGTGCATCTTGTTAAGAAGTAGGGGAAGAAAAACTGTGAGGCAGTCTCTATTCTTTTAAACTTAGAAGTCCATCTCTTCTACAGCAACATATTTATATTTTTTAAGCAGGCTACAGGAAGAATGAAATACTTTTCACAAGAAAAAGAACCTAGTGTTTTGAGCTGGAAGTGATCTCAGAAACCATCCACTTTTGGGCTGGGGGCAGCAGCTCATGCCTGTAATCCCAGCAGTTTGAGAGGCTGACGGGGGTGGATGACCTGAGGTCAGGAGTTTGAGACCAGCCTGGCCAACATGGCAAAACCCCGTTTCCACTAAAAATACAAAAATTCACTGGGTGTGGTGGCACATGCCTGTAATCCCAGCTACTCAGGAGACTGAGGCAGCAGAATTGCTTGAAACTAGGAGGCAGAGGTTGCAGTAAGCCGTGGTTGCACCACTGCACTCCAGCCTGGGTGATGAAGCAAGACTCCATCTCAGAAAAAAAACAAAACAAAACAAAACAAAACAAAACAAAAAACCATCCACTTTCCAAGTTCACAGAGCCATTTAATGACTGAGGAGAAGGTCTCCATCTTTTTTTTCCATCTTCCCTTGTCTCATGTATGGGTGTCATTTTCGACATCAGAAAGAGAGACTGAGAAAGAAAGAGAGGGAGCGAGAAGTTTTGCATGTTGAGTACTTTCCTTTCCTGCCTCTATTCATATTACAGAGCACTGGGCCTTTGTTAGGGGTAGCTCTGGTGGCACAGAAATTGGGGCTCTGACTACAATGCTAAAAAAGTATATATTGGATAAAGACTCAATATGGTAAAGAAAGAACACCAGGAAAATTGTAAGACATTTTTCTTCTTCCTCTCTTCTCTGGTTTAAAGCAAATAAATCAACCAACACCACAAGAACTACATATCATTTGAGGACATGAGACATTGAAAAAGGGAAGAGTTTGATTTTCTGAAATGATTTGTCTCAGCTGCTATGACTGCTTGTGAGAATTAAGAAATTATCCCAGTGAGTACTGTGTTACAAGTACATGCAATGGATTTTAATTATGTCAGCTGGAAAAAGACTTAAAAACAAGCCAAAGGACTGTAGATTAATAGGAAATGTAAAAATATAATCTGCCTTGGGTCAATTCTGATCAGTGAGGCATCTCAGAATGCACCCCATCTATTTCAGTGGGCCCTCCCTCTTCTGAATGAAGACTTATCAGCACCAGAGATCTATGAAGCTGCCCCAAAACCTATTGGACCAGCTGGTCACTTGTCATTGGTCAAAACATTAGAATAAATGTTTCCCAAAATGCCCAGAAATGCAATCCTGTTGCTTACAGAGATCCTCAATCCTAATTCTACAATGAGGCTCTTAGTTAATTCTGACTTGGGGACATCCAGAAGTTAACCTTGACACCTAGCTGTAAGAAAAAGCACAAAGTAGAAATACAAAAAATAAAAATAAAATCTTTTCTTTCAAAGTCAGCTGGGTATGAAAAATATGAAATTCATAAATAATCTAGAATTGTTCATGTGATGATATAACATGAGGAAATTATACAGTGACGGATACAATTTTCTTCCACCCTCCTAAGGTCTCTGGCCAGAACTGAAATAGTACAGATTAACAAGAGAAAAGCATACAATATTAATAATTTTTTTTACTTGTACATGGGAATCCTCACAAGAAAAATGAAGACCCAAAGATTCAGTTAGAGCTAAATGCTTATATACCATATTGGACAGAGTAGTAAATTGTGAAAATATGACAAGAAAAAGGGGCTTAGATTTGGGCAATGAATCATGGAGAAGTGACTAGGAAGATACCGGTAAGCACAACAAGTTTTGTTTGTACAGATGTCTCTTGTCTTTGACTTCTCATGTCTAGGGATAAGAATGTTTCTTTCCTCTTGGTGTAGTGAGGACATCTCTCACATGGGACTTCCATCTTCTGCTTTCAGGAAGAAAAAGGAAGGCCAGTGTGCCCTTCTTGCACCTGCTGCTTTTTAAGTGCTTTTCACTCAAAAGAATCAATATGCTACAGTGGCATGTTTTGAGGTGGTGTGTTCTGAACTCCTTCCCTACCCAGTATCTATGCTCTCATTCTCCCTTACAAATAGAACTCCTATAGTCTGTTAAAAGAAAAACTTTAGCCTAATTAAATTTAACAGTGTTTACTTGAACAAAGAATGATTCCACCAATCGGGCAGCCTCCCCAGCCGGAGTAGGTTCAGAGACACTTCAGCACAGCCATGTGGTGGAAGATTTATAGACAGAAAAAGGAAGTGATGTACAGAAAAGGAAGTGAGGTATAGCAACAGCTGGATTGGTTACAGTCAGTGTTTGCCTTATTTGAACACGGTTTGAGCAGCTGGCCCCCTTTCATCGGCCATAACTCAGTGACTGGCACAAGAGTAGATTACAGTCTGTTTACACCTTCATTTAGGTTATAGTTTGCGACTTACAGAGAAAACTTTAGGCACAACTTAAAATATGTATGGAGGCAACTTTAGGCTAAACTTAAGTCTCGAGGATGCAATGTAACTGTCAGGCCTCTGAGCCCAAGCTAAGTCATCATATCCCCTGTGACCTGCACGTATACATCCAGATGGCCTGAAGTAACTGAAGAATCTCAAAAGAAGTGAAAATGGCCTGTTCCTGCCTTAACTGATGACATTACCTTGTGAAATTCCTTCTCCTGGCTCATCCTGGCTCAAAAGCTCCCCCACTGAGCACCTGGTGACCCCCACCCCTGCCTGCCAGAGAACAACCCCCTTTGACTGTAATTTTCCTTTACCTACCCAAATCTTATAAAACGACCCCACCCCTATCTCCCTTAGCTGACTGTCTTTTCGGACTCAGCCCGCCTGCACTCAGGTGAAATAAACAGCCTTGTTGCTCACACAAAGGCCAGTTTGGTGGTCTCTTCATACGGACATGAGTGAAAGTAACTGTCCAGATTACATTTTTTACAAAAGATTTTTTTCAGTCTCCTTCGCAGATGGGAGTGACCAGTGAGAAGCAGATGGAAGCCACTGGGTGTGGCTTCCAGCACAACGCTCTCAAAGTGCTGGTTCTGTTGGCAGTTAAGCCTATTACACATGCCTCTTGCTCGTTTCTGCTGCCTGGGAGAAAGACCTGAGGACAGGGGCTGGCAGCCTGAAGGTCCAAGTGCATAATAATAGCGCAGTGGAGCCAAGGGATGGACAGAACCTGGCGGTGCCACCACTCCAGCCTTGGGTGCTTTTCCCTCCTTTTCAACAGGGAGAATTAAACTTTTGTTTTTCTTATTTTAAATTTATATTTGCTCTTAAGTGGCAGGCCAGGTCTCACTAACAGCTGAACAGACAGGCCTCCGTAACCACTGTTTCAGCACTAGTTAAGTTAAATATTAAAAGCTGAAAGAGCCAGTGTCTTTATAGAAAGGCTGGTATGTAACAAAAGCCCACCAAGAGTTTTGCCCAGGCCTTTCCTGGTCCTTGAAGCATGAGAAAATAAAGAAGGAATTCTTAACAGGACCTGTTCAAGATTAAACAAGTTTTTATTGGGGGTCTGAAGAAACTCCCCCAGACCTCCACAAACAAGTTTATCGGGGGTCTGAAGGAACTGCCCAAACCTTCATGATTTAGCAGGAGACAAGATAAGGGTAATCACCTCTGGCACCTGCAGCCATCTAGATTAAGTAAATTTACTTAAATAAAGACCTTCCTTAGGACTGATCTTAGTTATAGATTAGAAACAGTTAATCATTTACGTCTTTACACACATGCACACTTACATGTAGACAGATAGTTTAGAAGGTATATAAGCTCTGGAAAACTTTGTAATTTTGAATCGATTTGGCGATATTTTCCAGGCCTTTTCCCTGTACCCGGTTACCGAAATAAACTCTTCTTTCCCAGTTCATCATGAGAATAAGCAGCCCAACCCCTGGTTTGGCCCGGGAACACTTACAGAGGCTGTCTAAGACCCAGAAGACAGGGTCACTGTTTCTTCCACACAAACTTAGCTGCTCTTTGGAATTTTCTGGGGTGTTTTTATAAATACTAAGGCTTGTGCCTCATTTCCCCAGTGTCTGATTTCACCGACTTGGGGTGTACTCTAGGCACTGAGACTTGTAATAGCTGCCCCTGGTGACTCTAAGGTGCAGCAAATGTCAAAGACCAGGACTTGGTGACGCCAGGTCCCTGGCTGGGCTGCGGTCAAGACTGCATGACCTGCTGAAATCTCCCCAGACTGGTTAGCGCGGAAAGAGCACCTCCGGGTTACCCTTTCGTCCGGAAGCCCCGCCTTCGCCGTCGCCCCGCCTTTCCCCGGCTCGGCCACCCCTCCTTCCCGCCCAGCTGTGGCCCCGGATGACGCAAACCGGGAACAGCGGCTGAGCCTGCGCTTCGGAAGCATGGATGTGCGCCTGCGCTGCGCTAGGGCGCGGCGGGCGGTTTGAATTTTGCTTACAGAGTCCCGTCTCACCATCCTGGGCTTCCAACGGAGACTGCGGTATCCGCAGCTGGAGACCCAGCGGCGAGTAGCCTTTTGCTCCCGGACGGACTTGAGGTTGGAGTCTGTGTGTTGGGGACCCTGCCTTTGGAAGCGCCCGAGGTAGCTGCTTGGCAGCTGGGGGCCGCGGACCGCGCCGGGCTTGGGGGAGGACGGGGCTGGAGGCTGGGTTGGATGCTTTAGACCCTCCCCTTCTCTCTCACCGGCGGAGTGGGTGGGAAACTGGTTCTTTCCCATTTCTCGGCCTCCTTACCGATCCCAAACTGTAAAGCCCCAACCCCTCACAGCACAGGAAAAATGATTACCTGGGCCCATTTCTTTGACAGTGTAACACATTTTTAAAAAATGTGTCCTTATTTTGCGTGTTTAAAGAAAATACCAATGTTGTCTTTATATACAAATAGTGCGTTTGTCCTCCTGAATCCTTAAGGAAAGGACCCAGGCTTATCCTCTTTCCCCTGGTTTGGGATCCATCGATGGCCTAAGGCTCTAAGACAAGTCAGTACGGTACCGTGGTTAGAAACTGAATGTTGTAGAAATGAAAGAAATTGCTCTTGAATTTTTGTGCTTAACCTTCAAAGACATGTGATTTACTTGACATTGACCATTCTTGGATTTCGAAAGTGAACAGAAATTTGTGTGGCTTTTCTTGTTACGAATATGTTTATGTTTTTTTCTTCAGAGGCTTAAAGGATGGCCTCGTCAGATCTGGAACAATTATGCTCTCATGTTAATGAAAAGATTGGCAATATTAAGAAAACCTTATCATTAAGAAACTGTGGTAAGTAAAACAGATTCCACTGACTTTGTATATACAAAATGCATTTTGATTATTCCACTCTGAATGATATCTTTGCTTGGTTAAGTGACTGCATCTTAGGTAATTTTAGATTTTTGCATAACGATTTTTTAAATAGTCCAATGTCATTTTGAATATTGTGGAGGATACTAAAAATGTAAGGTACATTGAACAATGAACTGAATATTCATTAGAATTATTTACTTATGTTTTTCTGAGACACATAGGCCAATGGTGAGATTTGAAGGTTATGTGGCATCCATGGTTCTACAGCTAAATAGAGATACAGTCATGCGTTCCTTAATGATGGAGATGTGTTCTGACAAAAGCGTTACATGATTTTGTCGTTGTGCAAACATCACATCATAGAATGTACGTAAATGTACACAAACCTAGATGGTATAGCCTACTACATATCTAGGCTATATAGCCTATTGCTCCTAGGCAACAAACCCGTATAGCATGTGACTGTACTGAATACCTTAGGCAAGTGTAACACAATGGTGAGTATTTGTGTATCTAAACATAGAAAAGATACAGTAAAAGATTAAAAATGGAACACCTGTATAGGCCACTTACCATTGATGGAGCTTGCAGAACTGGAAGTTGCTGTGGGTGAGACAGTGACTGTGAGGGCCTAGGACATCACTGTATACTACTGTAGGCTTTATAAGTACTATACACTTATGCTACACTAAATTTATAAAAAATGAAAAACTTTCTTCAATAATACATTAACCTTAGCTTACTATAACTTTTTTACTTAATAAACTTCTTAGTTTGGCTTAGCTTTTTTATTCTTTTCTAATAGCTTAAAACAAATACATTGTACAGGTGTACAAAAATATTTTTATATCTTTATGAGCTTTTTTTCTATTTTTTTTTAACTTTTTAAAATTTTTTTGTCAAAAACGAATACACACACACACACACATTAGCCTAGGCCTATGCAGGGTCAGGATCATCAACATCTGTCTTCCACATTCACATCTTGTTCCACTAGAAGGTCATCGGGGCAGTACCACACATGGAGCAGTCATCTGTGATAACAATGCCTTCTGGAATATCTCCTGAGGGATCTGCCTGAGGCTGTTTTACAGTTAACTTTTTTTTTTTAATAGGTAGAAGGAGTACACTCTAAAATAACAATACAAAGTATTGTATAGTAAATAACATAAACTAGTAACCATTTATTATCAATTATTATGTACTATACATAATTGTATGTGCTGTACTTTTGTAATACTGGCATTAGAGTTTGTTTACACCAGCATCACCACAAACATGTGAATAATGCATTGTACCATGATGTTATGATGGCTCCGATGTCACAAGGCAATAGGAATGTTTCAGCTCCGTTATAATCTTATGGGGCCACTGTCATATTTATGGTCCATTGTTGACTGAATCACTGTTATGTGGCACATTATTAAAAGGCAAGTTAAAAAAACTGATGTAGAGCTCCATAGGGGTAAAAGTAGTTCATAACCCATCTTAGAGCCTGCTTTGGAGGAAGCTTATTACTCTATATCACTGGGAAATAACTAATTGAAAATGAAATAAATTATTTAAGCATCCATGAACTTGGAGATTTTAAGTATATTTGAAAATATTTTGACGTGCTGAAATTGGATGATGCAATGAAAGTTCAGAGAAACAGATGATCCTTGTCAAATCTAAAATGTCTAAAGAATTACATACTCCCTAACCTTATCTGGGAGGGTAACGGTTTATTGGCAGACAGAATTCCATGTGCTGGGAAGGTTGTGTTGAACTTGTATTGTAGTTTGTATTATGAATTGGTAGTTTGAAAACTTTCTCAAATATGAAATTATAATGTTAGATAGGCCATTTCGAATTATACCTCCCCTCTCAGGGACGTTGATATTCTCAGTCCTGTATTGATAACTACTAATAAAGGAGCCTCATACATTTTACAGTTTATGGTTCACATACTCTGGAAAGTTAAAGCTAAAGGGACTGGGTTCATCTTAAGGAGCCCCCTGACCTCACACCTGAGGAAACTGAGACTCTCGGAAGTCAGGTGGCTGGCCCAGGTCCCTCAGCTCATGAGTACTTGGTTGGGCGACAGTTTCTGTTTCTTGATTCCCATGTTAGTACTCTTTCTATTTTGTTGCCATTTTTATTGAAGTAATTTGTAAAAGACTTTTAGATGTTTAATAATGAGTCTTGTTTAAATTCACTTTCTGAGGTTATGATTAGTCATGGATAAACAAATATAATTTGGAGATCTATACAACTATCAAGCCTTGAATTCACATGACCCACCAAAGCATAGGCCTGGCTGAAGCAGTCAGACCCATGAGATCCTTACACAGTTGTCAACTGTCATTTTGTATGGGGGGATAATAATTTGTGTGGCTCCATAGCCTATAAAATAAAGTCTGGTAGTTTGTTTGCTACTTTGGCTTCTGTAACTGACTAGATTACTACATAAAAAACAGTGACCAGACACACACCTGTAATCCCAGCACTTTGGGAGGCCAAGGCAGGCGGATCGCTTGAGCTTAGGAGTTTGAGACCAGCCTAGTAACATAGTAAGACCCTGTCTCTACACAAAATAAAAAATGAGCCAGGTGTGGTGGCGTTTACCTGTAGTCCCAGCTATTCAGGAGGCTGAGGCAGGAGGATTGCTTGAGCCTGGTAGGTTGAGGCTGCAGTGAGCTCCGATGGTGCCACTGAACTCCAGCCTGGGTGACAGAGAAAGACCCTGTCTCAAAAAAAAAAAAAAAAAAAAAAGTGGTAAACAACACCCTAAAATTTAGGTGACTAAAAGTTGAGATACCAGTGTATGGGGAAGAAATACTGTGTTCAACTAATTCTACTGAAATTATTCTCAGAGACATCAGTACTCTCATTTACTTATTAATTAGTTTTACTTGTTATGAGCTGAGTGTCAAATGCAAGTAGTGTTGCTCTATTAGATAGAATGATATACTCATGATGATGATGAATGGCAGTTAGCATTTACTGAGTATTACGTTCTACATGCAGGGCTAAGCCCATCTTATATGTACTTTCACCTATCTTCACAGTAATGAGGTAGGTACTTGGTGTCTCTGACTTCAGGCCTTCTACCTGGTTCACTCTACTGCCTCCTTAATCTACACATATTGCCAAAGTCTGCTTTTACTTATGTGTATGTCATTGTTAGATAGCTGGAAATGCAGATGGGAAGCTTCAATTATGAAGGTAGTTTTTCTTCTGTGCTTTTAATCTGCCCTTAAATTTTTTAAAAAACTACTTCTTTTATTTCTAGGGAGGAAGGGACTCTGATTTTCTCACCTAGAGAGGGGTGCTAGGAGGTGGGATTGGGACCATGAGAATATACTACTTTATAAATGTCTTATGTTTGTTTTTGCCAGGTACCCAGGGTTATCACCAGCTTGTGACTTTTTATGTTACTTTGTCTGCTTAGGGGTGGTTTTGAATAGTGTGGATAGTGTTAATATGAATTCCAAATCCATATTACAAATTCTGAAAGAGAGTTTCACCTCAACCTCACTCCCACCCCTTCCACACACACACTGAAGGGCCTGTCTAAAACATAAGCTTATTTCTCTGGTGAGTGATTACAACTTTCACTGAAAATATATTCATAAAGAAGAGTCCTAGCCTCGTTTGAGATTCTCACTTCCAACACCCTGTGTTTTAAAGCCCCAAAACCTTGGATCTTATCCCTATTAAAATCAAATATATTCAATTGCTGAGATTGACAACCTCCTGTCCAGCATTGCTCCACACTCCTCAGATTAGGGCTGCTGCAGCCTCAGCTCACACACCCTGCCTGGTATGAGGGGGAACCACAGTTCCCTCTTCATATTGGAACCCCTGGAAATTTGCCTTTTTCTCATGAAAGCTTAGCTGTGGACGTAGAAGGATGCTTGTTTTACCTCGCATTTCTAAGTGTTTTAATAAGTGGAAGAATTTGCCAGAAACAAAAGACGCAGGAGAGACATTGTCCTTGCCTCTCGCCTCCTTCTGTTCCATACTACTTAGAAATGAGGTTTCAGGATTGTCCATGGAGTCATTTTCTAGGGGCTAAAGCAGTAGACCTTTTTCCACCCCTCTCTAAGGTACAGCTATCTATTCTAAGAGTTCGCATGAGTACTTATAGCTACTGCTTTTCTATACACTTTGTTTTCTATTTTATTTTTGTTTATAACAGGCCAGGAACCTACCTTGAAAACTGTATTAAATAAAATAGGAGATGAGATCATTGTAATAAATGAACTTCTAAATAAATTGGAATTGGAAATTCAGTATCAAGAACAAACCAACAATTCACTCAAGGTAATGTTTCTCTAATGAGGAAGCAGTAAAAAAGACAATACATACAAACTCCCTAATCATTAAGTAATTTTTAAGGATGCTTTGTTTATAATGTTTTTTGTTTATAAATTATTAATGGTACAGTATGCCATTTATGTTTTATTTTCCTAGTATAGTGGAATTTGGAGCTCCACAGCTGCTACTTTCTGCTGATGGCCAGTGGAATTGAACTTTACTAAAAAGGAGAGTTTGCTAATAATTCTTGGTAGCTTTAATTTAAACAATGATGTTCTAGTAGAGTGGTATGTAAAGAACACCTGCTTTGGGTGAGGAGATATGGATTCTTACCTTGGTGGTCCTTGGTACTCTCTGCCACCCTGAGAAAGCTATTTTACCTGTTGGGGTTTCAAGAACCTCATCTGAAAAAATAATGGATCATATTGAACTGTTTCTTAGCTCCCTTATATGTCTATATTTCTATATTTTTATAAAAGGTAATATAAGGGTTCTCAGGTAAAGAAAAACTTGAGCCTCATTCACATGCACATTTTATTCTAAACAAGCCTTCAAATTGAGTTCAGCTAATAAAAGTGCTGGTGCACTTCCTGAGGGGGAAATAATCTGTACCATAATTACCTCACATTGTTAGAGCTGGGGAATTGCTCAGTGGGATTGAACAAGGGACCTCCCTGACCCCATTCAGCCTTATAATCCTTAAAGTCTGTAAAGATTGTTCAGCTATAGGAATGGGCATGATTATGCCTATCACTCTAATAGTCAAAATGGAATTGGTATCCATGAATGTCATTCACCTCTTCAAGGAAAAGACATTATATAAATTCAAAACAGAAACCAATACCGGCATTTCAGTTCTAACCTGCCCAAGAATGTCCAGGGTTAGGTGTGGGCCTAGAGAATGCTCAACTCAGAACTGAAGGCTATTTGGAATTTCTGTTCACATTGTGATTGGGAGCCAGATGGCGGGAATCCAAAGGCACAAAATATTTTCCTTATTAAAATGTGTATGAGTTCATAGCCTCAAGTTCTAGTAAAAGTTAGAGACCAAAACACCCCAGCTTTCAAGTAGAAATTTTCATTAAGCTGGCATGTAGGTAGCCCACAGTGGAAGTCATCCTAAAGCAGCATCTCATGCTTGCCAGCTGGGTATATTACCATGCTGTGATAATATGGTTGCTGTTACACAGGTAACACTGGGGAGCATTTGGTAAGCCAACAAACGCAATTTATGAGAATGAAAAACATAAGTTCTTTATATATTTCTTAGTTATCTCCCAAGATTAAAGTATTTGAGAAAGACTTAACTTTAGTCCTGCTTTGTAATTGCAATGTGATTATAGTGATTGTTCCCTGAAAAAAATCCAGTAGAGAAAAATATTACCACCATCCAAAAACAGCTCTAGAAACCAATTTTTTATTGCTGGATTCATTGCTTTTTCACTTCATTCTGCATTTTCGGTACTCCAGTCAATGTGGTTTTTTTTTTTTTTTTTTTTTGAGACGAGCCTTTCTCTGTCGCCCAGGCTGGAGTGCAGTGGCGCGATCTCAGCTCACTGCAGCCTCCTCCTCCCAGGTTCAAGCAGTTCTCCCCCCTCAGCCTCCTGAGTAGCTGGGACTATAGGCGCGTGCCACCACGCCCGGCTAAATTTTTGTATTTTTAGTAGAGATGGGGTTTCACAGTGTTAGTGGGGATGGTCTCGATCTCCTGACCTCATGATCCACCCGCCTTAGCCTCCCAAGGTGCTGGGATTACAGGCATGAGCCACCGCGTCCAGCCACAGTCACTGTGATTATGGTTCACTGTTTTCCCTGCTCTTTAGAATATCTTAAAACACACATGGGGAGGACAGAGACTTATTTGTGAGCACTTTTAAATTTTAGGAACTCTGTGAATCTCTTGAAGAAGATTACAAAGACATAGAACATCTTAAAGAAAACGTTCCTTCCCATTTGCCTCAAGTAACAGTAACCCAGAGCTGGTAAGTGTATTTATAATTATTCTTGCTATCTGGATTTATAAACCCATGAAAACAAGTTCTTCAAAGCCTTTTGTTCTTTCATATACTTGCAGTTTTGTCAGCGATGATCTAGTTTTTTGTCACCTATACTAAAAACAGTATTTCCATGTTCACCAGTTTTCTTATCTTGGTGTCTCTGAGGAAAATCTAACACTTCTTTCCCAGTTTGCCAAGGGCAAGTCTCTCTAGCCTCTCTTTTTTCACTCATTTCTTTCCCTGAGAGCAGTTTGTCAACTGACGTTTGTTCCTTGACATTTTAGGCAGGTTAATTTTTTGTTATGAGAATAGGACATTGAGTAGTGTTCTTGATCTCTGCCTACTAGATTCTGGTAGCATCCCTCCATCCCACCCATTCACGACAATGAAAAATGTCTCCAGACATTGCCAAATGCCTCTGAGGGCAAAATCTTCCCCGACCATTGAGAACCACTGCCTTTGGGTAAAAATAAGCTTAAGGAAGTTACCATTTTAAAAATAGCTAAAGAGGCTGGGCACAGTGGCTCACGCCTATAATCCTAGCATTTTGGGAAGCCAAGGCAGGCAGATTGCTTGAGCCCAGGAGTTTGAGACTAGCCTGGGCAACATGGTGAAACCCCATCTCTGCTAAAAATACAAAAAATTAGCCAGACACAGTGGCACACCCCTGTAGTCCCAGCTACTCAGGGAGCTGAGGCGGGAGGATTGCTTGAGTCTGGCAGGTCAAGGCTGCGGTGAGCCCTGATGGTGCTACTGCACTCCAGGCTGGGCGACAGAGTAAGACCCTGCCTCAAAATAAATAAATAAATAAAAGCCAAAGGAACAATAAGCTTAGCTCTTTTTTCCCCTCAAATGTCCATCCTCTCTCTCTTCCCCCTTACAAGGTGTGTCTGTGCTTCTGCTTTTTCCCCGAGGCCCTAACACCTGGCTTTTGGCTGTCATTGCCACCACACCTAGGGTGGTTGAAGGTCATGAAGAGGTCAAAAATCCCTCGTCAGCCCTGGTTCTACTTCTAAGATTTCATTTTGCATACCACCTTTTTGTTTTTGAAATTCTGTTTTCTGCCCTGCCACTGTGCTTTCTTAGTTGTCAGCCCACTTCTCTGACTTGGCTGCCTCCTTTTTCTCTCCCCTTTTTTAAATTATAGATCTCTCCTACCTGCTTTACTCATTCTTACCCAACTCCACTGTTAATGCTCTCAAATGTCCAGCTCTAGCCTTGATATGACATCTAGTTCCAGCGATTTAATGGCCTGCTATTTTCTCCTCAAATTTTCCATCTTGAAGACCTGGCTCTCTTGTTTCTCTTGTTCCCCACATATCCTCCCATCACCTCGGTGAGGACTTGGCATCTTTATCCTGTCTTGCTCTTTCTCAGCCATTACCTGTCATTGGACATCCAGTAAGAATTTGATCAGGGGAATAGGAGGAATTTTCTTCTAAGCTGACTATGGCCTAGCCTCAACTCTCAGGGATAGGTGAGAGCAGAACCTTTCTGTAGTTGAAAATGGTTATTTTCAGCTGATAAACACAGCAGGGCATAAGGGAGCCAATCAGGTGCTTCCTCAACACATGGTCAAGACAAACAAGTACAGGTACGATTCAGCCAGTCTCACAGTGGAATCTCATATGTTAGGATTCACAGAAGGATTATCATGCATTGGGCATCTTTATCTTGACAGCGTGCAGCGTGGCCGAGTCACACCACCTCAGTGAGGCTGGTTGCCATCTGTGTCTGGCATTTGACTGTCATCTTGGGATCTTGCTTCCTGCCTTTCTGGGGATTCCCTTGGCTTGCTCCTGAGGCCATCCTCCCACTCATAATTCCAGGGCTTTGCTTAACTTCTAAGCTTTATATTATGTTACATTTCTTGTTACCTTTTTATTATACAAATAATACATGTTGCTAGAAAGTGTTTGTTGTCAGAAAATAAAACTCATCTGTAATTTACCATTCAGATAAGATAGGGTATAGCTTTCCAGATTTTACTTAACTACACATAATAACAGGTATAAGAAATATTACAGGTATTTCTTATACTTGTTATTATGTGTAGTTATAGCAGCCCCCTACTGTTTCTTATATCTGGTGTCGTCTTTCCTATGTCTTGACTTGCTGCTGGCAACATCCCTGGCAGTTAAGGAACCTAGAAGCTATAGTGTGTTTCTAGACTTTGTTGCTAGTGGGACAGGAGCTATATTAGTCGGCTTCTCACTCGCTGTAAAAATTGGGCAGATTGAATCCAGGGGTGACCCATGATCATTGCTGGCAACTAAAATGACTCCGCAATACACAGGGACTGACATGAGCAACCATCAGGATAAATTAGAATAAATAGAAGTCTAAGATAACTGATGTTTCCAGATTCAGAGTTAGGGACGTCAGGAAGACAAGCTGTTAAGGGGTTAGAACAATGAGATCACATGGACACAGGAAGGGGAATATCACACTCTGGGGACTGTGGTGGGGTCGGGGGAGGGGGGAGGGATAGCATTGGGAGATATACCTAATGCTAGATGACACGTTAGTGGGTGCAGCGCACCAGCATGGCACATGTATACATATGTAACTAACCTGCACAATGTGCACATGTACCCTAAAACTTAGAGTATAATAAAAAAAAAAAAATTAAAAAAAAAAAAAAAAAAAGGAAAAAAAAAAAAAAGAGAAGCTATTAAGCCGTAAAGCTGTTAACTTACTGACTTTGAGGAGCTGGTGGGACAACTGATGAAGATATCATGTTACACGTAAATAAATGTAGCTATATTACTGAAGATTTGGGAACTTAATTTTTCAACATTTCCTTCACCGTTTAATGTTCATGAACAATAGACATAGGGATAGAAAAAAATGTTGGCAATAAGATTATAACAGGATGAGTTACGTATTTAATATTATTTTCAGTTGGGAAAACTGTCAGTATGCTGCTTATTTCTGAAAATTGCCTGTATGTATGTACATCTGTATTCTGTAGTGTTAAGGGATCAGATCTTGATCCTGAAGAACCAATCAAAGTTGAAGAACCTGAACCCGTAAAGAAGCCTCCCAAAGAGCAAAGAAGTATTAAGGAAATGCCATTTATAACTTGTGATGAGTTCAATGGTGTTCCTTCGTAAGTATTTAAGATAAATAATGTTCAACCCCTTAATAAACATAAATGATCGTTTAAATAATAAAGCTTAATTATATTAATTGTAATATGCTATGTTCAAATATTGATCTTTTAAAAAAGTTTCACATTATACTATGAAAATGCAGTAAATTTTTTGAAGATTTTTGTTGTAAAACCCCTTCATAGAGAGATCTAGAGATGGATCAATTCATTGCTTAAGTCCTCTGTTGGACCTTTTTGTGTTACAGATTTACCAATCATATTATAGAAGTAGCCTCAGTTTTGTGGTAATTTTAAGGAAATCGAGTGTGTTGTGTAGAATTGAGAATGAGAATGGACAGTGTTGTGTTTGGTTTCCGTTTGTGCATTGCACCCCGCACTTGTTTGAGCCTGTGCTATATTCCAGGCCCTGGGTCACTCAGAATAGAGGAATGAATAAGACAAAATGCTTCCCCCAAAGAGGGGGGCGGGTCTCCCTTGCCTTTTACATATGGCAATAATGGGGAACCAATGATGAAAATCGACATTTTTAAACTCATAATTCCAGGGCTTTGCTAAACTTCTAAGCTTCATGTTATGTTACATTTCTTGTTACCTTTTTATTATACGAATAATACATGTTACTAGAAAGTGTTTGTTGTCAGAAAGTAAAACTCATCTGTAATTCTACCATTAGATAAGATAGGGTATAGCTTTCCAGATTTTATTTGACTATACATATGTAACAGGTATTTCTTATACCTGTTATTATAGCAATGTAGTTATACTGTAAATACAACTTACTATCCTTTTATTGTGATAATTTTTCTATCATTAATAGTCATATAATATATAGCTATCCAATAACTTGTAGCATTTCCTCATTACATATTTGGGTTGACTTTATTGTTATAAATAATGGTACAATGAAATATCTTTTAGACAAGGCTGTTTTGCAATTTTTTTATTTCCTTGGGATAGTCTTAGGAGGAGAGTCCCTGAGGCAAAGATCATGATTATTTTGCTTCTAGAGAGTTTTTCATACCAGTTCATTTTGGTTGTTGTTTTATTTAATAAAGTATATTTCTTAGAACCTTTGTTAGATTTACAGAAAAATTGAGCAGATAGTACAGTGTTCTCATACCGCTTCTCCCCTGCACACAGTTTTCCCTAGTAATAGAGCATTGGTATGACATATCTGTTACAGTTGTCAAACCAATATTGATACATTACTATTAACTACCATCCTTAGTCTATGTTAGGATTTATTCTGTGTTGTACCATCTATGGGTTTTGACAAACGTATAATGTCATGTGTCTACCATTACGGTATCATACAGAAGAATTTCACTATCCTAAAAAGTTTCACTGTCCTAAAAGTGCCTTGTATCCCACCTCTTTCTATCTCCCACTGAACCCCAGAATGTTATATGGTTAGAGTCATACAGTATGTAGCCTTCTCTGACTGGCTTCTTTTACTTAGAAATAAGGATTTATGATCCCTTGTACCTTTTTGTGGTTTGATAGCTCATTTCTTTTTAACACTAAATAGTACTCCATTGTATGGATGTATTGGTTTGTTTATTCATTCACCTATTGAAGCAATCTTAGTTCCTTCCAGTTTGGTGCAACTATGAATAAAGCGCTAAAAACGTTCATGTGCAGGTTTCGTGTAGACATAAGTTTTCAACTCATTTGGGTAAATACTTAGGAGTGTAACTGCTGAGTCACGTAAGAGTATGTTCAGTTTTGTAAAAACCTGCCAATGGCTATACCATTTTGCATTCCCACCAGCAATGACAGAACATTCCTCTTGCTCCACATACTCTTTATCATTTGGTATTGTCAGTGTTCTGGATTTTAGCCACTCTAATAGGTGTATAGTGGTATCTAATTATTTTACTTTACAATTCCCTAGTGACATTTGACATTGAGCATCTTTTCAGCAAGTACTGCAGTCCTCTGCTCTACCAGCTGAGCTATCGAAGGAAGCACTGAGCATCTTTTCATATTGATATACTTATTTTCCATTTGCATATCTTCTTTGATGAGATATCTGTTCAGGTCTTGAGCCTGTTTTTAAAGTGGGTTGTTTGTTTTCTTGTCATTGAATTTTAAGAGTTCTTTGCATATCTTTCTTCCTCTCCTCTAGTAGTCTCATTACCTGTATGTTATACTTTTTTTGATTGCCTCACAGTTCTTGGGTTTTCTGTTCTTTTTTGTATTTCTCTTTGCATTTTAGTTTGGGAAGTATCTATTGACGTTATCTATTGATGTATCTTCAAGTTCGCTGATTCTTTCTTTAGCTGAGTCTAGTCTGCTGATGGAGCCCATCAAAGGCATTCTTCATTTCTGTTAGAGTTCTTTATTTCTAGCATTTCCTTTTGATTCTTCTGTAGAATTTCCATCTCTGCTTTGTCTGTCTATTCTTGCATTTTATCCTTTTTCCATTAGAGTCCTTAGCATATTAAACATAGTTATTTGAGTTAGTGGTTTGATACTTCCAAAATCTCTGTCATTTCTCAATCTGCTTCTGATGCTTGTGATGCTCTCAGCCTGTATTTTTATCTTATGCCTAGTAATTTTTGTTAAAAGCTGGACAAGATGTGTCTGGATAATAGGAACTGAAGTAAATAGGCTTTTAGTGTGAGATTTTATGTTGATACGTCTAGGAGCTGGGCTATGTTTAATGGTTGCTACGGTTGTAAATGTCAGAAGCTTCAATTTCTTCTAGTTCCCATTTCTTTTGTTTGTTTTGATTTGTTTTGTTTTTGAGATGGAGTCTTGCTCTGTCGCCCAGGCTGGAGTGCATTGGCACGATCTCAGCTCACTGCAAGCTCCGCCTCCCAGGTTCACGCCATTCTCCTGCCTCAGCCTCCAGAGTAGC
Source organism: Homo sapiens (assembly GCF_000001405.40). NCBI lineage: Eukaryota > Metazoa > Chordata > Mammalia > Primates > Hominidae > Homo > Homo sapiens. The sequence goes on from NC_000018.10 coordinate 50,388,220, forward strand.
TAGGACTACAGGCGCCCGCCGCCACCATGCCAGGCTAATTTTTTGTATTTTTAGTAGAGACGGGGTTTCACCATGTTAGCCAGGATGGTCTCCATCTCCTGACCTCGTGATCCACCCGCCTCAGCCTCCCAAAGTGCTGGGATTACAGGCATGAGCCACTGTGCCTGGCCCTAGTTCCCATTTCTTTTGTCTCCTCTGTTGTCTTTGGGTTTCCTTAGAAATTTTTTCTTAATAGATTCTGTGTCTTGTAGCTTGCTAAGTGTTAGTTCACTAATACGTTCCTGTAACCTTGTTGTAGTGGTGGTAAGGTGTTGGAGAGGAGAAGCATTCTATAATCTTATGATTAAATCTCAGGCTTTTTAGGGGTACTGCATCTCTGGCCTGTGACCTTCTAAGGTGTTTCTTAGCTAGACGGGGCTGAAATCATCTAACTACCCTTCCCCTAGGTCAGATAAGGTTCTGGTCAAGTAGTTTTCCTTGAGGGCAGGTCTTTGTTTTGGATAACAGAACTGCTCTACTTTTCCTTGGCCTATTTCAAAATAATTACTTTTTCCTTCCTCTTGCTGATGCTCAAGAGAATTTTTCTCTGATCTTCATTTTAAAAACTTGGGGGGAAGGCAGGGGTGGTTCCTGGAAGTAAAACTCATGGAAGTATGGGGGGGCTCCCTAAACTGGATCCCCAGGAGTTTTTAACTCTCAAGCTAGTTCAAACTGAGCCTTAGCAGTTTGTCCGTTACTATTTAAATGTTCCTACAGTTACTCACTCCAGTGGCTTCTGTCCCTAGGAAGCTGTCATTCTCTGCATTTGTTTGTCTCTCCTGTTTTGGGGGCAGTGTTTGGCCCTGTGACCTCAATTCTCTGAAAAGAGTTACCAGCTTTCAGTTTGCTCCTGTTGTGAGGATGGGAGTGACAGTTTCCAAGCTCTTGACACGTCAGAGTGCTACATACCAGTTTTTACTCCTGTTGGTAGTGTGTGAGAAAGCCCAACCTAATCTCACACCTGCTAGTGTTACCTCCTACTTAAAAATTGCTACCAATTAGCCACTTGAAAAATACCTGGCTCTTTCACAACTCCAAGACTAGTGATGACGTTGACATTGCTCTTTAGTCTTTTTCTGGGGGGGAGAGGGTCATTTTGTCATTTCCTTTACCTTTCTTTTTTTTTTTTTTTTTTTTTTTTTACTTTTTTTGTTTTTGAGACAGTCTCACTCTGTCCCACAGGCTGGAGTGCAGTGGCATGATCTCGGCTCACTGCAACCTCTGCCTCCTGGGCTCAAGCAATTCTCATGGTTCAGCCTCCCAAGTAGCTGGGACCACAGGCGTGTGCCACCACACCCAGCTAATTTTTCTACTTTTAGTAGAGATGGGGTTTCAGCCATGTTGGCCAGGCTGGTCTCAAACTCCTGACCTCAAGTGATCCACCTGCCTCGGCCTCCCAAAGTGCTGAGATTACAGGTGTGAGCCACCACACTAGCAGTCATTTCCTTTATTGACAGCTTTATTTTCATGAAAACTGTTTGATGCTCTGATGCTATTCAGCTTTGATCTTTGTTATTGTTGCTCATTGGCTGAGCTAATGTGAAGAGCTAATGTGGCTGTGAGGAACAGTGGAGTAGAGGATTTTTGGAAAATGCTTCCATAAAGAGCTATTGGAAGGAAATTAGAATGGTCATGGTAGAGTATTCATTTTTCAACTAGGGGTTATTTAATGAATGAGAAATGAAGTTAGAAGATTAGGGTGAAAAAATCATGTTTTCCAAGCATAGAGTTTTTATTTACTTTAAAACAAATGGTGCTGAGAGTAGAGTTAAAGTGGAAAACATTGAAGGAGATTAGGGATGACTATTGAGGAAATCAAGGTGGTAGTTGAGAAGATTTGAAGGAATACATAAGTGCATTGTGGAGAGCTGGGGTATAAGAGTTTGTAGAAATTGTGGTTAGAAAAAACAGGACAGCAAAAATGAATTTAGAAAAGAGAGGAATAATGAAAATGAGTGTTTTTTTGGAAATATGAACATTTTCTTTTAAATAAACTTCCATATCATTGTATCAAGGAAGTTTTGACTAGAAAGCTGCTACTTTGAATAGAAATGAAGGACAGAGCTTAACCTACTGAACTTACAATTTGTTGAAGAGACAAATTGAAGCAGATCATCAAGTTTTGTTTTTGGTGTGTTCAAAACATTCAAAATTGAGAGTCTCCTGTTTTTATATTGTAAGACTCCATGGTGACTGGGAGGACGGACAAGAGGGAGGTTGAAGAGTAGAATTCAGAGTGAAAGAGAGTGCTCTAAGGGAACTTGAGCTAGGGCATAGAAAACATCATGGCTATGCTTTGGTTCTCCTCTGCCCAGGCAGCTTCCAGTCACTCACTCCTATATATCCCCTACCCCATCAGTTCTCCTTTGTCTTAATTTTCATTGTCAACTTTGTTGTGGTCTTCTTTGTTGCCCTTCATCTTCCCTTCCTCCTCCTCCTTTTTTTCTCTTTCTTTCTCTGAACAAGTAATAGTTTTTGTATAGCACTAGAGTGCTATAAGTTGTATAATTTATTAATATTTAAGTTTTTCCTTTGCTCACATTTAAAACTGTTTAAATAAACTGATATGTTGCAGTTAATCAGTCCATTTGAATCAGAATTTGAGAGCTTATTTAAAATTATAATATCAGTTCTCCATAGGTAAACAATAGAGGTTAATAATTAGAGAAGGTAAGCACCAATATGTTGTCATCTCTATTTAATTATTCAGCTGTCTGGTTTATTTGGAAGTTGATATAAGATTGTTTTTATAAAGGGTACTGTAGTTTTACTGTTGTACAAAGTCATCATACTTATGTTTTTCAAGGAAAGTAATTTTGTATGATGATTCTTTAAAACAATAATTAGCCATATACTTTTTTACAGGTACATGAAATCCCGCTTAACCTATAATCAAATTAATGATGTTATTAAAGAAATCAACAAGGCAGTAATTAGTAAATATAAAATCCTACATCAGCCAAAAAAGTCTATGAATTCTGTGACCAGAAATCTCTATCACAGATTTATTGATGAAGAAACGAAGGATACCAAAGGTAAAATGGCAGCATATATGTGTGTACATGTGAACTGTTCAGAGTATAACTAAATCACGAGAAATGTAGCTAGTTCTAGAAAATTCTAAATCTAGAGTGTTAATTCCCAACCAGGAGCAGTTATCCTACCAGGAGACATTTTACCATGTCTGGAGACATTTTTGGTTGTTACAGCTGGGTGCTCCTGGCATCTAGTAGGTAGAGGCCAGGGATGCTGCTATAACAGCCGGCAGTGCACAGGATAGCACCCACAAAATAAATTCTCTGGCTCACAGTGTCTGTAGTGCTGAGCCTGAGAAACATTGCTTTAGAGTCTATTGTGAAACTATGCCCAATGTTTTAGGAAATTGAATAGTAATGATAATAGCTAGTCCTGTTGATATAGCTACTTACTGTATGGCAGAGAGTGTGCCAAGAGCTTCAATCCTTACAACACCCGTATCACTTACTGTTATTACTCCCAATTTGTAGACTAGGCAAAGAGAGCTTAACTTACTTGTCCAAGGTCATCCAGTTAAATGATAACACTGTTACGGGTTTTATTCTTATAACCACTATGTCACATTGCCTCTTGAAAAGTGAATTGTTCAAGCGATACCAACAGATAGCTAGTGACCTAATAAATATCATGCATGCAACTTCTGTTGATAGAATAATTATTATTTTAGCAAGAATACTAGTTCTTGGTTTTATTGGATACTAACAGTAAAAACGACTAATACCATTCATATTCACAACTTAATGTATTAAAGACTCTTTTGCAAGTTGGCCTTATAAAAATTAGCACTAATATCTTTATTTTTAGGTCGTTATTTTATAGTGGAAGCTGACATAAAGGAGTTCACAACTTTGAAAGCTGACAAGAAGTTTCACGTGTTACTGAATATTTTACGACACTGCCGGAGGCTATCAGAGGTCCGAGGGGGAGGACTTACTCGTTATGTTATAACCTGAGTCCCTTGTGAACTTTTGAACATACCAACAGGGTATAGAGTATAGAGGCTATTTCTATAATTTTCTTATATATAATTTTTTTAACTTTTAATCTTTTTTGTTTCCTTTTTTTTTTTTTTGAGACAGGATCTTGCTTTGTCACCCAGGGGCTTGCTTTGTCACGCAGGCTAGAGTGCAGTGGCGCAAACATGGCTCACTGCAGCCTCAACCTCCCAGGCTCAAGTGATCCTCCCACCTCAGCCCCCTGAATGGCTGGGACTACAAGCGTGCGCCACCATGCCTGGCTAATTTTTGTATTTTTTGGAGAGATGGGGTTTCACCATGTTGCCTAGGCTGGTCTTGAGCTCCTGAGCTCAAACAATCCACCCTCCTCAGCCTCCCAAAGTGCTGGGATTACAGGCTTGAGCCACCACACCTGACCTATTCTTGTTTCTTATAAAAATAAAACTTTTTTGGATAAAGCTTATTTCTTGTTTTTTTCTTTTTCTTTTTTTTTTTTTTTGAGACAGTCTCGCTCTTTCACCCAGGCCGGACTGCAGCGGCGCTATCTCGGCTCACTGCAAACTCTGCCTCCCAGGTTCACGCCATCCTCCTGCCTCAGCCTCCTGAGTAGCTGGGACTACAGGCACCTGCCACCACGCCCAGCTAATTTTTTGTATTTTTAGTAGAGATGGGGTTTCACCGTGTTAGCCAGGATGGTCTCGATCTCCTGACCTCATGATCCGCCCACCTCGGCCTCCCAAAGTGCTGGGATTACAGGCGTGAGCCACCGCGCCCGGCCAACTTATATATTTTCAAGATTCACCTCCTCTCACCAAATATTTAACTACCTGCTGAATACGCCTCTGTACTAGGCACATAATGGAACTAAAAAATGCTCATGTCCAGTTTTTGTGTTGAGTGAACAATGCTGCAGACCCTAATAAGATTGGGTACAGATCGGCATGCGCCTGTAGTCCCAGCTACTCAGGAGAATTGCTTGAACCTAGGAGGTGGAGGTTGCAGTGAGCCGAGATCGTGCCACTGCACTCCAGTCTGGGCAACAGAGCGAGACTCCATCTCAGAAAAAAAGAAAAAAAGACTGGGTACAGATGTGATATTGGAAGAAAAAGATCAAGCTGATGAGGTTAGGATACCCAGGCCCTTTGGACTTAAAGATCACTAGTGTCTAAATTCCATCGATGGCATTTCAGTCTATAGGTAAACTTCCTGGAAGCTGGATTTGGAGACAGTTTATCATCTGATTATTGGGCTTTCGTATAGGTCCTTAGGGAGCAGCTTACCTGAAATGCATTTAGTGTACACCAGTCTGTAAACTTCAACCTGTAATGAAAGTGTAATAAATGTACATTGAGTTGATGTGATAATGTGATATAATAAGAAATATATATTTGATCTTCCTATCTAGTTCCTTGTTCAGAGCTCCTAAAACCCTTGTAATTTCCAAAGTGATGGAGTACATCTTTTGTTCTAGTATTTGGTCTTTGACCCCAGTTCCTGACACAAAGCTCCTAAATTCCTTTAAATTTCCCAGTGATAGGAGAATTTTTTGTTCTAATGAGGTCACTCTTGATGGGCACCTGGATAACTCAGGATGGGGGCTGCTCACAAAGACCACATCATGATTGGAAGTTTCAAACTTTCAGTCTCCCACCTCCAGAGAGGGGAGAGGGGCTGGAGATTTGTGTCAATAATCCATCAGGCCTATGTCAACAAGACATAATCCGTTAACTATGGAGTTCAGGGAGCTTCAGGGTTGGCAAACATTTTGATGTGCCAGGAAGGTGACGCACTCCAGCTTTATGAAGTCAGCAAGTCCTGTGCTCAGGATGCTTCTGGACCTTGCCCCAGGTACCCCTTCATGTGGCTGTTGTTCATCTGTATCCTTTGTAGTAGCCTTAAAATAAACTGTTAAACACAAGTAAAGCATTTCCCTGAGTTCTGTATTGCCGTATCAAATTATCAAACCTGAGGAGGGGGTTGTGGGAACCCCCATGTGTAGCCATGTTGGACAGAAGTATGGGCAACCTGGGGACCTGCTAGTTGTGACTGGTGTTTGAAGTTGGGGATGGTTTTATGGGACTGAGCCCTTAAATCTGTGGGGTCTGCATCAACTCTAGGTATTTAGTGTCAGAATTCAATTAAATATAGGATACTCTGTTGGTGTCTAGAGAATTGGAAAATTGGTTGGGATGGGGAAAAAAACTCCACACATTTGGTGTCAGAAATATTATGTGAATGTAGTATAGAAGAAAACAGGCTTTTCCCTTGTTGGTGAAAAACATGATAAAATAATGTGTGGGTAGGTTGATAATAGTCAAGAAAAATGGGTAATGGGATTGTAAGAACTTAGCCATGTTTCTCTCAGGCACCTGGGGAGACTGGTCTGTCTATGTCTGTGCCATCTGCTTGGCAGGCTTGTCCCTGTAGCAGAGAAAAAATGTGTCTCACCAAGCCTGTGGCCTGGTTAACACCATCACTGTGATGAACACACAGACGCTGCATATTTACTGTTATCCTTTTGTTTTCCTTAATTTAAATACAGGCATGTTTAATTTTTCATGCCTCAACTTAAGTGAAAATAATGGCATTATTCTTTATTTTAAGTATTGTTTGATTTTTGATATGGTTTGGCTGTGCCCCTACCCAAATCTCACCTTGAATTGTAATAATCCCTATGTGTCAAGGGCAGGGCCAGGTGGAGATAATTGAATCACGGGGGTGGTTTTCCCCATGCTGTTCTCATGGTGTAATTAATGAGTCTCACGCGATCTGATAGTTTTATAAATGGGACTTCCCCTGCACAAGCTCTCTTGCCTGCTGCCATGTAAGACATGACTTGGCTCCTCATTTGCCTTCCGCCATGATTGTGAGGTCTCCCCAGCCATGAGGAACTGTGAGTCCATTAAACCTCTTTCCTTTATAAATTACCTATTCTTGGGTATGTCTTTATTAGCAGTGTGAGAACAGACTAATACAATTTTTCTTTTTCTCTTCTTCTCCTCCTTTTCCTCCTTCTCTTTCTTCTCCTCCTCCTTCTCTTCCTTTTCCTTCTCCCTCTCCTCTTCCTCCTTCTTCCCCTTCTCCTCCTCCTCCTCCTTCTTCTTCTTCGTCTTTGTCTTCTTCTTTGTCTTTATCTTCTTCTTCTTGCCAGAATCTCACTCTGATGTCCAGGCTGGAGTACAGTGGTGTGATATTGGTTCACTGCCTCCACCTCCCAGGTTGAAGCCATCCTCTCACATCAGCCTCCCAAACAGGTGCATGCCACCATGCCTGGCTTTTTTTTTTATTTTGTATTTTTTGTAGAGACAGAGTCTTGCTATGTTGCCCAGGCTAGTCTTGAACTCCCGGGCTAAAGCAATCACCCTCGGCCTCCCAAAGTGTCGGGATTATAGGCGTGAGCCACTGCACCCAGCCCATAGATGGTTTTAATAAGGATTCTGTGGTTATAAGAGTGTGAGATGTGCTTAGTTAAGTAAAGATAAGCAGATTTTATTATTTCATGACTTCTGAAGTCCTTCATCTTACCCATTTATTTTCTAAATCTCCAACAGAGACAGGCTGTGTAGTGGAGCACACATTCTACTTGTGGAGAGTTACTTCCATTACCTCTTTCGTTATTTCTGAGGAATACGTATTCATATCTCTGGGCATACTAATGCTCCATGAAATATGTTTTGGAAACATAAAGCAATCTGTTTTGCTTTATGACGTAAAGCAACCTGACATAAAGCAATCTGTTTTGAAACCCCACTCGTTTTTATTAATGAAATGTCATTACACAATCTTATTAGTAAATATATGTATGTAAAAGACATTTATTGAGGCAGTGTAATGGACTTTGGGGTGAGAAGGCTAACCAGAGTTCAAATCCTGGTTATGCTACTGACACGCAGTACAAGCTTCAGTTAGTTAATCTCTTAGAACCACAGTCTTCTTATCTTCTGTAACAAGATAATCACGGCAGTCACCTGGTTGCCCTTGCTGACTCCACTTGGGGGTAGGAGGTGAGAGAAGTACTGGTGAAACTTGAGAGTGCAATTAAAGGGAGATGGATATCCTAAAAACCAGCCCAATTGAGGCAGGAAAATAGGGTCTGGAGGCAAGGAACATAAGGCTGATTCACACTTCAGCTATGACAGGAAATATCCTCTCCATAGGGCGTAGGCCAAGTAAATGATTTTATCACTTCATCCTCTTCATTTACATAGGGCATACCCCAAGTAGAGGGTATGTAAACTCCCCAGAATTCTGTTACGGGGCCTTTGAGTCCCTATGCTCAGACCTGCTCCCACACTGTGGAGTGTACTTTCATTTTCAATAAAACTATTCCTTCCTTGCTTTGTGCATTTTGTCCAATTCTTTGTTCAAGATGCCAAGAACCTGGACACCCTCCACCATTAACACGATGCCTCTTCAGCCATCAAGCTTGATACAGTGCCCAGTGACAGTGACACTACAGTGTGATACAGAGGAGAGGAGAGAGGGGAGCTAGTACAAGGACAGTCTGGGCCGGGCGGGGTGGCTCACGCCTGTAATCCCAGCACTTTGGGAGGCCAAGGTGGGCGGATCACCTGAGGTTGGGAGTTCGAGACCAGCCTGACCAACATGGAGAAACCCCGTCTCTACTAAAAAAAAATACAAAAAATTAGCCGGGCGTGGTGGCGCATGCCTGTAATCCCAGCTACTCGGGAGGCTGAGGCAGGAGAATCACTTGAACCTGGGAGGCAGAGGTTGCAATGAGCAGAGATTGCACCATTGCACTCCAGCCTGGGAGACAAGAACGAAACTCTGCCTCAAAAGAAAAAAAAAAAAAAAAAAGGACAGTCTGCATCCCTTTGGCAGGGCAAGTTCCTGCCAGATGTCTGAACAGCACATGGACTTCTCTGCTTAAAGCGCCTTGCTATGGATCCTGTGGACTGGTTTAAACATACTGCCAACCTCCTCCAGGAAGACTGCCTGTTGGGCAAGGGTCCCCTGGGTGTAAGCTGATATGGAAGGGATAAGACGGGGTTTCTTGCCTCAGGGGCTGTGCAAGGGAGGCCGCTGCTTAGAGGGAAGGAGAGGGCTCAAACCTGCTGTTGAGGTAGAGATTTCCTGAAAGAAAAGATGGTAGCAATCACTTCATGAATAGTCACTATGTTCCCAGAAGGTCTGAGTCCTAAGGACCTTCCTCTGGAGCCTCAGTAAATTTACTTAATCTAAATGGGTCCAGGTGCTGGGGTAATTACCCTTATCTTGTCTCCTGCTAAATTAGAGGTTTGGGGAGTTCCTTCACACCCCCAATAAACTTGTTTGTGGAGGCCAGGGGAGTTTCTTCAGACCCACAGTAAAACTTATTTAATCCTAAATGTGTCCTATTAAGAATTGCTTCGTTATTTTGTCATGCTTTAAGGCCCAGGAAAGGCCAAGGCAAAACTCTTGGTGGGCTTTTGTTACATCCCAGCCTTTGTATAAGAGCACTAGCTTTTAATATTCAACTTAACCACTCAGTACTGAAACAGTTATTATGGAGGCCTGCATTAGTGAGACCTGGCCTGCCACAACTTAGGGAGAAAAGATTTTTTTGTCTTTCTACATTTTGATTATGATGTATTTGGATGTTGATGGTCTTGTATTTGTCCTACTTGGAGTTCTCTGAGCTTCTTGATACACGAATTTATGGTTTTTAATTAAATTTTGGAAGTTTTCAGCTATTTCTTTTAATTTGTGTGTGTGTGCGCGTGCTCCTTTTCAGAGGAGGTGCCAGTTGGGCTTCCTGGGTCGACTTGGGGCTCAGAAAGCTGTGAAACTCACTCATTTCCTGCATCAGGACTTACTTTGGTCCTGGATGAATAATACTGAAGATATATGCTTAAAATATTCCTAATATCAGAATTTGTGCCTGTGTTTTCTTCCCCAAGAAAGCTATAAACAGCGAAAATTTTGATGTAAGCTTCCCTGTGTCCTCTCTCCCTCTCTCCCTTCCCCCTCCCCTGAAACTAAAAGGAATGTTAAAAGCCTGTTTTTCTGTGACCCACAGAGGCAGACCGTATCTATGCTCCCAATTCCAATTCCTTTTAAACACAATTTGTAAACTCCCGTGAGATCCTGTCTCTTTTGCCATGTCGCTGCAAGGTCATAAAGTAGATAAAACTTAAGTTACAATTCCAGTTTTCCTCAAGATCTGAGACGTGTTGTCTTTGTTTCTCGCTCTGGTAACATCTTCCTGCGGCACGTATTTCCCGCCTGAAGAGTTTAAAAGGTGATCGAAAAATCTAACACTGGCTACCCGCTTGGGACCCCTTCCACGCTGTGGAAGCTTTATACTGTCACTGCTCAATAAAGCCTACAGCTTTTTTTTTTCTCTCGGTCCGATCCGTGTCTCTCTCTTGCCGCAGGCTGCCACCACACCAATTCTTTGGCGTGGCTAAGGCAAGAACCTTTTGGTGTTACACTTTCTTTCCACTCCTGTACTTGCATTACAAATATGTTGGTGCACTTAATGGTGCCCCACTTTTCTCTGAAGCTCTGCTCATTTGTCTTTATTTTCCCTCCTATTATTTCTGTTCTTTCTCTGTATTCTTCAAATATATGATCTCTATTGATCTATCTTCAAGTTTGCCGATTCTTTCTTTGGTTCCTGTTTTTGTGCTTTTAAATTCCAGAATTTTCATTTGGTTCTTTCTTACAATTTCTATCTTTGTATTGATATTCTATATTTGATGAGACATTGTCATTAGGCTTCCTTTAAACATGGTTCCCTTTAGATCTTTGAACACATGTATAACAGCTGCAGTGATTTGGCTGAGCTAGTTCAATGATTTGACTATCTTCTTTCCTGATCTTCCCATTGAGCTTCTAGCAGGTCTGCCTCTGTTGGTATCTCACATGGCTGTTAGCCTCCATTAATTGCTAGGTGATTGGTCTGTTGTTCTTGACAGTGCCCTGGGGCTTAAATTGCTCTACAGTCTGATTCAGTTGCAGTCAAGCCCCTTCGCAGGGGCAGGGTATTGCTAGTCTTTGAGACTTGCTTCCACCCCCTGTGGACTGAACCTCTGTAGTATGGAGTAGGAGCTGGGGGAAAAGGAGGAACAGTTTTTCACCAGCTGCCCCATCCAGATCCTGTCTATGGAGCAGGAGCCATGGATGCGGGGTAGGGAGTAGCATCAGGAACTGGTATCATCAGCCACCTATTTCTCTGCTGTGATTTGCAAGGAACTAGTTTTTCAGTCTCCCTTACCAAATGGCTTCTGACTGGGTTTAGCCAATAGGAAGTGCTAGTGGAAGATTGGCATGTTGGAGAGGGGGAGAAGCCAGAAATTTCATCCTGTCTCGCTTTGCTTTGGGTTGGTATCCTTGGCAGGCTGTGTCTCCTGTGTGGCACTGACTACTCCAACCAGCCCTCTTTTTGTGGTTCCATTTCCCACTGGGCAATGGGAAACCATGCAGTGTAATTCTCCACTCTGTAGGTTGAAACTATAGTAGCTTTATCTGGATGGCCTGGCAAATAGCCTCTAGTGATACCACTTTCTCCCATAATCCCTTCTGTCTTAGTGTTCCCAGACCACACTGAGGGCCGGGCTCCTATTTCTCGTGGCCCAATAACGAGATGCAGATGGACTGGGGAGGAAGGGAGTTTTTATTTCTGCAACCACTTACAGGGAGAAGGCCTAGAAATTATCACCAGACAAACTCAAAATTACGAAGTTTTCCAGAGCTTATATACCTTCTAAGCTATATGTCTATATGTAAGTGTGCATTCATCTAAAGACCTAAGTGATTAACTTCTTTTAATCTATACCTAAGGTCTGAGTCTTGAAGACCTTCCTCTGGAGCCTCAGTAAATTTGCTTAATCTAAATGGGTCCAGGTGCTGGGGTAATTACCCTTATCTTGTCTCCTGCTAAATCTTGGCGGTTTGGGGAGTTTCTTCAGACCCCCAATAAACTCGTTTGTGGAGGCCTGGGGAGTTTCTTTAGACTCACAATAAAACCTGTTTAATCATGCTTTAAGGTACAGGAAAAGCCTGGGCAAAACTCTTGGTGGGCTTTTGTTACATTCTAGCCTTGTTTTGGGGTACCGGCTCTTTCAGCTTTTAATATTTAATGTAGCCACTCAGTCAGTGCTGAAATAGTTGTTATGGAGGCCTGCGTTAGTGAGACCCGGCCTGCCACATTAGTATAGTAGTAGTGTCTTGCTGTACCCTCTTAGTCACTTCACTATGTGATACCTTACCTTGTTTTAATATGAACAGACTCTCCCTTAGCTGAGAAAGCCAGACAGACTCCATTTGGCTCCTTCATTTGCAAGACATCAAGGGCTCCTTACCCACCCCCTTCCTCAAGGACTCGTGCAAGCTGACTCCCAGCACATCAAAGAGTGCAATTAGCCAATAAGGTACTGTGGCAAGCTATGTCCACAGTTCCCAGAAATTCGCCCAAGTGATAGTACCCTAAGCCCCCGCGTTTGTGTCTGGTAGATAGCAGCCAAAGCCCTCGCACCTATCACCTTGTGATGGATTTAAAGCCCCTGCACCTGGAACTGTTTGTTTTCCTGTAACCATTTGTCTTTTTAACTTTTTTTGCCTGTTTTACTTCTGTAAGATTGCTACAGCTAGGCTTCCCCTCCCCTCTCTAAACCAAAGTATAAAAGAAAATCTAGCCCCTTCGGGGCCGAGAGAATTTTGAGGGCTAGCCATCTCTCGGTCGCCAGCTAATAAAGGACTCCTGAATTAATCTCAAAGTGTAGCGTTTCTCCATAACTCGCTTGGTTACAACATTTGGAGGCCCCAACGAGATATTCACCTCTGGGTGAGAGCTGGACTCATTCCAGGCTCCCCCGGACAGACGGCGGACTTATAGGGGAGGTGCCACCTGAAGACATTCCAGGGCCCCATAAGACCCCGTCTTCCGGAGGGGAATGGATCGACCACCAGTGTGTGCCCACAAAAATTCAACTCCTGATCCTCAGTTTCTGGTCCCGGGAAGGTAAGTCAGATCTGACTCTGTTTCTCTGGGAGGGAAGCGGCCCTGACAAGGGCCCTCCCTTGACTCTGCCTGCGTTGCAGGATGCTGAAGGACAGAGTCCCGGTTTCTGGCAGCCCGGCCTCTCTGTTAAGATTAGTCTCTCTCTCCCTCCCTCTTTCTTTATCTCTTCTGCTTCTCTCGTTCAGGTCTCCCGGAGACCTCTGTTATAGAACGGGAATAAGAAAACTGTTGTAAACTGTGTGAATGAGTGCGTGAATGTGGAGTTCAAGGGCTTGCGCTTGAATTTCCAGTTTGTACCTCCAGGGCGAAAGCTACGGAGTTCGAGTGGGCCCTCACCTGCAGTTCCGTGGTGACCTCATAAGGCTTAAGGCAGCATCGGGCATAGCTCGATCCGAGCCGGGGGTTTATACCGCCTGCCAATGCTAAGAGGAGCCTAAGTCCCCTCGGGAACAGCCAGGCGGGCATCTGACTGATTCCATCATGGGACCCCCTCCCCTTGTCTGTCTATAAAAATTGTCATAATTGTTTATATACCCCAGTGTCTATTGTCCTGTTTAGTGTCTACGGTCCTGTCTTGTGTCTAACTTTCGTATGTCAGGTCGTCGATATTGCCCAAGACAACTGGGCAAGGACTTCAAAGTCCTGAGTGCAGATTTCTAACACAGGAGGTCTCAGGTGTGTCTCTTCGGGTTGCCGGGCCCAGGAGCCAGGCGCTCCTCCTTGGCAGGGGCTCCCAGACCCGAAGGCGAGGAGTGGGAGGGGACCCCCTTCCCCAGAGACCCCTGCAGGCTCCCGGCTCCTGCGCCTTCAGGCGTCAAAGCCCCCGACTTCCCCGAGCACCAGCGTATCTGCACCTGGCTTAGAACGCAGAGGCCCGGCCTGCTGTGGTGACCTTGGCCCCGGGCCAGACTTCTGAGCTGGGCTTGCAGTGCCTGACAGGGCCTGGAGGCGGGGCGGGGTACCGCGGAGTCATCCTGGCAACCCCGTGCTGCTCAGCAGGGCTCCTCCCAGCCTGAAAAGATCTGAGTGGCCCCTTTCCTCCTCATCCCCATCCCTTACCCCGCACATCCCGTTTTCCTGTGCCACAGCAAGTCCAGCGCCTCCAAGACTTGGCTCCGCTCTCCCTCCTAAAATCCTTAAAAGAAAGGGCAAAGTTTGAACTTTTTGCCTTCAAGTCGTGGAGACGCCAAAAATATTTAGACTATAAGTCAGAGAGGAGAGGGGGATCACGTAGGTCCCACTAGCCTCGCACCCATCTCTTGTCCTCTCCCTAAATCTTGGAGCTTAAGGAAACAGACCTTATGTGGCAAGAAGCGCTGGCTATAGCTGTTTTCCTACTTCTTTTGGTTATGATGCTTCTATTCTTCCGATACTCCAGCCCCTCCAGGTCATGAATTTCTCTGTCCATGCTGGGTTTAATATCTCTGCTCAAACTTTGTTAAACTGCCTCCAGAATGGGAAACTCTTCTTCCCAGTCTCATAAAGATTGGAGCCCTCTCCAATGTATGTTACAAAATTTCTCTCTAGGCTTCTCCGAGGATTATGGGGTCCGCCTTAAAAAAGGCAAACTCTGGACACTCTGTGGAGTAGAATGGCCAAAGTTTGGAGCCGGGTCACTGAACCTCGCAATTGTTCAGGCTGTGTGGCGGGTTGTTGCTGGAACTCCTGGTCACCCTGATCAGTTTCCCTACATTGATCAATGGCTGAGTTTGGTCCGGAGCTCTCATCCATGGCTCCACTCATGCGCCATTCCTAATCCTACCTCCAAGGTCATTTTGAGCCAGACCTCACTTTCGCCTCGACCCTCAGCCGGCTCGGCTCCTCCTGTATTGCCTCCTTCTGAAGAAGAGGAAAGTCTCCCTCACCCAGTTCTGCCGCCTTATAACCCTCCTGCTCCCTTAGAATCTTCCCTTGTCTCCTCGACTACATCCCCTGTGGGCTCTCTGCCTATTGCCTCCTGATTGAGGCCACAGCAGGAGGAGGTAGCCCCCCTCCTCCTGCTGAGAGAGGCACAAGTCCCTGCGGGTGATGAGTGCTCAGCTCCATTCTTGGTTTATGTCCCCTTTTCTACTTCTGACCTGTGCAACGGAAGGCTCATAATCCCTCCTTTTCTGAAAAGCCCCAGGTCTTGACCTCACTGATGGAGTCGGTGCTCTGGACCCATCAGCCCACCTGGGATGACTGTCAACAACTCCTTTTAACCCTCTTCACCTCTGAAGAGAGGGATCGTATCCGAAGAGAAGCCAGAAAGTATTTCCTTACATTAGCCGGTAGACCGGAGGGGGAAGCCCAAAACCTCCTTGAGGAGGTTTTTCCCTCTACCCGGCCTGATTGAGATCTGAACTCCTCAGGTGGGAAGAGAGCTTTGGATAATTTTCACCGTTATCTCCTTGCGGGTATCAAGGGAGCCGCTCGAAAACCATGAATCTGTCTAGGACAACTGAAGTTGTCCAGGGGCCTGGTGAGTAACCTGGAGCATTTTTAGAATGCCTCCAGGAGGCCTATCGGACTTACACCCCTTTTGACCCAGCGGCTCCCGAGAAGAGCCGTGTTATTAATTTGGCATTTGTGGCTCAGGCGCCTCTGATATTAGAAAAAAATTACAAAAACTGGAAGGATTTGCTGGAATGAACATTAGCCAGCTTTTAGAAGTAGCCCAGAGAATTTTTGACAGTCAAGAGTTCGAGAAACAAAAACAGGCAGCTGAAAAGGCTGCTGATGAAACATCCAAAAGACAACCGAAAATCTTAGTGGTCGCCATCCGGGAAGCCAGAAAGGAGGGGCCCCCATCACAGAACACTAGCCAGGGGACCCCGGTTCCACAACAGAAAGGCCAGAAAAGTGAGTAGGCTTCCCTACAGAAAAACCAATGCACTTATTGCAAGCAGATAGGACACTGGAAAAAAGAATGCCCATTTAAACCAGAGGGAAAAATAATGCCCATTAAAGCCAGAGGAGAAACCAGAAAAGAAAAAGGTCTGAAGGGGGCCAGCCCCTCCACACCTGTGGGTGTTTCTCATCAGGTGGGTCAAAAGAGTGAGAAAAGAAGACACAGAGACAAAGTATAGAGAAAGAACTGTGGGCCCAGGGGACCAGCGCTTAGCATACAGAGGACCTGCGCCGGCCCTGGTCTCTGAGTTCCATCAGTATTTATTGATCACTATCTCTACCATCTCGGAGAGGGGGATGTGGCAGGACTATAGGGTAATGGTGGGGAGAGGGTCAGCAGGAAAACATGTGAGCAAAGATCTCTGTGTCATAAATAAGTTTGAGGAAAGGTGCTGTGCCTTGATGAGGACGTAGGCCAGATTTATGTTTGACTTTACACAAACATCTCGGTGCATTAAAGAGCAGTATTGCCGCCAGCATGTTTCACCTCCAGCCATAAGACAGTTTTTTCCTATCTCAGTAAATAGAACGTATGATTTTGTTTTACACTGAGACATTCCATTCCCAGGGACGAGCAGGAGACGGATGCCTTCCTCTTAATTGCAAAGAGGGCTTCTTCCTCTTTCACTAATCCTCCTCAGCACAGACCCTTTACGGGTGTTGTGCTGGGGGACGGTCAGGTCTTTCCCTTCCCACGAGGCCATATCTCAGGCTGTCACATGGGGAGAAAGCTTGGACAATACATGGCTTTCCTGGGCAGAGGTCCCTGTGGCCTTCTGCAATGCATTGTGTCCCTGGGTACTCGAGATTAGAGAATGGCAATGACTTACCAAGCATACTGCCTTCAAACACATTTTCAACAAAGCACATCCTGCACAGCCCTAAATCCATTAAACCTTGAGTCAACATAGCACATGTCTCTGCAAGCACAGGGTTGGGGCTAGGGTTACAGATTAACAGCATCTCAAGGCAGAAGAATTTCTCTTAGTACAGAACAAAATGGAGTTTCTTATGTCTACTTCTTTCTACATAGAGTAACAGTCTGATCTCTCTCTATTTTCCCCACAAAGGTCCTCAATCTCCCCGCAGCAGAGGAATCTGATGATTAAAAGGGCCGGGGCTCCCTCTCTCTTGGCCCCCGGAAGCCCATGGAGACCGTCACAGCGGAGGGCCATGGTGATGCCCAGGCATCTATTTGTCTAAAAGACTGGACCCAGTGGCCTCCAGGTGGACAAGTTGTCTGTGGGCCATAGCAGCCACAGCAAGCCTGATTCAGGAGACTGATAAACTGACTCTAAGTCAAAATTTAACTCTTACGGCTCCTCGTGCCATAGAGACTTTGCTGCAAAGTGCTTCTGGCAAATGGATGTCAAATGCTCGCATCCTGCAGTATCAGAGTTTTACTGTTAGATTGGCCTCGTTTAACTTTCTCTCCCACAAGGTGTTTAAATCCAGCTACTTTGCTCCCTGATCCAGACTTCACCACACCTGTCCATGACTGCCAGGAACTGTGAGAGACTACAGAAACTGTCCGACCTGATCTCCAAGATGTGCCTTTAAAGGAGGTGGATGCTACCGTGTTTACAGACAGTAGCAGCCTCCTTAAACAAGGAGTACGAAAGGCTGGTGCGGCTGTTACTATGGAGACGGATAAACTGCAGACTCAGGCATTGCCAGCAGGTACCTCAGCACAAAAAGCTGAATTGGTTGCTCTCATTCAGGCCCTCCGACGGGTAAGGACAAATGTATTAACATTTACACTGACAGCAGGTATGCTTTTTGCTACTGTGCGTGTACATGGAGCCATCTACCAAGTGCGTGGGCTACTCACCTCAGCAGGAAAGGCTATCAAAAACTAAGAAGAAATTTTGGCCCTGCTTGAAGCTGTTTGCCTACCTCAACAGGTGGCTGTAATTCACTGCAAAGGACATCAAAAAGAAGACACGGCCGTTGCCCATGGTAACCAAAGAGCAGACTCTGCAGCCTGGGGGCCAGCTCAACTGCCAGTCGCGCCTCCGACCCTGCTGCCTGCAGTGTCCTTTCCGCAACCTGACTTGTCAGATCACCCAGAATATTCCCCAGAGGAGGAAAAACAGGCTTCGGATCTTCAGGCCAGTAAAAATCAGGAAGGAGGAGTAAAACTGGCCCAGCTTCTAAGGAGCCGTTTCAAGATCCCCAACCTTCAGGACTTAGTTAACCAAGCAGCTCTCTGGTGTACGGCTTGTGCCCAGGTAAACACTAAGCAAGGTCCTAAACCCAGCTCAGGCGACCGCCTCCAGGGAGACTCACCAGGAGAAAGGTGGGAAATTACAGAAATAAAACCACACTGGGCAGGGTACAAATACCTTCAGGTACTAGTAGACACCTTTTCTGGATAGACTGAGGCATTTGCCACCAAAAACGAGACTGCCACCACGGTAGTTAAGTTTTCACTCAATGAAATCATCCCTCAACATGGGCTGCCTGCTGCCATGGGGTCTGATAATAGATCGGCCTTCACCTCGTCCATAGCTCAGTCAGTCAGTAAGGCATTAAACATTCAATGGAAGCTCAGTTGTGCCTATCGACCCCAGAGCTCTGGATGGGTAGAACACATGAATCACACCCTAAAAAATACTCTTACAAAATTGATCTTAGAGACCGGTAAAAATTAGGTAAGACTCCTTCCTTTAACCCTTCTTAAAGTAAGATGCATTCCTTACCGGGCTGGGTTTTCACCTTTTGAAATCACATATAGGAGGGCTCCGCCTATCTTGCCTAAGCTAAAGGATACCCGTTTAGCAGAAATCTCACAAGCTAATTTATTACAGTACCTACAGTCTCTCCAACAGGTACGAGATATCATCCGCCACTTGTCTGGGGAGCTCATCCCAGTCCAGTTCCTGACCAGACGGGGCCCTGCCACTCGTTCCCACCGGGTGACCTGGTGTTAAAAAGTTCCAGGTTAAAGTTTAAAAAAAAAAAAAAAGTTCCAGAAAGAAGGACTCACTCCTGCTTAGAAAGGACCTCATACTGTCATCCTCACCATGCCGACAGCTCTGGAAGTGGCCAGCATTCCTGCTTAGATTCATCACTCACATCAAAAAGGCCAACAGAGCCCAACAAGAAACATAGGTCCCCAAGCATAGGCCAGGCCCCTTAAAACTGTGCCTAAGTCGAGTGAAGCCTTTAGATTAATTCTTTTTATTTATCTCTCTTGTTTATTTCCACCTGTTATGCCCTCCGTGCCTTCCTATTCTTCTCACTTCTTTCACGACAGGACGTGTATTTGCAAACACTACTTGGAAGGCAAGAACCTCCAAGAAAGTCTCTTTTGCAGTCGATTTATGTGCTTTGTTCCCAGAGCCTGCCCATAACCTTGAAGAACAATGCAACCTGCCGCATAGAAGCGGGGAACATCAACCTTGCTACAGGGTTCGGACACACAGGAAGCCGGACTGGATGTAAAAACTCTAAAAGTGAAAAAAAAAGGACTCCAGAGCATTGACTTTTACCTCTGTCCTAAAAATCACCCTGACTCTAGTTGTCACGATTCTTACCAATTTTTCTGCCCTCACTGGTTTTGTGTGACCCTAGCCACTTACCCTAGAGGATCACCTGGTCCTCAACCCTCTCCATAACTCACACTTCCCATCCTAGACTGTGTACTATGAAAAATTGTAACCCTCTTACTATAACTGTCTGTAACCCTGGTTCAGCTCAATGGTATTGTGACCTGTCATAGAGATTAAGGCTTTATATCTCGAGATTTAATGTTAAAACTATGTTCACCATCCAAAAAATCTAGATAAACGCCAGCAAAAATAGGAAAATAGCACCCCTTGGTACCAAAGTATGTTTAACTAGAATCCATGGCTGACTACTTTAATCACTAGGCTAGCTAGCCCCCTTCTCCTCCTACTGTTAGGCTTAGTCTTCAGGCTGTGTATATTAAATTGGTTTCTTAACTTTATAAAGCAACGCATAGCTTCTGTCAAGCTTATATATCTTAAAACCCAATATAACACCCTTGTTATAACTGAGGAATCAATGATTTGATTCCCCAAAAACACAAGTGGGGAATGTATTACCTTACCTTGTTTTAATATGAATAGACCCTCCCTTAGCTGAGAAAGCTGGACGGACTCCATTTGGCTCCTTCATTTGCAAGACATCAAGGGCTCCTTACCCACCCCCTTCCTCAAGGACTTAACTTGTACAAGCTGACTCCCAGCACATCAAAGAGTGCAATTAACCAATAAGGTACTGTGGCAAGTTATGTCCACAGTTCCCAGAAATTCACCCAGGTGATAGTACCCTAAGCCCCCGCGTTTGTGTCTGGTAGATAGCACCCAAAGCCCTCGCACCTATTACCTTGTGATGGATTTAAAGCCCCTGCACCTGGAACTGTTTGTTTTCCTGTAACCATTTGTCTTTTCAACTTTTTTTGCCTGTTTTACTTCTGTAAGATTGCTACAGCTAGGCTTCCCCTCCCCCCTCTAAACCAAAGTATAAAAGAAAATCTAGCCCCTTCTTCGGGGCTGAGAGAATTTTGAGGGCTGGCCGTCTCTCAGTCGCCAGCTAATAAAAGACTCCTAAATTAATCTCAAAGTGTAGCGTTTCTCTATAACTCGCTTGGTTACAACAACTATCCTTTGGCTTCTTTGCTCTTCCATCACCTGTGTATCTAATTTACAGTTTTAAATTCCAACACCCCTCCCCGCCATTGAAATACCTAGAGTGGTTTCTGTTTTCCTGACTAGAACCTGATTCCCACTAGCCAAATTAGGAGCAATTTAAACTTAAACATAAAATAATACCAATTGACTCAAACACATATAAAAATATTTGCATTCCTTATGATTCCCCCCAAAAAGAGAAAGCCCAAATTCCTAGTATTGGTGGACTCTTCTACACCAACTTCTTTCTCTGAACATTGGTAATTAAAGTAAAAGTTATCCTGCTTTTAGAATCATATTTCAGGATAACCAAATAGCCCAAGTGGATAAGGGAAACTGTTCTTTACAGAAGGAGGCCAGCTATATATGTCAAATGAATGGTAAAACTAGAAAATTACTTTTTTGTAACTCCTAATAATTGATTTACATAAGGGTCATCAATGCACGCTAAAATCATAAGGTAAAACACTGGTAGGAAACCATGCCTTTACTTGGTAGTCAGAAGAGGGGAGCGGTAACTTTAAATGGAGAGATTTGGCTTTCACTACTTGGGGCAGATTGCATATTCCAAAGATGGATGGGAGAATTCTATATCCCATTCCCATATGCTCTTTCAGTGTGATGTCAACACTCCTCCATCAAGAGGCAGGTTCTTTTTTCCCTCTGTCTGAATCTGGGCTATCTTTAACTGCTTCAACCTACAGAGTGGAGAAGCGACACTGCATGATTTCTAAGGCTAGCTCTTACAATACGGCTTTCATCTGGTTCACTTTCTCTCTTGGGACGCTTGCCCTTAGAACCCTGCCACCACGTTGTGAGAAAGCCAAGGCCAAATGGAGAGTTCACATAACTGCTATTACTATCTGCCAGTCATGTGAGCAAATGAACCTTCGGATGATTTTAGCTGCCAACCTTCATTTAAGTTATTTTGCTGAGATTCCAGACATCAAGAAGCAAAGACAAGCTGTTCCAGCTATGCTTTGTCCGAATTCAGAACTTGCAGAAATCATGAAAAATACTAAATAATTATGGTGGTTTAAAGACATGTTTTTGCATAATTTGTTATATAAGAGATAATGAATACACTACTCAACTTTGCATCACCAGTAGTGGAACATTCGGACATTATGCACCTCCTAAATGTGATACAATATGAAGTAGACATTCCTCTGTGTACTACCTATGAAGTATTGTTGCAGAATTTTGTTCCTTAGTTCTTGTCACATGACCAGGAAAATTTAGGCACACGAATACATTGAAGGGTGAGTAGGGCAGGATTTTATTGGGTGAAAAGGGAAAAAAAAATATCAGCAAAGTGAGATGGAGTCCTGCTAACAAGCTCCCCACCTCACAGATTGAATCCCAGGCCACCACACAGGATCTGAAGAGGCCAGGCTCCTCCCACCTGCCCATGGCTCCACCCCGTTTCCCCAGTGCACATGTGGGCATGTGCAGAAAAGGCCCTGAGCAGGTTCCCTCATCTGCACAAAAGCATCCGATGTAAACACTTATGGGGCATGTCGGAGATTCTCCAGGGACCCCTTTTTATCTGCCTAGGCATTTGGCTGTCTCTGTGTTACTGCCAAAAACATTAAACCTGAATCTAATTAAGGCTTTAGCTCTATCATCTAGTTGATAGGAAACATAGGGGAAAGAGAAACAAGCTAAATATCACCATGAAGAAATGATCAGGCAAATCTGTGTATAACATAAATAACCTGGTCTCTTAAATGCAAGTCAATGTCATTGAAAAAACAGATCCTCTTTCAGATTAAAAGATTTAAGAGCATAACCAAATATAAACCATGAACCTTGACTGGATTCAGTTTTGAGGGGGAAAAAAAAGATATAGGGACAACTGTTGAAATTTTAAGAAGGATTGTATATTAGGTGTCAAAGGGGAATTGTTTTGTTATGATAATGGCATTGTGGTTATGCAGGAGAATATCCTTATTTTCTGCAGCTGCATGCTGAGATATTTAGTGGTAAAATAATATATGATGTAAATAATATGCTTTAAAATGGGTCCAGCAATATAATTGGAAAGTTACATACATATATAGAACATATAAGGCAACGTGTTAATTGTTCAACCTAGCTGAAGGGCATCTTAGTGTTCATTGTATTATTCTTTCTAACTTTCTGAATGTTTTAAAAAATATTTCCTAATACAATTAATGCCTGTGTGAAACAAATGTACTGATTGGATATTTACATTTTATGAAATGTTCATTGATAAGAACTTGTGGGCTGGTGAAGTTGGGAAAGAAGGGAGAAGTGTTAGTAATCAATTATGAGCTCATATGCTATTTCCAGTACTCTGGTGAAATTCACTGTCCAGTGCTTCCCATCTGCATGCATTCTTCCCGACACTACTCACTGAGCCTAGGCTGAATGTTTGAACTTTTGTATTAGATTAAGGGGGTGAAGATATGAATTTCTTGAGTTATACTGTATATAAATATTATGTCTATACACAAAGCAATGTATTTGGCTTCTGACTTATCCATGGAGAAATGATATGCAGTGTATAAAGCTTGATATCTGAAAACTCTGTCATTTTTAAAGTACTACATTTTCTTCCTTTTTTTTTTTTTTTGAGATGGAGTCTCACTCTTGCCCAGGCTGGAGTGCAGTGGTGCGATCTCAGCTCACTGCAGCCTCCGCCTCCTGGGTTCAAGTGATTCTCCTGCCTCAGCTTCCTGAGCAGTTGGGATTACATGCACACACCACCACGCCAAGCTAGTTTTTGTATTTTTAGTAGAGACAGGGTTTTGCCATGTTGGCCAGGCTGATCTCAAACTCCTGACCTCAGGGGATCTGCCTGCCTCAGCCTCCCAAAGTGTTGGGATTACAGGCGTGAGCCACCGTGCCCAGCTAAAGTACTACATTTTCAAATAAGCTTAGGACTGCAGGTGATTAACATGGACAGATTTTCATTACCAATGCAGGTTTATCTTTATTATCATGAGACTATTATTCTTTGTAACAACTGTAATGCAATTTCAGACTAATATTTTAAATCTAGGATCAGTGAGGCAACTCAAAAAGCTCAGGTAATTACAATTTTATTTCTTCAGATAGTTCAACCTGATAAATGTGGGCTGTTCCAATTACAGATATTTTCTTGGTATAGTGATTGTGAGCTGTGCCTCATTTTCATACAAAAAAATTGCAACTCTGATCCTTAATTGTGACTCAAATTAAATTTTCAGGAATACTCTTTAACTTTAAAAATTATCCAACAACATGTTGTACCAAAGAGAACACATGAAAAAACCTGTGAGCATCAGAAAACCTGGGTCTAGGCCTAGCTCTGCCGTTTACTCACTTTTGGTTCTACCTTCAAAATATAATCCAAATTTGGCTCCTTCTCACAAACTTGGTGTCTACCACACTGGTCCCAAACAATATCATCTCTCCACTGGATTATTAAAAAACCGGTCCTGCTGATTTTGTTCTTGCCCCTACTGTGGAGTCTCCACATGCACCAGAGTTGGATTAGGTCACTCCACTACTGGGGAACCTCTGGTAGCTTCCTTTTTCTCTCAGAGTAGAAGCCTAGTTCTTACCAAGGCCTATAAGGCCCTTCACGGGTCACACCTCAACGCAGGGGCATCATCTTCTAAGCCTCCCTATGCTGACTGCTCCAAAACCTTTTGGCCTCCATTCTGTTTCTGGAACAGGCTAAATATGAGTCTACCTCACACCATTGTGCTGGCTGTTGCCTTGGCCCAGGAAGCTCTCCGCCCCTGCCAGTGACCTCCTCCTTACCTCCCTTACATCTCTGTTCAATGTCATTTGATCCTTTAGGCCAATGGTCCCCAACCTTTTTGGCACCAGGGACCAGTTTCATGGAAGACAATTTTTCCATGGACCGGGGTTGGGGGATGCTTTGGTGATGATTCAAGCACATTACATTTATGGTGTACTTAATTTCTATTATTATTGTATTGTAATATATAATGAAATAATTCTACAACTCACCATAATGTAGACTCAGTGGGAGCCCTGAGCTTGTTTTCCTGCAGCTAGACGGTCCCCTCTGGGAGACAGTGACAGATCATAAGATCATCAGGCATTAGATTCTCATAAGGAGTGTGCAACCTAGATTCCTTGCATGTAGAGTTCACAGTAGGGTTCGTGCTCCTATGAGAATTTAATGCCACTGCTGATCTGACAGGAGGTGAAGCTCAAGCGGTTATGCGAGCAATGGGGAGCAGCTGTAAATACAGGTGAAGCTTTGCTCACTTGCCCACCACTCACCTCCTGCTGTGTGGCCCAGTTCCTAGCAGGTCATGGACCAGTACCAGTCCATGGCCCAGAGGTTGGGGACCCCTGCTTTAGACCTTTTTGGATCACCCTATGTTAAAAATTACAGCTCCATTCTGCAACAGTTTCTCCACACTTACGTCCATCTGATGGTTTATATATTTTATTTGTCTTTCTCTCCCCACTAGAATTCTAATAAATGAAAGCAGGAGTTTTTGTCCCTTCTGTTCACTGCTGTGTCTGAAAGCTGTTCCAATAGGGCTCTACAATAGAGGGCACTAAGTCAACATTTGTTGAATGCATATTAACTGAAAGTTGGTGGCCTTGGGCAAATGACTTCTTTCCATGCTTCAGCTTCCTCCTGTATGTATCAAGATGGTTGCATAAACATCTCTCTAAGGACCTTCTAGTTTTAATATTCTATGATTCTAATATTTCTAGTTACTTCTGGGCAATACATTTATGATGAAATTAAAGGATATTCTCTCTGACTTCTCAAAGGAAGACATACAGGCACCCAACAATCATATGGAAAAATGATCAACATCACTAATCATTAGAGAAATGCAAGTCAAAACCACAATGAGCTACCATTTCACACTTGTCAGAATGGCTATTATTAAAAAGTCAAAAAACAGCAGATGGTGGCAAGGTTATGAAGAAAAGGGAACACTTATACACTGCTGGTAAGATCATAAATTAGTTTAGCCACTATGGAAGACAGTTTGAACATTTCTCAAGGGACTTAGAATTAGCATTCAACCCAGCAATCCCATTACTGGGCATACTCAAAAGATGATAAATTGTTCTACCATAAAGACACATGTACATGTATGTTCATAGTGCCCATCAATGGTAGTCTGGATAAATAAAATGTACATATACACAATAGAACACTATGCAGCCATTAAAAAGAACAAGATCATGTCCTTTGCAGCAACATGGATGGAGCTGGAGGCCATTATCCTAAGCAAATTAACACAGGGACAGAAAACCAAATAGTAAATGTTCTCACTTATAAGTGGGAGCTAAACATTGAGTACACATGGGCACAAAGAAAGGAACAGCAGACACCAGGGCCTACTTGAGGGTGGAGGTTGGGAGGAGGGTGAGGATCAAAAAACTACTTATCAGGTACTATGCTTATTACCTGAGTGACAAAATAATCTGTACATCAAACCCTGCAATATGAAATTTACCCATGTAACAAACCTGCACATGCACCCCCAAATCTGAAATAAAAGGTGGAAAGAGAAAAAAAAGGATATTCCGTCTGGATGGGTCATAAAATATGTAAAAAACATTCTGATAATTACACGCAAGTCTCATCTTTTAAGAAAAGAGTCTCTAAATTAGGCTTCAAGAAATACTGAAATTCTGTTACTAATTACGTAATAAAAACTAAGAAGCTTTCATTGACTAAGGACCTTGATAAAAACGTGGCCTTTTTTTCAGTCAATATTTTTAGTTTTCTAATTTATTTTGCTTATTAAGTATGGCTTTAATATTTTATAATTTATAAGTAAATTATACCTAATCATAAATGAAATGAGTGTAGTGCTTTGAGTAGCATTATATTTGATAGTATGCAGTTTTGTTTCATAATATTAAATGATTGCTTTTATGAAATATCCCATCTCCTAATAAACCATTGCCATTGTTCCACAAATATACTTACTAATATAAGTGGCAAAAGGGAAGAATTACTCAAGATATTGAGGGATCTTCCTGATACATTGCAAAGAATGTGACTCAAACTGGAGCTAAGACTATATATGATTAGAGAGTTGAATATAATTTAATATAATATCAATTTAGCTCTGTTAAAATTAGGTTGACTCAAGTCTCTAAGGAACACACAAAAGTATTTATGAGAAATTATAATGTGACTAGCAGACTGTGCCTCAAATTCTTTATTATGAGTACTCTTTTGCCCTGGTATATTGAAAAGCAGTTAAGTTAGGCAACTTAGAAACAAAATCTTGTTTAAAAAACTAAGATAAAATTTACATACAGTGAAATGTACAGATCTTAAGGATATGGCTCAGTGAGTGTTGACCAGTCCATATAGCCATGTAACCCACACCTCTATCCTTTTTTTAGTCATTTAATAAAATTCTTTTTATTTTGAAATAATTATAGATTCACATGCAGTGGTAAGAAATAACAGAGAGATCCCCTGTACCCTTTATCACAATGGTAACATCTTGCAAATCTGTGTAGTACAGTATCACAACCAGGATATTGACATTGATACAGTGAAGATACAGAACATTTCCATCACCACAAGGATCCTTTTTGTGTGAACATGTCTTCACTTCTCTGGGAGTGCAGTTCCCCAGAGTGTTCTTGCTGGATCCTATGGTAGTTGTTTATTTAGTTTTCTTTTTTTAATTGTCAAATTGTTCCCCAGAGTGGCTGTACTATTTTAAATTTCCCACTAAGCGCTGCTTTTTCTGTACCCCACAAATTTTGATAAGTTGTATCTTCATTTACCTTCTTTCAAAATATTCTAAAATTTCTCAAAACTCCTTTTTTTAACCCATGTGTATTTACAAGTGTGTGGTTTTATTTCCAAATATTTTCAGATTTTTCTATATATCTTTGTGTTATTGATTTTTTTGTTTAATTCCATGTTGTTCTGAGAACATACTTCGTATGATTTCTATTGTATGATTAAGTTGTGATTTCTGGACTGGGATGTGGTTTATCCTAGTGAATATTCCATGTGAGCTTGAGAAGAATGTGTATTCCACTGTTGTTGGATGAAGTATTCTATAAATGTCAATTAAATTCAGTTGACTGATGGTTTATTGTTCAGCTCAACCACATCTATACTGATTTTCTGCCTGCTGCGTCTATCAATTACTGATAGAGGGGTATTGAAGTCTCCAACTATAATAGTGACTTTGTCTATTTCTCTTGCAGTTCCATCAGTTTTTGCCTTATATATTTTGATGCTCTGTTGTTAGGTGTACACACACTAAGGATTATTATGTCTTTTTGGAGAATTTACCCCTTTATCATTAATGTCTCTCTTTTCCTGGTCATTTTCTTTGTTCTAAAGTTGGCTTTGTCTAAAACTTATATATAGGTACACCAGCTTTCTTTCAATTAGTGTTAGCAAGGTGTATATATCTTTTTCCATTCTTTTATTTTTAATCTATTTGCATATTTATATTTATAATGGTTTTCTTTTAGACAGCCTCTACTTGGGTCTTGGTTTTTTTAATCTACTCTGACAGTGTTTGTCCTTTAATTGATATATTTAGAAAATTCACCTCTAAAGTGATTATTGATATATTTAGGTTAATATCCACCATATTTGCTACTGTTTTCTATTTGTGGCACTTGTTTTTGTTTTTGTTTTTGTTTTCAGAAAACATTCCCTTCTTTTTCTGACTTCTCTGTTTTAAGGATTTTATATCATTCCATTTTCTCTCCTCTCTTAGCAATATATATTATCTTCTTTTAAAACATTTTCCTATTGTTTGTCCTAGAGTTTGCAATATATATTTACAATTAATATAAGTCCAATTTCAAATAACAGTATACCAGTTCATGGGTAGTATATGTACCTTGTACAAGAATATGTCGTTTCTTCTTACTGTGCCTTGTAAGATCAATCATTTCACTTACCCACAAATTATAATCACCTAAAACATTGTTGCTATTATTATTTTAAACCAACAATAATCTATTAGAACAATTATGAACATAAAAAATAAAAGATTTTATTTTATCTTCATTTATTCCTTCTCCAAATGCCCTTCCTTTCTGAAAATATATGTCAGATCAAGTTTCTGACATATATCATTTTCCTTCTGCCTGAAGAAATTCTTTTTTTTTTTTTTTTTTTTTTTAGTATTTATTGATTATTCTTGGGTGTTTCTCAGAGAGGGGGATGTGGCAGGGTCATAGGATAATAGTGGAGAGAAGGTCAGCAGATAAACATGTGAACAAAGGTCTCTGGTTTTCCTAGGCAGAGGTCCCTGTGGCCTTCCGCAGTGTTTGTTTCTCTGGGTACTTGAGATTAGGGAGTGGTGATGACTCTTAACAAGCTTGATGCCTTCAAGCATCTGTTTAACAAAGCACATCTTGCACCGCCCTTAATCCATTTAACCCTGAGTTGACACAGCACATGTTTCAGAGAGCACGGGGTTGGGGGTAAGGTTATAGATTAACAACATCCCAAGGCAGAAGAATTTTTCTTAGTACAGAACAAAATGGAGTCTCCTATGTCTACTTCTTTCTACACAGACACAGTAACAATCTGATCTCTCTTTCTTTTCCCCACATTTCCCCATTTTCTTTTCGACAAAACCGCCATCGTCATCATGGCCCATTCTCAATGGTCGCTGTCTCTTCGGAGCTGTTGGGTACACCTGCAGAAAGGCTGTCACTTCACACTTGGAAGATTGCACAGCAGCCATGCAGAGGCGCTCCTCACTTCCCAGATGGGGTGGCCGGGTAGAGACGCTCCTCACCTCCCAGACGGGGCGGCCAGGCAGAGGTGCTCCTCACCTCCCAGACGGGGCGGCCGGGCAGAGGAGCTCCTCACCTCCCAGACGGGGCGGCCGGGCAGAGGCGCTCCTCACTTCCCAGACGGGGCGGCCGGGCAGAGGCGCTCCTCACATCCCAGACGGGGCGGCCGGGCAGAGGCGCTCCTCACTTCCCAGATGGGGCGGCCGGGCAGAGGCGCTCCTCACTTCCCAGACGGGGCGGCCGGGCAGAGGAGCTCCTCAACTCCCAGACGGGGTGGCGGCCGGGCAGAGGTGCTCCTCACATCCCAGACAATGGGCGGCCGGGCAGAGGCGCTCCTCACTTCCCAGATGATGGGTGGCTGGGCAGTGATGCTCCTCACTTCCTAGATGGGGTGGCGGCCAGGCAGAGAGGCTCCTCACTTCCTAGACGGGGTGGCGGCTGGGCAGAGACGCTCCTCACCTCCCAGACAGGGTGGCGGCCGGGCAGAGGCACTCCTCACCTCCCAGACGGGGTGGCGGCTGGGCAGAGGCTGTAATCTTAGCACTTTGGGAGGCCAAGGCAGGCGGCTGGGAGGTGGAGGTTGTAGCGAGCTGAGATCACGCCACTGCACTCCAGCCTGGGCAACATTGAGCACTGAGTGAGCGAGACTCCGTCTGCAATCCCAGCACCTTGGGGGGCCAAGGCGGGCAGATCACTTGAGGTCAGGAGCTGGAGACCAGCACGGCCAACATGGCGAAACCCCGTCTCCACCAAAAATACAAAAACCAGTCAGGCATGGCGGCACGTGCCTGCAATCCCAGGTACTCGGCAGGCCGAGGCAGGAGAATCAGGGGAGCCCGAGGCAGGGAGGTTGCAGCGAGCCGAGATCACGACAGTACAGTCCAGCCTCAGCAACAGAGGGAGACTGTAGAAAGAAAGAAAGAGAGAGAGAGAGAGAGAGGAAGGAAGGAAGGAAGGAAGGAAGGAAGGAGAAATTCTTTTAACATTTCTTGCAAAGCAGGTCAACTGACAACAAACTCCCTCAGATTTATTTGTCTGAAAAGTCTTCATTTTTCTTTCACTCTTGAAGGATACTTTTCTGTTTTTTTTCCTTTCAACATCTTAAATCTATCACTTTATTGTCTTCTTGTTTGCATAGTTATTGATGAGAAGTCTGATGTGATTCTTATTCTTGTTGCTGTTATAGGTGAAGTGGGGTTCTTTCTTTTTTGCCCTGACTTCTTCCAAGATTTTCTCTTTTTCTTTGGCTTTCTGTAGTTTTAATACAATATGCTCTGGTATAGGTTTTTTGGTATTTATCTTTGGTGTTTTCTAAGATTCTTAGATCTGTGGTTCGTATCTGTCATTAATTTTGGGAAATTCTCCGGCACTATTGCTTCAAATATTTCTTTCTCTCCATCCTCTCTTTCCACTCCTTGTATTTCTATTACATGTATGTTTCCCAGCTGTTCACTCATTAGTCCTGGGTCACAGGTTATTTACTCCTAAGGCCCTTCTGTTGTTTCCATAGAAAGCCAAAGCTGTTTAAAAAGCCCCTCTAACTTAGCAGGATTCAGTATCCAAACTTTGTCTCCCTTTTTGTAGGTAGCAGCTGATATCATTACTCAACTTTTTTGCCTTCCAGCTGTTGCTTTCCAATGTACTCCTTGGAGGCCCCTCTTCTGGATGGAATGTGTAAGTAGATTTGGGGGCTTCTCCCTCTGTGGCTCCTTCTTCTCTAGAATTTTGCCCTCCATTATCAGCCATTCTGGAACTTCCCAGTCCTCCCATTGACACCTCAAGCCAGTAAGACTGCTTTCTATTTTTAGTTGTAGGGCTAGCGACTGAGAAATACCCTCAGGGAAAAATACCTGTCTACATGTAGATCTTACCCAGTTTAATTCCTTTCTTTCTGGAGACATATTCTTTTTATTTTTTTACTTTTTATGTTTGGGGTACACATGAAGGTTTGTAACATAGGTAAACTCGTGTCATGGCGGTTTGTTCTACAGATTATTTCATCACCCAGGTATTAAGCCCAGTATCCAATAGCTATCTTTTCTGCTTCTCTCCCTCTTCCCACCCTCCCTACTCAAGTAGACGCCAGTGTCTGTTGTTTGCTTCTTTGTGTTCATGAGTTCCCATCATTTAGCTCCCACTTATAAGTGAGAACATGCGGTATTTGGTTTTCTGTTTCTGCATTGGTTTGCTAAGGACAATAGCCTCTAGCTCCAACCACGTTCCCAGAAAAGACATGATCTCGTTCTACTTTATGGCTGTAGAGTATTCCATGATGTATATGTACCACATTTTCTTTACCTAATCTGTCATTGATACGCATTTAGGTTGATTCCATATCTCTGCTACTGTGAATAGTGCTGCAACAAACATTCGTGTGCATGTGTCTTTAATGGTAGAATAATCTATATTACTCTGGGTATATGCCCAGTAATGGGATTGCTGGGTCAAATGGTAGTTCTGCATTTAGCTCTTTGAGGAATTGCCATACTGCTTTCCAAAATTATTCAAACTAATTTACACTCACCCAAACAGCAAAGATAGAAGACTGCCCCTCCCTCTGGGAGCTCCCACACAGGAAGGTTTCAAATCTGTTTGCTGGAGAATACCAGCAAAGGTGAGTGGAGACCCGGGTTGGGAGGTCCCACCCAGTGAGGAGGAATGGGATCGTGCACCTGCTTTAAGAAAAGCAGTTTGGGCCGGGCGAGGTGGCTCACGCCTGTAATCCCAGCACTTTGGGAGGCCGAGGCGGGCAGATCACAAGGTCAGGAGATCGAGACCATCCTGGCTAACATGGTGAAACCCCGTCTCTACCAAAAATACAAAAAATTAGCCGGGCTTGGTGGCGGGAACCTGTAGTCCCAGCTGCTGGGGAAGCTGAGGCAGGAGAATGGCGTGAACCCGGGAGGCGGAGCTTGCAGTGAGCCGAGATCGCGCCACTGCACTCCAGCCTGGGTGACAGAGCGAGACTCCATCTCAAAAAAAAAACAGTTTGGCCATATTTTCATAGAGCAGCTTTGCTGTGCTGGGGAACCACTTCTACCACCACTGGGCTTGGAATGGCTAAGTCATCCAAACAGCAAAGATGGCAACGCATCCCTTCCTCTGGGAGCTCTGTCCCAGGGAGCTTTCAAATCTCTGTTGGCCAGAAAACACCGGCAGGGGTGGGTGGAGACCCCGGTTGGGAGGTCCTGACGGTGAGGAGGAATGGAGTCGGGGACCCACTTTAAAAAGCAGTCTGGCCACGTTTTTGTAGACCAGCTATGCTGTGCTGGGGTATCCCTTCCACCGCTGGTCGCCTTGGATTCTCCAAAGCCCCAAGGCTGAAATGGCTAAGTTGCCCAAACAGCCAAGATGGCAGCCTGCCTTTCACCCTGGGAGCTTCCTCTCAGGGAGGTGCAATGCTGCTGCCAGGGACTGGCTGGAATTCTAAGCCAGTGGGTCTTATCCTGTTAGATGCTGTGGAAGTGGGGCCTGCAGACTTTCACTTCTCAGCCTCCTGGATTCAGCCTCATTCCTAGGGGTATATAGGAGGGTCTAACCTCCTGCTTTGTCAGAGTTGCAGCTACTTTTGCCAGGAAGCCCAGAAAGCCTGGGTATTGATGGCTCCCAGATTTCCACAGGTGTCTGAGTGGCTGCTCTGCCAAGACCCCACGTAGCTCTGTGCATCAGAATGAAGGCCCTGGTGGGGGGGGTTCACAAGGGGATCTCCTGACCCAAGATCCGTGGGAGAAGCATGGGTTCCTGGGGTCACACATTCACTCACGGCTTCCCTGAGCAGGGGAGGTTCCCCCGGCTCCATGTTGCTCCTGGGTGGGCTGTCATCCTGCCTTGCTTTTCTCCATTCTCCATGGGTCGAGTTGTTTCCTTGATTGGTTCCAATCTAAGTACCTGGATGTTTCCGTTGAAGGTTCTGTATTTACTCGCTCCTTTTATTCCTCTCCATGAGAGCCACGCACAGTAGCTGCTTCTTGTCAGCCATCTTGGCCACCTCCCTCAGAGACATACTCTCATTTCCAGTTCTGCCTGCTTTGGTCATTTTCAAAAGCCTTCAAATAGTTGGTTTTTTAAACATTTTGAACAGAATTTACAATTGTTATCTATGGGAGAATTAGTACATTTTAAGCTACTCCGTTACTGGAACCAGAACCTAGGAAGCTGTCTCTTTACCTTTTTGACCAGAGCAGCAAAGTATTCTTTTAGACTGTAGATATTACCCCTCATCTCCCTTGGTTACTGGTAATCCAAAAGGTTATGTGCCTGCTGTATTTTCTGCAGGGTCCATTAATATTTTTCTACTGAGAGTAGAGGGTAAGGAGAGCCACATTTTTCTGTTTTGAACATTTGTATTTTGGATTTAAGATTTTCTTCAGGAAAGACACATGTATAGTGGGCCCTCCATATCTGTAGGTTCTACATCCAGGAGGGGATTCAACCAACCATGGATGGAAAATATTTTTTAAAAATGATAAAAAATAACAACACAACAAATTTAAAAGTTAAAAATACAACATAACTATTTACATAGCATTTACATTGTATTAGGTCTTATAGGTAATCTAGAGATGATTTAAAGTATACAGGAGGATGTGCATAGGGTGCGTAGGTTATATGTAAATACTTTGCCATTTTGTAAAAGAAACTTGGGCATCCTTGGATTTTGGGTATCTTCAGAGGGTCCTGGAACCAATCTCCCGCAGATATTGAGGGACAACTGTATAGCTACACTTAATTCTGGCCTGTTTCCACAGCTTGGATGAATGTTGAGAGAATTGTGTCTCTATTTATATTTTTATTATCAAAGATAATAATTAAGGTAAATACTTCTGCCAGCTGTCTTTTTTCATGTCCTTCATTTTATCAGAAGCAGCTTTTAGTATTCGTAATCTAGAAATAAATGACTCACTTCTGGTAAGCATTTCCAAGTTAGAGAGCATGATAAATCATACCAATAATTTGTTTCCCTGAATTGAACACCCAAACCTCTGCTGTTCCATATGCAGGGCATGGAGGTAGGTGTTCTCTTCTATTCTGAGGATTTCCTTGGAGGTGGGATTGGATTCAGAGATGTATATTCACAAACACCAATGCCATTATGAGCATAAGCTGGCTTCTACCTTAGAGAGAACAGCTCTTGCTGCTTTCCTAACTTGCTCTGAGACGAGACTCCTGGATTTGCAGCAGCCCTGTCATGTAAACTGCCAGATTCCCAGTTCTGGAGCCCAGTTTGTCCTTTTAAGATTAGAAAGCAGCAGTGTTCTAACCCTGTAGCCTAGGAGTTCATGTGGCAGATGTGATTTGCTGCTTGTGTATGCCATAAGGGCAGAGACAGAATGATTTTTAAAAATCATGTTTTTATAATAGTCATTTGCAACATTAAGAGATTGGGCCCCAAGAGTCTAATGGCTAATTTTATAAGGGGTTAAATCTCATGTGATGTTGACAGTCCTCCTCTGGATGGCTATAATCTCAAATAGCGAGAGTCTGTTCCCTGCCGTAAAAGATCACATGGATTACTTATAAGGATGAAAAGCAACTATCCCAGTCTCCTTAGCCTTTAATTTATCTTCCTTATCTGATTCGACCTCCTATGTTG
This sequence comes from Homo sapiens, assembly GCF_000001405.40. NCBI lineage: Eukaryota > Metazoa > Chordata > Mammalia > Primates > Hominidae > Homo > Homo sapiens. The sequence goes on from NC_000018.10 coordinate 50,423,113, forward strand.
GCCATTTCTCAATAATCTTTTCCATCTACTCTTTGGTTCATCCTGTATCTATTCGTAAACCCAGCCCTATCCTCAGCCTCTCCTGGCTGCATGTGGTCTGAACATTTGGTCCCCTGAAATATACTCTTTCATGCCCTTTTTAGTCAGTGGCTTCTGGGGAAGATCTTGAGAGAAACTTTCCCATAGTGGCTTTTCATCTTTTTTCCCCTACTCTAATAGACAAGATAGATCTGTTTGTCCACTTGACAAATATCTATTGAGCATCTACTTGGATTCAGGCATGGTCTTAGGGACTGAGGATCAGTGATCTCAAGAAAGATATAAGTTTTTTCTTCCACGAAGCTCACATTCTAGGAAGGATTACAGCTAAGTAAATGAAAAATAGTAGTGTGATAAATGCTTTGATATGGGCATAGAGGATATTACAGGGACATGTGAAAGCACCTAATATAAATGTATAGGGATGATATGGTTTGAATATTTGTACTCGCCAAATTTCATGCTGAAATTGCAATCCCTAATGTTGGAGGTGGGGCCTGAGGGGAGGTATTTGGGTCATTGGGGTGGATCCCTCATGGCTTGATGCTGTCCCCCTGATAGTGAGTTCTCATGAGATCTGGTTGTTTGAAAGTGTGTGGCACCTCTGCCTGTCTCTCTTGCTCTGGCTATCCCCATGTGACACACCTGCTCCCCCAGTCCCTCTTTACCTTCTGCCATGATTGGAAGATTCCTGAGACCCTCACCAGAAGCAGATGCTGGAGCCATGCTGATACAGCCTGCAGAACCATGAGCCAATTAAATCTCTTTTCTTTATACATTACCCAGCCTCAGGTGTTTCTTTATAGCAATGCAAGAATAGCCTAACACAAGGGATCAAGGAAAATTTCCGGGGGAAGTTGCACTTATGCTTAGACCTGAGAGTGATTAGGAAGAGATGGGTTCCAAGTAGAAGGAACAGCATCTAACATAGCCATAAATGACACATATACAGGTGAGAATCCAGGAGTATGCCCAACCTTCAAGTGTATCTTATACTTACCCTTTTCTTCCCTGCTTAAGAGAGCATGTAGAAGAATATAAAGTGAGCAATAAGTCATTGTAGGGATAAATATGAATCTGCTCTAACTTTTTAAAAAGATAAATCGTAAATTATTTACAAGTTTTCTGTTAACTGAGAGTCCAGATATGATCCCACAGACATGCACTTTCAAGATGATTTAATGTTCCAGACAGTGTCTTATGCATAGACATTCATAAGGAAACAAAAAAGTCATAAGGGGCCAGGTGTGGTGGCTCATGCCTGCAATGCCAGCACTTTGGGAGGCCGAGGCAGGCAGATCACCTGAGGTCAGGAGTTCGAGACCAGCCTGGCTAACATGGTGAAACCCTGTCTTTACTAAAAATACAAACAATTAGCCAGGCATGGTGGTGGGTGCCTGTAATCCCAGCTACTGGGGAGGCTGAGGCAAGAGAATCACTTGAACCCGGGATGCAGAGGTTGCAGTGAGCTGAGATCACACCACTGCACTCCAGCTTGGGTGGCAGAGCAAGATACCTTCTCAAAAAAAAAAAAAAAAAAAAAAAAAAAAGGCCAGGTGCGGTGGCTCACGCCTGTAATACTAGCACTTTGGGAGGCTGAGGCGGGTGGATCACGAGGTCAGGAGATCGAAACCATCCTGGCTAATATGGTGAAACTCTGCCTCTACTAAAAAATACAAAAAATTAGCCAAGCGTGGTGGCAGGCACCTGTAGTCCCAGCTACTTGGGAGGCTGAGGCAGGAGAATGGTGTGAACCCAGGAGGAGGAGCTTGCAGTGAGCTGAGATCACGCCACTGCACTCCAGCCTGGGTGACACAGTGAGATTTCATCTCAAAAAAAAAAAAAAAAAAGAAAGAAAGAAAGAAAGAAAGAGAAAAAGTCATTAGAGAATGCACTGAAGCAGGAAATGTGAAAAAGAAAAACAAATTTTCCTCTCTCCTTTGGTATGAGTAAACGTCCCCCACAAAATTCCTCCCCACTCCATGTGGTTGTACTCTGCTCTGCAAGTTTTATGAGTTTATGGATTCCTATTTTCTGTAACTAGTGACTGTAAATTTCTGTTTTTCATCTGAGTAGCACAGTGAAGGTCATGAGACATGCCTGAGCAGGACTGGACTGCAGCCATCTAGGCACCATAGTGAAGGATATGAGATAAGCTTGTGCAAGGCTCTTGAGCAAGCTGAGATAACAGCCATCTGGGCCGCATAGCAAGAGTCACATGAAAGCCTGAGTTATGAACCTGTCACAGTTTGATTAACTGCCTTTGTTCTGCTTCCGTACACTTGCTTTCATGCCACTGCACTCCACGCCACTGTAAACTTGTTTCAAACTAGCCAACCACCTTTCAGAAGTGTGTATAAAAGTCAAGCCCTGTCTTTGTTCAGAGCCCAGCCTTTGGATGTTAATCCACGGGGCCTAAGTGCATTCAATAAAATCTTCCTGTTCCACCCAGAGGTCTCTCCAGTCTCCTGATTCCCGCAACAGCACCATCTCCCCAAAGGTAATCACCATTAAGAGTGAAAACAAATTCTTCTAGTGTTTTTCCTTTCCAAAAAGATACACATTATCAAATTTACAAAAAGAGCCTTATGTAATACATGTATGACTGGCTTTTAACATGTGATAGATTATAAACATTTTCATGTTAATAAATACTGTTTTATAATATAGTTTAAATACCTACAGGCTGGGTGCAGTTGCTCACACCTGTAATTCCAGCACTTTGGGAGGCCAAGGCAGGCAGATCACCCGAATCAGGCATTTGAGACCAGCCTGGCCAACTTGGTGAAACCCCATCTCTACAAAACACAAAATTAGCCAGGCGTGGTAGCACACTCCTGTAGTCCCAGCTACTCTGGAGGCTGAGGCAGGAGAATTGCTTGAATGCAGGAGGCAGAGTTTGCAATGAGCCAAGATCATGCCACTGCACTCCAACCTCCTGGTTTGATCCCAGGGATCAAAGCCTGGGCAGTAAAGTGAGACTCTGTCTCAAAAAAAATAAATAAATAAATAAAATAAAAAAATAAATACATACTTTCTCATGTGATATATTTAATTAGTTCTGTATTGTTAGGCATTTTGGGTTCTTCCAAATTTTTATAAACATTATATCTCAAAAAAGTCTGTAAGTTGTGTAGATAAATCTTTCTAGCTTTAGAACTTCTATAAGCATTTCTTCCTTTTCTTAGGCTGAATCTGAGACCCACTCATCATACTTTGATTAGGTGATACAACAAAGAAAAATTTGGTTGTGAAAGCAGCAAGAGTAGAAAAAGCATTATGACTTCATTTTTATAAATAAGGCTTTCAATTTATATTTCCATGATAACTTTATCATTTGTTGATATTTATTTACCAAAGTGCTACAGAACTCTTCAAAATATGAAAAGCCATGGGATTTAACCATACAACAAAAATAATAATATTTTAAAATAATGTTTACCATTATATCAGAATGGAATGATTTTAGGTCTGAAAAAAGATGTTTACCATTACAAAACAAAGGAGGGTAATTTTAAAACTTGCTTTCATAATTTGTAATCAAATTTGGTAAAAAACTAATACTTCATGTAAATTCAGGGGGAGGTTGATTCATTCCAAGTTCAGGTTATTTAAAGCATTTAAAACTACACAAATGGCAAACCATTAATCATAATTAAAATAAACATAAATGGGATTGTTTATGGTCTTATGATACCGATTTTAGTTTGGAGCGTCATAAACCATCAGTCTAAATTTACTGTGTCCAAGTAGACTTGACTTGTTGGATTAGAATGTGTAAACTGCTTAAAAACATAATATATTGCCCTCAGGAATTTCAATATTTTTGATGCATATTTTAAAATTGAAATAACTTGTCAGTCTTCTATTTACTGTTGAAAAGTATTTAAATCTTTTTCTATTGTCTTCCTAATTGAAGTCAACCATCATTTAATTTTTCTCCTTAGTGTTTCTGCTTCCCTTACCTTATTCAGTAATAAACTTATTACTGCTGTCCTTATTATAATATTATCACTGATAAGATGAATTTATGGGTGTTGTGGAATTCTCAGTTGATTTCATAAAAGTTTATGACTCCTTTAAAATTTTAGTGAAAAATCCCAAAATATTGTTGTCTTGTTGATGTCCATCTGATTTAGAATTTCTTAATCTCTAGTGCTTTAAGAACTAATGTTTATGCTACTTTGGGATCATTAGTAGTTAGCTCAAAGATGATTTCTTGTACTAGAGATTCTTGATCATCTAGAAGCATCCTTTAAGAAGGATGTTTTAGAAACATACTTAATCTTGAGGGATGTGCTAAACTTTTCTTCATTCCATCTGGGTCCATTCTTGCTGTAGTTAATTGTACTGTTTGGGCAGTTATTGTTGGCTTAGAGCAAATTGGTTCTTGTCATTCTTCTGCTTACCTCTCTGGGCCTCACTTCCCAGGACTCCTTACTCTCTCCACCTGCAGTAAGGCTGAGTCTCAGAATTCAGCTTGAAGGCTGCCCCCAATTCCCTGAAAGCTGGGCCAATTGTCAGTGACCTATGTTCCCAAAGGACACTTTCCTGGTGCTTAGCTCCCTGTGGCTATTGCCCCAGGGGGCCAGGGAGGAGGTGGCAGAGTATTCATCCTGGGGACATAGTGGGAGGCAGGACCACGTCTGAGTTGAGGCTCCAAGTCCCTGGCATGTGCCTCATTGGCTCATCAGACCTCACTTATAAAACACAGATTCCAAGAGAAAATTAGGAAAAATTTTAAGACAGCAACCAGAGAGCATTACTCCAAAAAAGAGGCCCTCTGAGGAGGAGCCAGGGGCTGAGACTGCATTGGCCACTCTCTGAGGAAGCTGGCCCCACACATATTAATTCATTTCATCCTCCCAACAACCCACTTGTACAGATGTGGAAAATGTTACACTGAAAGTAACCAACCAAACATCCTGTTAACCAATAAATGAGTGACTGAGGCAAATGTCTCAATCAGTAGAGGTTTATTGAGCCAAAGTTTGAGGACATGCCCAGGAAAAACACAAGCCACAGAAACATCTGTGACCTGTGCTGTTTCCAAAGAGGGTTTCGGGAACTCAGTATTTAAGGGGACAGAGCAAGCAAAGGGAGGGAGGGTAGGCAGTGAGGCAAATGATTATATTCTGGTAAGGCTCTCCTTCATGCTCAGTAAGTCTACGTTTTATGTAAGATAAGGTGAATATCTGAAAAGAGGGAGTAGAGGCAAGAGTCAATTACACACACATCTCAGGGGAGGCAGAGGAGTGATTGATCTCAGCTTGTCCTTGTTCTACACCTGGGAAGATAAGTTTGTAATCGACATTGTCAGTGTGAGATTTAACAGAACTTGGTTGTAGGAGTTAAACTTAGATTGCAGACCCAAGGTTACCATGGGCATGTGCTTGTTTTATAGGGGGGATATGTCATCTGAAATATTTAGGGGCTAGCAAGGAATTTCCTTGTAATTTGTGAGGGAGGCCATCCAGAGAGTTATATGGCCTTTTGTCATTGTGAGAACCTGGCTTATTTCACAACACAGGGCTGTGAAATTACAGCTATCTGTTCGGGGGGAAAACGAATGGCTGTGTTGTATGACTCAGTTCCCAGGCTTAATTGTCCCTTGGGCATAACAAGTTTAGGGATCCTGAGGTTTTATTTTCTTTTACAATCCCATGTCTTCTAAGTGGCATAGCCAGGATTTGAACTTGGGTAGTAGTACACCCCTATGGTCTCTGCTCTTAAACTTTCTGCTAGCTCACTCCTCCTGTGCTACGTAAGTGAATGCTAGAATTCATAGCTCTAGGAGGCTGGAAGCAAAGGGAAGAAAACCATCTGTTTGTGCTTCTCCTCCATGTGTAACTACCTAGGTGGAGTCTAAGTTACTCAGGTCTTAGGTCTCTGCTGAGGACTGATGGTGTCTCCTGTTTACATCTAACAATGTTAACAATCAGCATGGCCTGGCACATAGCATTGTTCTCCTCATCATCATCAAAAAGAAAAAGTCTTCCCTGTATATATGTGCACATAAAAATATATAATATATATTTATATAAATTACTCACATATTTAAGAACGTGTAACATTTAAAAAAAAAAACAAAAACCTTTGCTGTATTTTAAAAAAATAGATCTGTATTGCCCTCTAGTGGCCATGAAAATTTAAACGGTGGGTAACCCTAAAAGAGAATAGCAGCTGTTCAAGTGCCAACCATAAAAACATCAACCCTACTACCTCCATATATTGCTGGGGTGCAAACAGGCATGCTCACAGCGACCAGGTAGGTGATGTCACAGGGAAGTGGGCTGGGACAACATGGAAATGGTCCAACACTTCCCTCTCCAAAGGGGGAACCTCTACTGAGTTCCAGCTTATGGCTGCCCTGAAGAAGACGGGCCAGTTGCTAAAGAGAAGCTCCAGAACCAGGTATTTATGTAAGAGTGCCCAATGTTTCAGTGTAGGAAATCAACTAATTTTTAATTCCCAGTCTCTGGGTGTGTCATTCACATTTCTGTGGGTTAGATTTAGGCTGCAAGTCTAGCCACTTGCTCATATGTGCTGGACAAAACTTACAGGAGGCCTTTGTTTTGGATTAGGCCCCAGCAGACCAAACCAAAATGGAGTCACTCATGCTAAGGTTACATATCACCAAGCTGAAAATAAGTTGTTTATCTGACCTTCTGAGAAATCAGGAGAGAGAGAGAGAATGGCCAAATCCCCAAACAGACCAGTCCCAGCCAGCATAAGGAAGTCCCCTCTGCTTTAACATTTTTTTTTTACAAGGAAAGTCGCTTTGAAATGACCAATTTGCTTTTTGTTTTGTTTCTGCTTTCCTCAGCCTTTCTTTGTCTATAAACCAATCTCCTCTGCTCAGCTCAGCAGAACAATTATTCTATTTTATGGAATGAAGTGTTGCCTGATTCTAAAATTGCAAATAAAGCCAATTAAAATATTTAAAAATTTGTGGTAATTTTGTTTTTTGACACTTCTGACCTTTGGTTAATTGCTACTTACTGTCTAATGGGCACTGTGCTCAGGGATTTACGTACAGTATCCCCTTTAGCCTGCAAAACAACCCTGTTACAGTTTAGCCCCCTTTCATAGATGAGGCTGAGAGAAGTTACCTGAATTGCCTAAGGTCATGTGGTCTGTGAAAATCAGAGGTGGAATTTGAACACAGCTCTTCCTAACTCCAAAACCCACGATTTTAAGCCCCGCACTTATTGCCCACCATGTGATGTATACGGTCTATTCAGTTAAGAAATATATATGGAGTTCTTAACATATGCCAGAGACTATTCTAGGTGACAAAGATACAGCAGTGAAGAATGCAGCGACTGCCCTCGTTCTAGTGTGGTTTTTGTGTGTGAAGTTGGGGGAGAGGGCCAGTTGTGATACAGGGGAGTAAGAGATGATAAATAAATACATGCCGATGCTGGATAGTGGAAACTGCCGTGGAAACATCAAGTGCTGTGAGAAGATGCAGAATGATGGTGGCTTGTGGTGACAGGGTGGTCAGGTAAGACCTCCTTGGTGAGGTGTCACTGGACCAGAGTGAAGCGAGGAGCAAAGTCATTGATCCTTGGATGGCATGTGGTGGGTGGGGGTGGCATAGAGACCAAAGGGAACAGCGGCTGCCCAGGTCTCCGGGGGATGTGTGCTTGGTGGGTTCCAGCAGCAGCTGAGAGGTCAGTGTGGCTGGAGTGAACATATGAGTGATGGGGGAGGCAGGCAGGGCCAGAGGGTGCAGGCAGGGCCAGAGGGTGCAGGCAGGCCATGGCATGGAGGATGAATTTCCTTCTGAGTATGATGGAAAGCCTTTGAGAGTTTTTGGCAAGGAAGTTGACATAATAAAAAGGAGCCAAGAATAAAATATCCTCCCCAATGTGACACTCTCCTTATGGCCTTACCTTACATGTTCTCTGCAAGTGCATGCTCCCAGGCATAGCCCCTCTTTCCGCTGTGATAAACACCTTGTGTTTTGTTAAAAGTGACATCTTCTCTTGTCCCTCTGCTTCGGGTATGTATGTGGCTCCTATACCCAGGTATCCCAACCAGACCTCATTAGTTAACCTATAGAACTATTTATGTATCCTTCTAAGCTCAACCTAGATGCCAGAGGTCAATTTTAGCTTAAAGTTTCCTGGCCAGGGTTAGTAAATTCCTTCCTCTGAGCTTCTATGCAATAACTATCATGCTAAAATTGAAATACTTGCTTTTTTCTCCAATTATAAAAAAGTTCATAATACTAAAAATTGAGAAATGCATCAATTATGAAAAAAATAAAACAAAATGCCCATAATTGTCTCACAGCATGGCCATCCAGAGGCAATCACATATTGCCCTGTTGTCTTCTTTTTTACTATGTGTATATTATATAAGTTATTCTGATTATTTTTTCTCCATTTAACCTTATGCCATAAACATTTTCCTGCTATTGAAAACCTTTTATTGTGGAAAATTTCAAAGACATAAAAAGTATAGAGAGTAGTGTAGTGAATCCTCATGTACCCATCACTAAGTTTCAACAACTAACAACTCATGGCCAACCTTGTTTTCTTTATACCCCCAGCTACTTCTTCCCTTGGGATTATTTTGAAGCAAATTTCTGATATGTCATTTCAATTGTAAACTTTTCAATATATATGTTTAAAACAATGGCTCTGAACTAATGGTGATTTGCCACCCAGGGGATATATGGCAATAGATAGAGACATTTTTGGTTTTTACAACTGGGAATGAAGTGGGGGTTGCTCCTGGCATCTAGTGGGCAGAGGCCAGGTATGCTGCTAAACATTCTATAATGCACAGCAGGGATCCCCAACCTGTCCATGGCCTCTTAGGAACTAGGCTGCACAGCAGGAGGTGAACGGTGGTCAGCAATTGAAGCTTCATCTGTATTTACATCCCCTCCCGACTGCTGGCATTGCTGCCTGAGCTCCACTTCCTGTCAGATCAGCAGTGGTGGCATTAGATTCTCACAGGAATGTGAACCCTATTATGCAAACCCTGTTAAACTGCACATGTGAGGGATCTAGGTTGCATGCTCCTTATGAGAATCTAATGCCTGATGATCTGTCACTGTCTCCCATCACTTCCAGATGGGACCATCTAGTTGTAGGAAAACAAGCTCAGGGCTCCCAATGATTCTACATTATGGTGAGTTGTATAATTATTTCATTATATATTACAATGTAATGATAATAAAGTACATAATAAATGTAATGTTCTTGAGTCATCCCCAAACCATTCCCCTCCTGGTCTGTAGAAAAATTGTCTTCCATGAAACCTGTCCCTGGTGCCAAAAAGGTTAGGGACCAATGGTGCACAGGACAGCTCCACAACAAGGAACTATCTAGCCCAAAATGTCATAAGTGCCAGGGTTGAGAAATAACCACTCTAAAAGGGTTCTGTTTAAAAACTTTTAGTATTATATGGATACAGAAAATTCGCAGATCAGAAGTGAGCAGCTCAATTCATGTCCATGAACTGCACACATCCAGATCAAGATACAGAACACGGTCAGCATTCCAGAAGCCACACTGATGTCTCGTTCCCGTCACTGCCTGCCCCGAGGGTGGCTGTTATTTTGATTTCCAATAGCATATTGCCCAGTAAAGGATTCACTCAGCAGGTCTGTGTGGTCTAAACCCTGCACATTCCAAGGAAAAGTTTGTCTCTTGCCCATTTCCTAGGAGATAACCTGTAAACCTTTGGAATATTGGGCCTGATAAGAGTGTCTTTTTATATCAGAGGCTTTGGGCCACACTAGATATTTATGCTAACAATGTGATTTGTAGTGGGGCCTTGGGCCACAGGGTATCAACTTGACCTCTGGAAGGGCTAGAAACTGAAGACCGGCCAAGTGGAGAATTCAGCCATACCTATGTGATCAACTTCCAATAAAAGTCTTCAATACCAAGGCTTGGATGAGTTTCCCTGGATGACAGTACTCTGTGTGAGTCATCACGCATCCCTGCTAGGAGGAGTAAGCACTCTCTCTGCTACCGCACTGATAAAGACAATGGAAGCTTGTGCCTGGTCTCTCCTGGACTCCTCCCCATGCACCTTTTTCCTTTGCTGATTTGATTATTATTATTATTTTAGTAGAGACAGGGTCTTGCCATGTTGCTCAGGCTGGTCTCAAACTCCTGGGTTTAAGTGATCCTCCTGCCTAAGCCTCTAAAGTGCTAGGATTACAGGTGTGAGCCCCCATGCCCCGCTCCTGATTTTAATCTATATATTTTCAGTGCAATAAACTGTAACTCTGAGTAAACAGCTTTCCTGAGTTGTGAGTCCTTCTAGTGAAACTTTGACTCCGAGGGTGTCTTAGGGGACCCTCAAATACACACATTAATTTTGAAGGCCTTTATTTTGAAGCTTAAGCACAATACCATTATTGCACCTAAAAACTTAATAATTTCTTAATATTATCAGATATCCAGTCAGCATTCTCCAGTCAGATTTCTCTAACTTGTGATTTTTAGGAAAAGTTTGTGAGTCACGATTCAAATAAGACCCCTACATTATATTTAATTTACATATTTTTAAGACTGCTTTAATCTATACATTACCCTTCTATCTAATTTTTCCTTTTTGCAATTTGCTTGTTGAAGACTTTTTTTTTTGTAGCTCTCCCAGTCTGGATTTTGTAGAAGATTGCATCCCCATGGTGATGTTGACATATCCTGTTTTTTTGTTTGTTTGTTTTTTTGTTTGTTTGTTTTTGTTTTTGAGACAGGGTCTCACTCTGTTGCCCAGGCTGGAGTGCAGTAGTGTGATCTCAGCTCATTGCAATCTCTGCCTCCCAGGTTCAAGCAATTCTCCTGCCTCCGGAGTAGCTGGGATTACAGGCACACGCCACCACACCTGGCTAATTTTTGTATTTTTTGGTAGAGACAGGGTTTCACCAGGCTGGTCTCAAACTCCTGACCTCAAGTGTTCTGCCCACCTCAGCCTCCCTAAGTGCTGAGATTACAGGTATGAACCACTGTGCCTGGCCTACATATCCTGTTTTCTGTATTTCCTGTTTGATCTAGAGGCATAATCAAATTCAGATTCAACTTTTTTGGCAAATACTTAGTCATTTTTGGCTACCCTTCCTATTTTAGGGGACACATTTCTAGTTTTGTCCCCGCCTTTCATTCCAGAACCTGAAAAGGGAGCAGATGTTCCAGGGAAGCCAATTCCTGGACGTATGTCCTTGGCTGGGCCAATCCGACACTCCCTCCAGTCTCTGAATCTGAAATGAGTGGCACAAAGAAACAGGCAAGAGCTGAAGACTCATTCCCGGGTGGCAGCAGTGGCCAGACGAGCAACAGTATCCTGACCTACTCTTCTTGTGATGTGATTTTGAACTTTTGACTGTGATTCCAGCTGCCCAGACTCCCCTGACCCTGCCCATGCCCCAGTCCTATCTGTCCAGTCAGAGGTGGATTCTGTTGTTTGCAACCAAATCTGACCCCTGATGAGTCTACCTTCCAATGTGATGGTTCTGAAGAGAGCTGTACTATTTTGATGTATAACTTCTGGTATGTTTTGTCCAAAGATCTGTCTCTCTACCTTATGGCCACAACTCTGAGATTTCCATATGTTTTTTGACTGATGATAACCTGTTTATTTTGCATATAGTAGAATCTCACCGCTGTAACTCAAAATGCTGGTGGCAAAGGCAGTCTGACTCAGTGAGATGACAGGAAAATCAAAGACATTGAAAAGCATATATATGAGAATAAATTCTCTCTCTATAGAGAGAGTATACATATGTGCGTACATATACTTTATACAGACTTGTATGTGTATGCACAGGCATGTATTTATATATAGTAATAAGAGGATACATTCTAGTATATATCAGAGTACTTATTGTAAATGCCAATAAAAGGGCATATTGATAAAGGAAGTTGACAAAGAATGAGGATTCATAATAGGCTTACATTTTATATTAAGGCGTCATGCATTGTATTTAAAGTACTTTTCTAAATTAAAACAACTCATCGCTAGACGTAGTGATGGTATATTTAAAAATTTGCATCTTACTATGCCTCTAGTTTAAAGGTGTTGTAAGATTGCAGATAAGTGGTAAAATATCTGAAAAAAAGTTACAGAAGAGGGTGGCTGGCAAGATGGCCAAATAGGAACAGCTCCAGTCTGCAGCTCCCAGCAAGATCCAATGCAGCAGGCGGGTGATTTCTGAATTTCCACCTGAGGTACCTGGCTCATCTCATTGGGACTGGTTAGACAGTGGGTGCAGCCCACCGAGGGTGAGGTGAAGCAGGGTGGGGCGTCGCCTTAGAAAACCCCATCATCTCATCCCAAAATCTCCTTAAGCTGATAAACAACTTCAGCAAAGTCGCATGATACAAAATCAATGTGCAAAAATCACAAGCATTCCTATATACCAATAATAGACAGAGAGCCAAATCATGAATGAACTCCCATTCACAATTGCTACAAAAAGAATAAAATACCTAGGAATACAACTTACAAGGGATGTGAAGGACCTTTTAAAGGAGAACTACAAACCACTGCTCAAGGAAATAAGAGGAGACACAAACAAATGGAAAAACATTCCATGCTCATGGATAGGAAGAATCACTGACTTTCTTCACAGAATTAGAAAAAACTACTTTAAATTTCATATGGAACCAAAAAAGAGCCTGTATAGCCAAGAGAATCCTAAGCAAAAAGAACAAAGCTGGAGGCATCATGCTACCTGACTTCAAACTATACTACGAGGCTATAGTAACCAAAACAGCATGCTACTGGTACCAAAACAGAGATATAGACCAATGGAGCAGAACAGAGGCCTTAGAAATAACACCACACATCTACAACCATCTGATCTTTGACAAACCTGACAAAAACAAGCGATGGGGAAAGGATTCTCTATTTAATAAATCGTGTTGGGAAAACTGGCTAGCACTATGCAGAAAACTGAAACTGGACCCCTTCCTTACACCTTATACAAAAATTAACTCAAGATGGATTAAAGACTTAAATGTTAGACCTAAAATCATAAAAACCCTAGAAGAAAACCCAGGAAATACCATTCAGGACATAGGCATGGGCAAAGACTTCATAACTAAAAACACCAAAAGCAATGGCAACAAAAGCCAAAATTGACAAATGGGATCTAATTAAACTAAAGAACTTCTGCACAGCAAAAGAAACTATCATCAGAGTGAACAGCAACCTACAGAATGGGAGAAAATTTTTGCAATCTATCCATCTGACAAAGGGCTAACATCCAGAATCTACAAGAAACTTAAACAAATTTACAAGAAAGAAAACCCCATCAAAAAGTGGGCATAGGATATGAACAGACACGTCTCAGAAGAAGACATTTATGTGACCAACAAACATGAAAAAAAGCTCATCATCACTGGTCATTAGAGAAATGCAAATCAAAACCACATGAGATACCATCTCATGCGAGTTAGAATGACAATCATTAAAAAGTCAGGAAACAACAGATGCTGGAGAGGATATGGAGAAATAGGAATGCTTTTACACTGTTGGTGGGAGTGTAAATTAGTTCAACCATGTGGACGACAGTGTGGTGATTCCTCCAGGATCTAGAACCAGAAATACCATTTGACCCAGCAATCCCATTACTGGGTATATACCCAAAGGATTATAAATTATTCTACTATAAAGACACATGCACATGTATGTTTATTGCAACACTATTCACAATAGCAAAGACTTGGAACCAACCCAAATGCATATCAATGACAGATTGGATAAAGAAAATGTGGCACATATATAACATGGAATACTATGCAGCCATAAAAAAGCATGAGTTCATGTCCTTGGCAGGGGCATGGATGAAGCTGGAAACCATCATTCCTAGTAAACTAACACAGGAACAGAAAACCAAACACCGCATGTTCTCACTCATAAATGGGAGTTGAACAATGAGAACACATGGACACAGGGAGGGGAACATCACACACCAGGGCCTGTGAGGGAGTGGGGGGCTAAGGGAGGGATAGCATTAGGAGAAATACCTAATGTAGATGATGGGTTGATGGCATGTGTATACCTATGTAACAAACTTGCACATTCTGCACATGTATCCCAGAACTTAAAGTATAATTTAAAAAATTACAGAAGAAAAAATGTGTAATTTTTTAGGCAGTAAGAAACAAATACCCAAAAGCTGAATTGTTAAAAATTCCAAATTTAGTGGGATTTTAATTCATGTGCTACACTCCCCATCTATTCAGGTTATCCTTGTATGGGAAGAGTCACATTAAAGATACTTGAATGGAATTAAGTAGAGACTTAAAGGTGCAGAGATTTGTTTTGAGTGACGGGATTCCTTGGTTTCCACACCTTTAGAGCACAGGCCCATGTGTGGCCTCTCAGGGTATTCTGCCAGTTTCCTTTGCTTCTGCCCGTCTCAATCTTAGCATCCACATTTCTCTGTGTTTCTGTCCAGTCTCCTAGCCCACTGCTTTCCTTCCCACTATCCAGCTCAGAATTTATCTCCAACTTTTTGCCCCATGCATTTGGCCTGACACAAAGTGGTGTGGCCTTTGACTTGGCCTGGGGACATGCACATCATTCCCTGTTTCCACCCATTCTCAGACGCTGCCCTGGCAAGGGAATGTCATGCAAGATGTCTTGCTTATTAATCTTAGGGACACTTATGCCATAAAAAAAAAGGTGATTTCATCACACGCAACTTTTGTTCTATCTAGAAAGTCATGAAATAGCCTTACATGCTAAGTTTTGGAGTTTTATTATTTCACCTTTAATTGTACTTTTTCTGTTTTTGTTTTTTTTTTTTTTTTTGATTTTTGTTTTTTGGTAATTCACGTTTATAGAGGTATAATTTAAATACAGTAAAATTCTTCTAAGGTGTTACTTTTTTGCATTTTGACAAACACATACAATCATGTAACCTCCACCATAATCAAAATTTCTATCACCCCAAAGTTCCTTCCTACCTGAGAAATAAAAATAAAATTCTAAGCCCCATCTGACTGAATGGACCCCCTATTGGAAAGGGGGATTGCAGAGAAACTTTGGAAGCTGAGTTCCCAGCAATGACAGAATAGGGAGGTTGGGGAGGCCTCATTATACCATCTCCCACCCTAACCACCATTAGACTTTCTTCCCTAAGGGCCACACAGAAACCAGCCCTTTCAGAACCCTCCACACTGATAATGTCCATTACCAGCTTATCTTCCCAGGTACAGAATAAAGACAAGAGGAGATTAATTGTTCCTTCACCCCTCCCTGAGATGTCCACATCCTCTCTTCCCTTTTTCTTCCAATGTTCAGCTTGTCTTATGTAACATGTAGATTTAGTGGCACTAACTAAAGTCTCACAAGCATGTAACCATTTGTCTCACTGCCACCTCCACTTTTTTTTTTAAAGGAAAATGTATAAAATACTAAGCCTCCTGAGAATCTCTTTGGGAAAAAACAGACACAGATGCATCTGTGACTCTCCTTCTTCTCTGGGCCTACCCTCAAGCTGGCTCGATAAACCTCAATGGCTGAGACTTACATCTGTCACTCATTTTGGTTTTGTCATACCCTTTGCAGTCAATCCCCTTCCCCTATCCCCAGTCACCAGTGATCTGTTTTCTGTCCCTATGGTTTTGTCATATACATGGAGTCATACAGTTTATTACCTTTTTATTGCTGAATAGTATTCTTTTATTTTTTATTTATTTTATTTTTTTAAGACAGTCTCATTTTGTAACCCAGGCTGGAGTGCAGTGGCACCCTCTGCTCACTGCAACCTCCACTCACTGCAACCTCTGCCAACCAGGTTAAAGTGATTTTCCCACCTCAGCCTCCTGAGTAACTAGGACTGCAGGCACCCGCCAGTATGCCGGCCTAATTTTTATATTTTTTGGTGGAGACAGGATTTTACCATGTTGGCCAGGCTGGTCTCAAACTCCTGACCTCAAGTGATCCACCCACCTCGGCTTCCCAAAGTGCTGGGATTACAGGCATGAGCCACAGCACCCAGCCTGAATAGTGTTCTTAATTGTCTTTAAGACAATTATTTTTCTCAGTGGCAACATTAGCTTTGAAATTCTAATGGAAACCAATGGGAAATGTTGATTCAGGCTAGAAACATTTGCCTTAGAGACCACTTTCAAGAACATATCAATTTCATTATGTGAAAGCATACCTGAATTCAATATTATTTATTGGTCTATACATATTATTCATCAATGTGAGAGACCAGGCCTAGCCAAACTAATAATATCCCTTGGGAATTTTTGCCATACTACTCCCCTCATTCCCAGCCCAGGTGGAGAACTACAGACATAAATGTTTCAATGCTATGCTTACTGCTAGTGTTTAATCAGTGCTGCTGCTTGTGGGTGGGGATAAGACCAAGGACAATTGGATCTGCATAGAAAATTAGTGTTTCTAGGGCACCTGTAGCATAGGTTGATTGGATTCACCTCACCCATATGAATCAGTAGCCATTAGTTTGGTGAAGAGAGGAAAGTAATCATTCCAGGCAGGCATGTGCAAAGGTCCTGTGGCATTATGCTGCACCAGATTAGAGTGGTCTCAGGGCTGACATTCAACTGTTTGCACTGGTCAGACCATCAGGATGTCCAGTATTTACTCTGATAGAGCATGTGCCTTGCCAATTGTTAAATATTTTCAAATATCCCTGCTGAAGGTACTCTATGGCCAGCTAGCCTCAGGCAGTTAGGCTATTGCATACTTGAGTCCTGCTAGAAGCAAGGGTCAGAGGGAAGGCACTCGAACTCAGAGATCCTGTCCCTCAAGTGCATACTGGACTGAGCTATCCGGTAAGACTTCCTAGAGAAGCTAGGCCTTCACAGCTTAGCAGTAGTAAGTGCCATGGACAAAATTTGAGTCCCCAGAGTCCTTTTCCTGGAACCACCAAGAAAACAAGCTGAACCCAGACCACTTCTGAAAGTGCCTAGCATAAAGCAGGTGGTCATTAAATATTCATTGACCTGCTGACTGGCAGAGGACACTCAGACATCCCTTTTATTTACTTTTCTTCTGAAGTTGTATCTCTAGTTAATGCCTGTTTTACTTAACAGTCTAGGTTTGGCTCAACGGAATTCCATCTGGATTTCAAATATTTAGAGATTATCTAATCCAATGCTAATTTTACCAATGAGAAAGAAAGTAATTTGGCTAAAATAGACAACTAGTCCGTGGGCATATGATATGGTTTGGCTCTGTGTCCCCATCCAAATCTCATCTTGAATTGTAATACCCCGTGTCGAGGGAGGGACCTGGTGGGAGGTGATTGGATTATGGGGGTGATTTCCCCCATGCTGTTCTCATGATAGTGAGTTCTTATAAGATCTGATGGTTTTAAAGTGTTTGGCAGTTCCCCGCCACTGCCCCTACCACTCTGCCCCTGCCGTCTTGTGAAGAAGGTACTTCCTTCACCTCTCCAATGATTGTAATTTTCCTGAGGCCTCCCCAGTCATGTGAGTCAATTAAACCTCTGTCCTTTATAAATTACCCAGTTTCAGGCAGTTCTTTATAGCAGTGTGAAAATGGACTAATACAGCACACCTGACTAGAACTCAAGTTTACCAATTCAAAGTTAATGCACTCTCCTGTTTTAATAAAAACAAACACTCCTTCTGCCCCCCCACCCCCCAAAAGAGAAAAATGTGTTTACGTTCTTGGAAGCAAGACTGATTAAATTGCTGGGTTTGGATTTCAGTTCAGTAAGGTCATGGTTTGGCCTATAGCAGCAAGTTAATATTTCAGATAAAGCAGATATAAAATGTAAGAGCCCACACACCTCTGGAAACTTCAGTACAACTTCGCAGAGCAGGCTGATGTCCAATAATTTTATGATGCCACTGTTGGGGCAGGCCCTCAGTCTATTGCCAGGAGCTCCCCTGGATCTGGGAGGATGTGCAGAAGGGTCCTGATGCAGCTCACTGATTTTCTAGGATAAAGAAATTGAAATAGGATTAGGCTGGGAGAGGCTTATCTCAGTGCTGCTAGAATGTTCTTTCCTGCATAAACGACTTCCTTTTATTATATTTTCCTCCTACACTGGTAGAATAATTTACAGAATGTTATGTGTCTAGTTTTTGTGACAGAAAAATGGGCGACAGCTCTAATTTCAGCGGGTGGGGAGAAAGGCTTCAGAGTGCTTCCCGGATTCCTTGCTGAGAATTTTTGCAGTCTAATTAGGGTAAATTACATAAAATGCAATTTGGACTGGGCTGCCTTCTCACTAAGGTAACTTAGACTTTCAAAATGGAGAACTAGAAATGAACAGATTTTTTAAAAAGCTTTTACCATTTTTGAATTAACAAAACATTAAGTGAATGAGGATCGGCCCTTAAAATCCTCTGAATGGAAAGTGCCTCCCTCTGATGTCTTTGATGAACCCATCCTCTTAACTGGTGGCTTTGTGTTCAGTTCGACCAAAAGTGAATAGTAAAATAGTTAGGGGCCTTGTTTTGTCATCTGACATTTAAACAGAATTTGCAGGTGCTGGAGAATCTCTAGAAGAACAATAGCATTCAGGCAGGGAGTCTTGCTCATTGTTGAAGAAATGCCATGGCAACATCTCTGTGAAGTTGCTTGTGGGTGGATGGGACTGTGCCAACCTCCAAGTTCATGCTGTGTGTGTGTGTGTGTGTGTTTCACATGGATCACCCTGTCTTGTAAATCCTCATGTAAGGATATATATTTAGTTATATATCCTTATATCAGCCACCCAAAGAAGCTTCTAATTTGTACTTCAAGCTAAGAACAAAAAGTAAAATCAAATAAATTAATCAGTGAGGGGGACCGAAAAGAGCCTGCACTCAAGCCTATGCCATACAAATGAAGCTAAGAACGAAAAAGCAGTTCATAGCTTGGAGAGCTCTAGAGGCATATAATTTAGGTGGAGGTATTAGGAACAGGAAGAGCTCTAACAAGCCAGAATTTTGAGAGAGATTTGGATTCTTTCTGCAGGTAGAACAAAATTTAAGTCTTTTTTCAATTTGGTAATTTAGTTTTGATTACCAAAGAGTCAAAGTAACTAAAATGTTCACAATGTAGTGGTGCCAGTATGCGCCATTGACTGTGTTCTGAGAATTTATAAAATATCCTTTACCTGTTTGGCTGAAGACCAAGAAAGGGTTGAAGATGAGCTGGGGATGGTGGGTGAACAAAACTAGGAAGAATGGAATAAACATTTACTAGTCTGCTTCTCTATGCCCAAAATTCTGATGTCTGCTTTACATATATGCTTATTTTATTCTTCGCTACCAGTCCTTGAATAGTTGGAGAAAGAACTTTTCTGTCACACATTTATTAGACAAATGTGCTTATAATGCCCCAGGCACAGGAGTAGTCTCTGAAAATAAAATGTTGACCCAAACAGGTATGGCTCTTGCAGTCAGGGAGCTTATATGCTAGAGGGGATATCTTCATTGATAAAATAGTCACACAAACATGATTAGTAATGGGAATGGGAGGTAAATGGCACTATGAGAATACTTAGAGATGGATCAGGGAAGGCTTCCTTAAGAAGCACAATTGAGCCAAGATTGTAAGAATGAATAGAAAATAAGTAAATAAAGTGAGAAGAAAGCATGTTTTAGGCAGATGGAGGAAAGAATATGTGTAAAGGCATGTAGCAGAAAGAAACGTAGCTGATATGAGAGAATAAATGATAGCTAATTTGTTACTCTGGGTTCCAAACTGGAAAAAAAAACAGAAAAAATTCTGGCCAATTTTTGCTGAAAAGGAATTTATTAAAAGATTGGATAGTATACAGAGATCTTGGAGTACTGAAGAAGCAAGTCCAGTAACCATGTCTGAAATAATTTCATGGAGCATGTGCCATGAAGTTATCATTAAAACTGGCATCATTGGTACCACCAATTTAGGCCTACTTCTAGCCCCAAGTGGAAGATTTTAGCCATAACTCTGAAGAGTCTTGAAGTAAAATCACACTCTCCTTAGAAAGTAACTATTCTCCTTTTGAAAAATCATTCCTGGATTGCTACTAGATGTCAATAGAGATTGAGTTCCTAGTCACCAAGTGACATAGCGTGTGAGTTTCTCTTCACTGACTGGGTATTTCTGATATTCCAAGCAATAAGGCAGATGTGCCCAATAGCACTCCATCAGCAAGAAGAAACAATATGTGATAGTAAATCTCCAAGACAGCTCCCAATGATCTTCGCCTCCCAGTATCCATGCTTCATGTAGTCCCCATCTCCCACATTGTATCAGAACTGGTCTGGGTGACCAATAGAATACAGCAGCAGTGATGGTATGTAGCTCCAGAAACTAGGTTATAAAAACACTACGGTTTCTGCCTTGCTTTCTCTCTTGGATCACATGTTCTGGCACAAGCCGGTTTGCCATGTTATGATGACACTCAAACAGGCTATGGAGAGGCTGAACTGAAGATCTTGCCAGTAGCCAAGGAGGAACCAAAGCCTCCTACCAGCAGCTATGTGAGTGAACCACCTTGGAAGTGGATCTTCCAGCACCAGTCAAGCCTTCAGATGATTACAGCCTTGACTGACACCTTGATTACAGCTTTGTAGAGAAACCCTGAGCCACAACCACCCAGCTAACCCACTCCTAGATTTCTATCTTTGTTTTCTGCTGCTACAATAATACTACAGACTGTGAGGGTGGTGACAATAAGATTAGCTGTGCTCAGTTTCCAGCAGTTGCAACAATAATTTATAAACAATAAAAGGTTATTTGACTCATGATTCTAGAAGCTGGGAAGTCCAAGAGCAAGGTGGTGGCATCTGGTGAGGGTCATCCCATGGTGGAAGGTGGAAGGCAGAAGTGAGTGCACAAGACAGAGAAAATAGGACCAAATTCATTATTTTTATCAAGAACCCAACTCGTAACTAATCCACTTCCATGACAATGGCATTAATCCATTCATGAGGGTGGAGCCCTCATGGCCTAATCACTTCTTAAAGGTTCCGCCTCTTAATACTGTTACAACAGAAATTAAATTTCAAGTTTTGAGTTTTGAAGGGGACACTCAAACCATGGTAGTGACTCTTAAAAAGTATGTGAAATAATAAATGTTTGTTGCTTTAAGATACTACGTTTTGGGGTAGTTTGTTATGCAGCACCCCCTCCTGGAAGCTTTCACAGCTGGCGTTGAGTGTCTGCAGGCTTTCCACGTGCATGGTTTAAGCTTTTGGCAGATCTACCATTCTGGAGTCTGAAGGATGGTGGCCCTCCTCTCACAGTTCCACTAGGCAGTACCCCAGTGGGGACTTGGTGGAGGGGGGTGAGGCTCTTACCCCACATCTCTATTCTGAACTGCCTTAGCAGAGGTTCTTCATGAGGGCTCTGCCCCTGTAGCAAACTTCTGTCTGGACATCCAGGCATTTCCATACATCCTCTGAAATCTAGACAGAGGTTCCCAAACCCCAATTCTTGATTTCTCTGCACTCACAGGCTCAACACCACATGTAAGCCACCAAGGCTTGGAGCTTGCACCCTCTGAAGTAATGGCCCAAACTGTACCTTGGCCCCTTTTAGCCCCAGCTAAAGCTGAAGCAGCTGGAATGGAGGGTACCATATCCCAAGGCTACATAGAGCAGGGGGCCCTGAGCTTGGCCCCAGGAAACCATTTTTCCCTCCTAGGCCTCTGGGCCTGTAATGGGAGGGACTGCCATGAAGGTCTCTGACACGGCCTGGAGATATTTTCCCCCATTGTCTTGGTGTTTAACACTCGTCTCCTTGTTGCTTATGCAAATTTCTGCAGAGGGCTTGAATTTCTCCCCAGAAAATGGTTTTTTTTTTCTGTTGCATCATCAAGCTGCAAATTTTCCAAACTTTTATGCTCTGCTTCCTCTTGACCCTTTGCTGCTTAGAAATTTCTGCCAGATACCCTAAATCATCTCTCTCAAGTTCAAAGTTCCACAGATCTCTAGGGCAGCAGCAAAATGCTGCCGGTCTCTTTGCTAAAGCATAGCAAGAATCACCTTTATTCCAGTTGCTAACACGTTCCTCATTTTCAATGAGACCACCTCAGCCTGGACTTCATTATTGATATTATTATCAGCATTTTTGCCAAAGCCATTCAACAAGCCTCTAGGAAGTTCTAAACTTTCTCCCACATCTTCCTGTCTTCTGAGACCTCCAAGTCTCTGGGAAGTTCCAAACTTTCCCACATTTTCCTGTCTTCTTCTAAGCCCCCCAAACTCTTCCAACCTCTGCCTGTTACCTAAAGTTACTTCCAAATTTCTGGGTATCCTTATAGCAGCATCCCACTCTACCAATACCAACTTACTGTATTAGTTCCTTTTCAAGCAGCTATAAAGAAATGCCTGACACTGAGTAATTTATAAAGGAAAGAGGTTTAATTGACTCACAGTTCTGCAGGGCTGGGGAGACCTCAGGAAACTTACAGTCATGGCAGAACGGGAGGCAAACACATCCTTCTTTACATGGCGGCAGGAAGGAAAAGTGCTGAGCAAAGAGGGAAAAGCCCCTTATAAGACCATCAGATCTTGTGAGGACTCACGCACTATCATGAGAACAGCATGGGGGTACCTGCCCCCATGATTCAATTACCTCCCACTGGGTCCCTTCCATGACATGTGGGAATTATGGAACTACAATTCAAGATGAGATTTGGATGGGTGGGGACACAGCCAAACCATATCAGGGAAGTTCCAGGGGCTTCCTCTCATTTCTTCCTATTACAATAACCTCTCTTCCTCAGATCAGGAGGCCAATGTAGGATTTTTGACCATTGTAGACTATATCTACTCCAACTCTACATCCAGGAATGGGTGAATAACCTTGAATTAGTGTTAAAGCCTCAGTAAACCCACCATGAGATGGATTCACGCCAAACTTCAAACATCACCTGATTATCACCTGACAAGTCTAAAAGGAATATTTACAGCATATACTTGGGGTGATCCACAGGATATTTCACTTGCAATGCCTCTTCATTCAGGTCACTCTAGGTCTTTGAATTAACTAAGCCTGGGATGGGGTATTATAGTAGACATTCTCTGCCCATCCATAGCCCCTTGGGTCTTTTTTACCATTTCTGTGCACCCCTTCCCCTTGTTTGGGGTTCTTTTGCTTCTAATATCTTATACTTGTAACTCTTTTCAGAGCTGTGTCCTGTAACTATTGGAGGCACTTTGGCCACATGCAGAGAGCTGGATGTGCCTAGGAATTCATGACCTCTTTCCCTCCTGGGGCTTCTACTCAAAGACTGATTGGTCCAGCTTCCTTGTCTGGAGTTGGGTCAAACTCAAGCATAATTTAAACTCGAGTTCCCATGTGGGATCAGGCCAAAGCTAGGGCTTGGCCTGAAACTGCAACCTTTCTTGGCTTCTCTCCCTTTCCTATCATGCTTCCTCTTTCCTTACCGGTTTCTCCTGGGAACACTTTCTTAGTCAATTACTTGCATAGAAATCTTCATTTCAGGGTTTACTTCAAAGAACTTGACCCAAGACAGGAGCCATAACTATGTGGTGTCTCTGGCCTCTGTTCATCAGATTTAGATTTTGTTTACTTATTTGTTATTTTGGCCAAGAAGGAATTAAGTGGACTGGATGTCTATTTCAGTCTAAGGAGGTCACAGTCAATGACCATTGCCAAAGATCCCTGTGGTAAATCAATCATCCTGTTACTCTAGTCCCACATCCTATTCAATAACAACCCCCATCTTGCCTCAGGGAGGTAAATGCAGATTCTAGGCTTTATGTGCCCTGGAATCCCAGCATTGTCATTGAAATCAGAAAACCCATTTCCATCTCAGTTTCTCTCACCAGCATCCTCAACCTATAGAGAAAAGCTCGTGCCATTACTTTTGAAGACGATGGCAATAATTTCACCATTGTAATTTCTGGGGGTGATAAAAGGAGCATCTTCTGGGCTGTCTTGCAATATATAGAAGATGGGTAAATGGGATGCCCATAATAAGTCCTCAACATTCCTATATCCCTAGGGCACTGGATCCTTTCCTGTATATTTGCTGCTCATAAGGTATGAGGACCAGGAATACTGGGATCCTCTGGGAGCTTGTTAGAAATTCTGAATCTTGGACTCTACCAAAGACCCTACTGAATCAGAATTTTAACAAGACTCTCATGCTATTCATGTGCACGTTAAAGTTTGAAAAGCACCAACCTAAATTTGCTGTGCCAGCGAATTTCTGGCATTTCAACATCTTGCAGTTAGGCCACCCCTGAGCCCAGGTATCGGTCAATTAATTGGAACCAACTAAAGTCACTTCCAGCTGCTCAAGCTAGCATATTGAATTTAGATGTTCTGGTCCACAGAGGGGCTAGTAAATTCAGCCGGATCTAAAATTATGTTTCTCCCTCTTTGGTCTAGACCAATACTCTGCAAGTGTTTGAAAATGAAAATGAGCAATAGCTTGCATATCCTTTGGCATGTACATCTCCTACTGGGCTTGTCTTTGTAATTACAGGTCATAAATTCCAGCCATAAGACTGGAATCTAGCCATGAGCCTGGAAACTATAAGGGTGGCAGGGCTAAATCGTGAGGTGAATTGGCTCACTTGGCAAGATACCTGTCTCAGCCATGATCTTTGGGGTCCTCAAAAAGGGAGAGCTTCATCAGAAGTGAAAGGAAAGACTCCTTCAGCTGGGGTTTGAAAGCTTGGGAGGCATTTGAATTCTCCTTTCATATCCCATTCCATTCCAATCTACTGTTTCTTAATCCATGTCCAAACTTCTACATAGGAATAAATGATGCTATGCATTAACCTGATATTGTAATTCAGCAATCCATAGGATCAAATTTCCAGTTCAGTTTTTGCCTATCTCTGCCTGCAGCTTCACACTATGACATATTAATTCAGCAGTCATTACTTCTGTTCCTGTCTTGAACTGAGTATTTAGGACTTAGAGCTTGTCATTCTTATTTCTTTAATCTCTTCAGTGTCACTAAGAAACAACCACCTCCCCAGCTGGTCCTTGAATTAAAAAGCTGGTCCTTGTGCTTTTGATAACTCTTCTATGGCAGATGCCACTTAATTCCCCCAAGCCCTACCTTTAGTGGACACTCTGTTCCAGATAATACAGTTAATAATTTACCTAACAGTTTAATCACTGGATACCATACTGTGTGGATTTGCTGCATTTTACTCACTGCACCCTCAACTGTACCAGATAATCAAGTTCAGATTCATCCTATTATCTTAAGGGTCTATTCGTTGTCATCACTTCTGGAACAAATTAGAAGTCAGGGTTTTTACCTTGCAAATAGGTCCACTCTGGCTAATTTAAGCACAAAAAGAATTGATTACAGGATATTGAGCAGTTCCCAAACTCTCCGGAAAGACAGGAGAAACACACCCAAGAGGAACATTCAAAATCCTGCTATAGACCTGGCCTCAGGAAGCCCCCCTAGTGCTGCTTTTATGGGGCACAGACTCTTCTGCTGGCTCTGCTTACCTAACCACTACCAGCAGTGGCTGTTGCTGTGTCTGCTTCCCCTGCTGTCTCTGCACACTCATGACAGCAATCATAACTTCCATGCTCATTTCAACAGATTGTACTATTTTGCATTCTTTTGTGTCATAAGTGCCAGAGTCTGGTGTGGGGACAGCTGATGGCTGGAGTGTCACAGGCCAGTGCCTTAGCTGCAAGGGACACCATGAAAGCACAGCTTTAATAGTGGGAGAAACTGTTGCCTGCAAAGATTCATAAGTTGGGAAATCCTCCAAAGGAAGGGCATTCAGATATTGCCTCTGTCATAGCTCATGTGATTGAGTATAGACATCAAGGGTGAGTGTGGCTGAGATGAGGCTAGAGAGGTAAGCAGGGACCAGATTAGCAGAGCTTCAAGGCTTATTTTAAGGATGGATTCTTCTAAAATTGGTAAGATTTTTAAAGGGCCTCAAATTGAGAAGAGGCTGTCACATGATCAATTTTTAACATTACAGTAAGAACATCCCTCTGGAGAGCTTATTGGATGCAGCAAGAGAGGCTGTGAGTGCACCTGTTAGGCTATTTCACTTATTCAGATGAGAGATGATGGTAGTGTTACCGGGGGAGTCCTTGCTCCCAGAGCTCCCAAGATGGCGGCAGGCCACTTCCAAAATGGTGGCAAGCCTCATGTTCTCTGACCTGGGGTTCTTGGCCTCATGGATTCCAAGGAATGGAATCTTGGGCCATGCAGTGAGTGTTATAGCTCTATTAGAAGCCATGGGTCACGGAAAAGAACTGTGAACCCAGTGACTAGTGTTCAGCTCAATTAGGACGAACCTGGGCACTTAGCCATGCAGGAACAATGGCAAGACTTTAGCCCGATCAGGAGCAGCAATGGGTGCCTTGCTGGATCAGGGGCACAGAGGACACCCTGCCGAATCCGAAGGGATGGAAGTCAGTGGCAGGTCTGCGGCGGCAGCAAACAGCAGTGGTGGACAGTGAACAAAAGCTCAGCTAGAGCCGAGCCATAGCAAACATGCACCAGAAGAGAGCGCAGTTGCAAGATTTAATAGAGCGAAAACAGAGCTCCCATACAAAGGGAGGGGACCCAAAGAGGGTAGCCATTGCCGGCTTGAAGGCCTGGGTTTATATCCCGATCATTGTCCCCCTCACTGTACTCTCAGGCAATAGATGATTGGCTATTTCTTTACCTCCTGTTTTTGCCTAATTAGCATTTTAGTGAGCTCTCTTTATTACCTGGTTGGTCGGTGTGAGCTAAGTTGCAAGCCCCATGTTTAAAGGTGGATGTGGTCACCTTCCCAGCTAGGCTTAGGGATTCTTAGTCAGCCTAGGAAATCCAGCTTGTCCTGTCTCTCAGTAGCATGAGCAATATTGGTGACAGAGAGGAAGAGCTGAATTCAGTAGACCTGATGATGGTTGGATAGAAGCAGGTGAGGGAGAAGGAAGTGTCTAGGATGGCTTCAGGTTTCAGGCTACTGTCCCTGGATGAATGATGTTGCCACTCACTGGGATAGAGGAGACTGTGCATGGTTCTGGTTGGGGCAGAGATGTGGGTTGTTTGTGTTGCGGGGGGTATCGAAGATCCTCTATCTGCTTTTAAACAAGCTGAACTTGAAGTGCCTTTGGGATATCCAAAAGAAGATTTCAAGAAGGCCGTTTGATATACAGATCTGGATCCCAGTAAAAAGGTCTGGGCTGAAAATATGAATTTATAAGCCAACAGCTCATAAGCTGACACTTGAAATGTAGCTGTGAGTGAGATCATTTGGTGGGAGTGTGTAGGGCAGAACAAAATAGTTCTAGAAAGGTGTTTGGAAGGATGAAACATTTTTTTCTCTTTTCTTTTTTTCTTAGTCCATGACCTGTGTAAGGGATGAAACATTTTAGTGGCCAGTTTAGTGGGCTCTCTTGGTTGCTTTCTCAGAATTGGCATCCTCCGTTTCTCTTCCTAATCCCAATTTTGTTCAGATATTTCCTTTTTCCTTTTGCAGCTCTGTTCCTCTGCAGAATTTGACTTCATCTTCAATTCTACATGCGGCATGATTAGCATACAGGCAATCCTATTCCTCTTTCCAATGAATGGTTCAACAATGGCCATGTGACCTGCTAATGAGAGAGGAGAGAAGACCAGTTGTTAGGCTTTGGGAAAGTTTGTCCTTGATCCCAAGAGGGTACCAGAAGGAAATCAGTTTAAGTCTTTTGAACATCTTTGAGTCTAGATGTGTTGTCTGGCACTGCTGCATCTTTCCTGCTATCAGTTTGAGCATGCAGACATCACTGAGAGTGGCAGGAAGAGAGAGAGGTGCTAGAAACCCGGGGCCTTGGAGTCTTTTAATCTGCTAACCCTGAAATCCTGTTTCTCTTCCTTACTTCCTTCTATATGAGATGACACTTTTTATAATCTTTTTAGTTGGTTTGAGTTGAGATATCTGTTACTTGCAGCAGAGGAAAATGAGGCTGCACATTTACACCAGATCCCACAGCTAGTAAGAAAGACACCTGGAATTTGACCTTAAGTTGGTCTGAAGGCAGAGCCCATATGCTAGAACTATCGCCCTGCCCATTAAAGAAACATTTGCGTTTTCATTAGTTATTTTTTGTTAATTCCAGGACAGGAGATGGCAAAGGGGAGATAGTAAATATTTTAGGCTTTGCAGGCCATATGGTCTCTGTCCCAATTATCCAACTCTGCTGTTGTAGCAAAAGTAGTAATAGAAAATATGTAAACGAGTAGGTGTGGCTGTGCTCCAATAAAACTTTATTTACAAAAACAGGGGGTGGGCCTGTGGGTTGTAGTTTGCCAACGCTTGTTCTATTGTAAAAGACTAAGAAAATAAATTCTGAATTAAGACCCCGTGTTTTAATTACAAGTGTCATTGTAGGAAATAGTGACTGAATCCAGTTTAAGCACAGTCATGTGCCATTTAACGATATTTTAGCCAAGACAGACTGCATATACAATTGTGGTCTTGTAAGATGATAATGGAGCTGAGAAATTCCTATCACCTGGACACATCATGCTGATCCTGACTCTGTGGAGGTGGCTAATGTGTGTGTTTGTGTCTTAGTGTGGCAGGCCAATTCTCCCTGACAATTGCCCAGACAGGCCTGCATGCCAGGCACACAGACAGGCCTGCATAGCTCTCCAGTTACACAGACAAATTTCCACAGCACTGCCTTAACATTGAGCAAATCGTTAAACCTGGGGAAATTGGTGCCCAGACATCAAAGCTAGAAGTGAAACATATGGTCAGTAGGAGCCTTGCATGGACTTTTCCCTAACCTGGAGCAAGTCAAAGTAATAGAGACAGCCTTACATTCCTAGTGCCGGGACCCATCTTGGGTCGATGGAAACTGAGACAAGTCAAGGTAACAGAGGCAGCTGTTTGAATAGATTCATTGGAGAGCATAACACAGCTCTCCAGACCAAGCTGTAAAGGAGATAAGATAGAAATAATCACCCTGGTACCACAGTGGACAGGCCTGAAGGTACTGAGCCCTTTTAATCAAACTAAGCATTTTTTGCCTCTGATCTTCTAGTTGAAACAAAATTAGTTATCAACAGACTTAGGCGAATGCTATACGGCTTATAGGCACATAACCCCAGTCTATATAAGCACTAAGAAAATTGTAACACTTTGAGTTGGTCTGGTGGAATTATCTCGGGCCTTCTCCCTGTATCCAGTTACAGCAATGAATTCCCTTATTTCCTAGTTTGTCTGCTTCTTGTTATCGGGCAAATGCAGCTGGACCCGGCTTTGTTCTGAGAATATTAGTTTTTTAAAGAATTAAAAATGTAGACCGAGTGCAGTGGTTCACGCTTGTAATCCCAGCACTTTGGAAGGCCGAGGCAGGCGGATCACGAGGTCAGCAGTTCGAGACCAGCCTGGCCAACACAGTGAAACCCCTTCTCTACTAAAACTACAAAAATTAGCTGAATGTGATGGTGGGCACCTGTAATCCCAGCTACTCGGGAGGCTGAGACAGGAGAATCGCTTGAACCCGGGAGGCGGAGGTTGCAGTGAGCTGAGATTGTGCCACTGCACTCCAGCCTGGGTGAAAGAGCTAGACTCCGTCTCAAAAAAAAAAAAAAAAGGAAAAACCTTACAGAATAAAGATATAAGGAAAGAAAATATTTTTGTACAGCTGTGCAATGTGTGTTTTAAACTATTATTATAAGAGTCAAAAAGTGTTCAAAATGTTAAGTTTATAAAGTAAAAAAGTTACAGTAAGCTAAAGTTATGATTGAAGAGAATTTTTTATAAATTTAATGTAGCCTAAGTGTACGGTGTGTATAAAATCTGCAGTAGTGTCCAGTAATGTCCTAGGCC
Source organism: Homo sapiens (assembly GCF_000001405.40). Classification (NCBI taxonomy): domain Eukaryota; kingdom Metazoa; phylum Chordata; class Mammalia; order Primates; family Hominidae; genus Homo; species Homo sapiens. The sequence continues at coordinate 50,452,890 of NC_000018.10, forward strand.
TTCACATTCACTCACCACTCACTCACTGACTCACCCAGAACAACTTCCAGTCCTGCAAGCTTCATTCATGTTAAGTACCCTGTACAGGTGTACAATTAAGAAAATATATTTTAAACTGTACTTATACTGTGCCTTTTCTATGTTTAGATGTGTTTAGAGACACCAATACTTGCCATTGTGTTACAATTGCCTACAGTTTTCAATACAGTAACATGATGTACAGGTTTGTAGCTTAGGAGCAATAGGGTATCCCATAGAGCCTAGGTGTGTGGCAGGCTGTACCATCTAAGTTTGTGGAAGTGCACTCTGTGATGTTCAAACAATGATGAAATCACCTAATGATACATTTCTCAGAATACATCCCTGTTGTACTTGCTGCAACCTGTGAAATTTCAACACACAGCCAAATTCTATTTTGCTTTTTTAAAGTTTTTTTTTTTAATCTATGTCCCAGAATAGCAAGATTTGGATCAACATAACACAAATTGGTCTCTAAATATTGAGTAATTAAGAATGATTCACAAATATAGCATTATAACCAAGTGCCCTAGGGCATTTGCAAAGCTGGGAGGCTGAATGGGTTATGGTGGCTGCCTGAGGATTCTGGGAGATGAGGTTGTCTTTCCTTCTCTGACTCTATCGCTGCTTCCTCCTCACTTCCCTAAGGCAGCAAGGGGTGCTGGATCCTTCCCAACTAGAAGTGCCTATTGTACAAGGCATATGGGTGTAGTTAGGAGTGGGGTGGGGCTGAAGCAGTTAGGATCCCACACCTGTCTATTCCTAGTGCATGTTCACATAATTTTGGACAACCAGAACTTTCGACTTGTTCTACAGCAACCAACAGAGAATTATTAATAAATGCTCTTTTTTGGGGAGCTTGTAAGGTCTTTGATCTGTGGGAAGAGAAACACTTACTCTTTATTTTGTTTCTATCCTAGAGCTTGGAACAATAGTCAAAGTGTGAGCCAGTGAGGGTCTGTTGGCCAGAGTTGGCAAAAAGAAAGGTGAGCTGAAAACCTGAAGAAATCAATAACAGAACTGAATGATGTTGCAATGGCTGGGGGTAGTGAAAAAATTTTAAATGCTTCCACTTTCTGCACAGCGGGACATTCTCGGGGAAAGCACATTTTACGATGGACTCTCCACAGAGCAGAATATTTAATATTTCAACGTAGCAATAATACAGTCAAGGGCAATCAATAACAACTGCCACTTTTCTACCTGCCTTGATGAATGAAGGTGGGCTCTGGCCTCTCTCCAGTTGGTGCATTTCTGCCTGGCCTGTGCTTGTCAGCCAGGGAAGCATTCGTGGCCCCTGGATCCTGCTCCAGGCTGACTTCCCAGCACCCACCTCTGAGTTGGCCTGTCTTGTCTGTCACTACCAGAGAGAGGCCCCCTCAGGCTGCAGGGCTGAGCAGAAAGATACAGCAAGGCCAGCTTAAACTCCACCATCCCCAAACACTGGATCAGGCTCCCATTGGCACAGGTTAATTCCAGCCATAGCGTCCTGCACAGGTGGCTCAGGAGGGAGAGCCACAAAGCCGAACGTGACAAGCGTTTCATTTTACAGGACGCTTGCTGAAGACTGGGCTGGAAGAAGAGGAGATTTCAAAACACAACACAATTAGCCCCACGTCACAGGTGTGTACTAAGCAAAACCACAGCCCCAGAGCAGTCTTGGCTCTGAGTTGCACCACAAAGCTGAGGGCCTGGCTGGGAGCACAGGCTGTCAATTTCAAAAGAGATCCTTAGACAGAAAGTCATCACTTATTCATGCTTCATAAGCACACACAGACATTCAAATCCCTTAAAGACAGGATGCTGCATCACTTCAATTAACAGCAAAGTGAGGCCATTTGCAGCTCAAATTCTGCCAGCTGCTGATGGTAGGCGAGCTTCCGCAAGGAGGCAGTAAGCTGTCAAGCCCAATGCTACAGTGGCCAATTGAAATACAGGAAAAGGCCAGACGCAGTGGCTCACGCCTGTAATCCTAGCACTTTGGGAAGCCAAGGCAGGCAGATCACTTGAGCTCAGGAGTTTGAGACCAGCCTAGGCAACATGGTGAAACCCCATCTCTATATAAAGTACAATTAGCTGGGCGTGGTGGTGTGTGCCTGTAGTCCTAGCTATTTGGAGGGCTGAGGTGGGAGGATGGCTTGAGCCTGTGAGGCAGAGGTTGCAGCGAACCAAGATCACACCACTGCCCTCCAGCCTGGGTGGCAGACCCAGACCCTGTTTTCAAAACAAAACAAAACAAAACAAAAAGAAAAACAAATAAATCTAGGAAAGACTAACGTCCTCAGCTCTAGGAAAGATATTTGGGCATTTTTATGTTTTTCTTAATTTGTGGTACAAAACCAGAAAGTCTTAGTATTTGACTGTGAAAGCTGTCATAATCAAAATGGAGTCACTAATGTGAAGAAAACTGTAACAAATAGAGCTAGGGAAGGCAATGGGAAGAGTGTTCTCACACATGTATGCCTGAGTTTAAAAACTCAACAAAACCACAATCTTGCACAAAGGCCATCACAACCTTACACAAAAAATACTTCTGCAAGGACATTTGCCCTGCAACTGCCTGTTCAACATCAGACTGGTGGTGACCCTCATAGCCAAAGATAATTATTTCAAAACAATTGTGTAAAGTATTGTACAATTGTGTAGTTTTATTTGGCATGCATATTCCCATTGCCATGCCTAGGCGCAAATAAATCTCTTTTCTTTTAGAGATCCTCTCTCTGTTATTTAGGTTGACATGAGCTTTACTTGATAGGTAAGAAGAGGTACAAATTAGAAATAGCAGACCTGTTGGAGAAGGTGAAGCAGCAGCAAACTCATTATCACATGAATGGATGTTCTGTGTAGTTGGAATAAAAAGCTGGGACATTTTACTGGGACCTAAATGGCTTCAAATCAATGCCTCATACAAATGTAGGCATTAGATGGAACAAAACAAAACACCAGCAGCAAAACACACAATACTGCAGGAATCATGATAACCAAGTAGGTCTCTACTGATAAAACTTTTACAAAGCCATTGTTGACACAGTGTACCTCAAGTATTGGAGGGAGATGGCCTCGGTATAACTCTTTGTCCTAACATTTATTGATAAGAATCATCTGGTTGGAAGGCCCTTGTAGAGACTACTTAGTTCAATAATTCTTAACCAGGTGACATTACCCACCCCATCTCCTGTCATGGGGCTTTTGGAAATGTTTGGGTGTGGTTCTGGTTTTCATAATAACTGAGGATGGGCAGCTTTATAACTGAGAATTAGAGACCAGATGTCAAGGAGCGTTAAACATCCTTAACCCCTATATATGAGCAGTTCCACATAAGAATGATCCCAACTGAAAAGTCAGTAGTGCCTCTATGTTAGTCTGTTCTCATTCTGCTAATAAAGACGTACCTGAGACGGTAGTTTATAAAGGAAAGAGGTTTAATTGACTCACAGTTCCATATGGCTGGGGAGGCCTCACAATCATACCAGAAGGTGAATGAAGAGCGAAGTCACATCTTGCATGTTGGCAGGCAAGAGAGTTTGTGCAAGGGAACACCCATCTATAAAACCATCAGATCTCATGAGACTTATTCACTACCACGAGAATGGTATAGGGGAAACCACCACATGATTCAATTGTCTCCACCTGGCCCTACCCTTGACATGTGGGGATTATTACAATTCAAAGTGAGAGTCAGGTGGGGACACAGCCAAATCATATCAGCCTCCATTGGGAAACACTAACTTAGACCAATCACCCCATTATACAGATGAGAAAGCTGAAGCTTCAGGTTATGAAGTTTTTTTATCTAAGATCGCCCAGGTCAGTGACAAAGCTGGGCCCAGGACCCAAGATTCCTGACTCCCACTTCAGGGTATCCTTCCTTAAGTTTCCAGTGACCACCTTTCATAAACTTAGGACTGAGTTTGACAAGTGGGAGGGCACACCTGCCTAAACTAAAAGTATCTGAGACAGGTCTTAGTCAATTTAGAAAGTTTATTTTGCTAAGGTTAAGGAAGAACCATGACACAGCCTCAGGAGGTCCGAACAACATGTGCCCAAGGGGGTTGGGGTACAGCTTGGTTTCATACATTTCAGGGAGATATGAGACATCAATCAATACATGTAAGATGTACAATGGTTTGGTCTAGAAAGGTGGGACAACTCATGGGTGGGGGGCTTCCAGGTTATGGTAGATTTAAAGATTTTTTGATTGGCTATTCGTTAAAAGTTATTATCAATAGAAAGGAATGTCTGGGTTATGATAAAGGGTTGTGGAGACCAAGTATTTATCAGGCAGATGAAGCCCCCAGGTAGCAGGCTTCAGAGAGAATGGATTGCAAATGTTTCTTATCAGACGTAAAGAGTCTGTTCTGTCAGTAATTCAAAAGGGAGGAGGGTATAATGAGGCATGTCCAGCTCCCCATTCCCATCATGGCCTGAACTAACTAGTTGTTCAGGTTAACTTTGAAATGCCCTTGGCCCCGAGGAGGGGTCTATTCAGATGGCTGAGGGGGCTTAGAATTTTATTTTTGGTTTATACCTGGGACAACAGGATAGCATTTTAAATCAGGACTGCCCTGAGAGTGTCTCCCAGCTCTGTATTAGGCTGACCTGGTGCCTGTGCTCCAAAGCCTCACCTGCTGAGATCTACTAACAAGGCAGTCTTGGTGAGCGGACCAGATGGTGGAGAACTGTTGTTTTATCACAGGGAGGAGGAGACACTGAAACTCTGGGTCCTCCAGGAGAGGTGCCATGGTCATAGCAGGCCCTGCACCCTTTTTGCTTCTTGCTCCTCTCTGGGGGTAGAACTTTCTGCACTCCACACAAATGGATAAGGCATAAAACAGTAGGTTCACCTGCAGCCATCAGACAACAGGCATTTGATTTTTAACATGTTTTTTTGAAAAGACACAAGCAACTCTCTCCAGGCATCCTTTGAGAATGACATCATCTTTAAAACTCTGCATGGCAATCCCTGACACACTACTGTGATGCCCAGGGAAGACAGGGCAACCTGGAAGTCCAACTACTTCCTTAAGGTCATCGAACATTTGGATGATTATCCAAAATGCTTCATTGTGGGAGTGAACAATGTGGGCTCCGAGCAGATGAAGCAGATCCAAATGTCCCTGCAAGGGAAGGCTGGTGGACAAGAGCACCATGATGCATGAGGCTATCCAAGGACATCTGGAAAACAACACAGCTCTGGAGAAACCATTGCCTCATTTCATTTCTGGGGGTATGTAGGTTTTGTGTTCACCAAGTAGGACCTCACTGAGATCAGGGACTTGCTGCCACTTATGCTGGTGCTATTGCCCCATGTGAAGTCACTATGCTCACCTGGAACCCTGGTCTGGGGCCCAAGAAGACCTTTCTTACAGGTTTTCGGCATCAGGAACTAAGATGTTCAGGGGCTCCGTTGAAATCCTGAGTGAGGTGCCACTGATTAAGACTGGAGACAAAGCGGGAGCCAGTGAAGCCACACTGGTGAACATGTGGAACATCTCCCCCTCCTCCTTTGAGCTGATCATCCAGCCGGTGTTTGACAACTGCAGCATCTACAACCCTGAAGTGCTTGACATGGCAGAGGAAACTGCATCCTTGCTTCCTGGAGGGTGTCTGTAATGTTCCCAGTGTCTGTCTGCAGATTGGTTACCCAACTGTTGCATCAGTTCCCTATCCTATCATCAGCAGGTACAAATGGGTGCTGGCTTTGTCTGTGGAGACTGATTACGCCTTCCTGCTTGCTGGAAAGGCCAAGGCCATCTTTGCTGCTCCATCTGCATTTTGTGGCTGCTGCTCCTGTGGACGCTCCTGCTACTACTGCTGCTGCAGCCCCAAACAAAGTTGAAGCCAAGGAAGAGTCAGAGGAGGATATGGAATTTGGTCTCTTTGACTAATCACTGAAAAGCAACAAACTCAGCTAACTTTATTTGCAAAACAAGGAAATCAAGGCTTGCTTCTCTTAAAAAGAAAAAAGACACATGCAAACAAAAAGAAAGAAATGACCCCCTGAGTTGAGGTAGTGTCAGTTTTTCCACTGAAACAGAGAACAAAAGTTATTTAAATAGCTTGCAACTTTCTGATGATGACTCCTGCTTGAAACGCTGGGCCTGTCCTGAATTCCCTGTACTTTGTACCTTCCATGGCATGGATCATGTTCTGTTCTTCCTCTGTAATAATTTATGCACACTTAGCTGCTCCTGGTGTTAGATCCCAAGCTCTGCAGTGCAGACTCTATTTTAGTCAACTTAAGCCAACACGTGCCTCACATAGGCATACAGTAGACTTTTCAAAAATGCTTGTTGCATAAACAAGTGCAGACCAACTAACTCAGAACTGAGTCTTTTTCTTTCTGCTGCTGATATGCTGGGGCACTCACAGACTTGGGGACCATGTCACTCTCCTTTCATTCCTTAAGGTTTCGCATATGGTTTGGATATTTGTCCATTCTAAAACCTCATGTTGAATTGTTATCCCCAATGTTGGAGGTGAGGCCTCATGGGAGGTGTTTGGGTCATGGAAGAGGGTCCTTCATGAATGGCTGGGTATGGTCCTGTTGGTAATGAGAGTGAGTTCTCACTCTATTAATTCACTTGAGATTTGATTGTTTAAAAAATCTGGCACCTCCCCTCTCTTGCCATGTGATATGCTGGCTCCCCTTCCCTTCCACCATGATTGTAAGCTTCCTGAGTCCTCACCATAAGCCAGGCAGATGCTGGTGCCATGCTCATATAGCCTGCAGAACTATAAGCTGAATAAACCTCTTTTCTTCATAAATTACCCAGTCTCAGGTATTCCTTTATAGCAACACAAATGGACTAATATAGTATCAAATAGGTCTAGAGTCAGATGGTTGGAGTTGAATCCTGCCTGTACTGTTGACTGTTTGACCTTGAAGAAGCTACTTAATCTCTTTGGGCTTCAGGGTCCATATCTGTACAATGACCATGATGACTATACTTATAAGACTGCTGAGAGGATTCAGTATGGGATAATACATGTGTCATTCCAGAGTATTTTCCAATACCAAAAACCAATTCTCCAATTCTCTGGACACCAACTGGGTGTCCTACAATTTGATTCAATTCTGACACTAACTCTAAGTAGTTAGTGTCGGATTCCACAGATTTAAGGGTTCGGTCCCACAAGACTGCCTCAACTGCAGATACCAGTCACAAGTCCAGGGTCACTGAACTTCTGACCAACTGGCTATAAATGTGCAGTTCCCACAACCCTCTCCTCAAGTTCGATAATCTGCTAGAATGCATTTCAGATCTCAGAAAAATATTTTTGTTTACTGGTTTATTATAAAGGATACAACTCAGGAACAGCCAAACAGAAAAGGTGCATAGGGCAAGGTCTGGGGAGTGCAGAGTGTTTCTGTGCCCTCTCTGGGTGCACTACTCTCCCAGCACCTCCATGTGTTTGCCAACCTGAAAGCTCTCCAAATCTCATTTTTCAATAGTTTTTATACAGCTCAATCTCCAGCCCTCCCCCAGAAGGTAGTAGGTGGGGCTGAAGGTTCCCACTCTCTAATCGCTCCGTCTTTCTGGTGATCAACCACTTCCTGAGGCTACTTAGGAGTCCTACCTAAGTCACTGCATTAGCATAAACTCAGATGTGACTGAAAGGGGTTCCTTATGAATAACAATTCATTACTCAGAAAATTCCAATAGTTTTGGGAGCACTGTGTTGGCAACTGGAGACAAAGACCAAATATATTTCTTGTTATACTTAGCACAGTGCCTGGCTGGTGTCATAAACCGTTAGTGGATGAATGTTATCTGTTGTCATCAACATCACCATTACCTTCCTCAGATAAGTCTACTGTCTTGCAATTGAGGTTTTCTAAGGTGTAGATTGAAGATATGAATCACAGCTTTTCATTAAAACAGGAAAGCACTCAGAACAATACAAGGGTCAGGACACTGAGCCTGACATTCAAAATCTGTTAATTTCAAACAAAATGTCTCAGCCTGAAAGGCTGCACTCAGGACAAAGGACCATATGGCGGCTTGGTTGGTGGCATCAGGCAGAGTACTGGAAGAATAATTCTTAGGCCAAACTGTTTTTAATTTAAATGATCTGGAAAGGAGAGTAAGCCACACATTATGTATACCCAGAGGTGTGTTAAGCATTAAAGACAACTCAGAAATAACACGACGTTAAAAAATACTTGTCTCCAAGATGAAAAATAAAGTACCATTTGACAGAGAATGTTGAGAATGACAATCCATGTTAATTAGCATGGGTTTCTGAGTCCCTGGCTTGACAGCAATAATTTTCAGGCAGGCTAAGATTTTAATTAAAATGGAAGAAGAATTACTGAAGTCTCTTGAGTGCTGACAATCAACAAGAAACTTATCAGGTTGGAAGAAGCTGGTGAGAATTTGCAGGTGGTTGGAATAATGTCAGGTGGAACTTCCTATGGTTCTAGGAGTCCTTAGAAATTATTTAGTTTAAGACTATTATTTTACAGGAAAAGAAATGAAACTCTTGGGAGGTGATGTGATTTGCCCACATCCTACACAGTAAGTTAGTGACATAATTCAGTCAGCCAACCTCCACCCAGCACTCCCCTCACTTACACCATTTTAAGGAACCTTGTATAAGTTGGAGTTGGCTCCTCCTGTCTCTCAGCTTTTTTCTATTTCCAGTCTTAAAAGAGGAGATTTTTTCAGATGCAGATAATTTTTGATATGCTCATTATATTTCCTGAGTTTTGAATGCTTTGAACATTTTTATATAATAAAGTGATCTCCCATTATGGGAAATATGTAATTCTTTTCTTCCAGAGTCTCTCTATGCAACTTTCTTGATAGACATTTACCTATAAAGGTAGATTTTTTTAATCACTAAAGGAGATTTCAGGCATCCATGTCCCATCAGATCCTGCTGGCACCTCGAAGTCAAGGCCTCTATTTCCTTCTTCACCCAGAAAAGACACATTGGTTGCGGGCCTGGCATCAGACTGGCTCTGACCTTCTGTGATACACATTACCCTTCTTGGCCTCAGTTTTCCCCTCTGCAAAGAAGAGTTTGGGAAAGTTGAAGGCCAAGGTCTATCCTAGTCTCACAGCTGGTGTCCCACACTTACTTTGTTTAAAAGCCAGCTCTGCCTTTGCAAACGTACCAAACTGACTGGGGTCATATGGATTTTGCAGCAGAATGAAATGTGAAATTAATGTTTTTCCCATTAATAAATTATACAAGACTCAGAGGCATCTTCCCCCAAAGGCCCTTACTTGGAAAAATTTCTCCCCCTCTGTTAAATATATCAGAAACTAAACTGTAAAGAAGTTATATGGACTCATATATGAGTGAAGGAAACATTCACTCCTGCAGGAAGATGGGAGGAAGAACAACTTGAAACAGATACAATGGAAACAAATCCATTCCCTGCTATTCCTTGAAATGCAGAAAGGAAAACATAAATGGCACTCATTAGAGGGGAGGAAAGAGCACAGTCAGGAAGCTGTGTTGGGGAAACTACTCCACGTCTTTTTGCATCCCCAACTTTGAGCTCGGCCTTTATTTGTTGTATTATTAATAACAAAGATAATTTTTTTGAATTTCCACCATAAGGTAGGTCCAAATGCTTTTCAAATGTCAAGATCTATTATTATGATCACTACCACCATCTTTATTATCATCATCAACATCACGTAGGGTCCATCTCTGCATTCCCTGAACATAAATGGGGACAACGTTGTGCTTTTCACTCTAATCTTGTGGTTGGAGTTAGAGTAGGGGTCATGCAAGCCACTGATGGTAATGAGATGGACTCTTGCTATGAAAATTCAAGTCCAAAAAAAGTAGAGAAGATCTTCCTTCTCTCCCTAAGTTGCCCAGGTCTAAATATACTGACAAAGACGCTGTCTAAAATATAGCATTAGCCACAAGGAGGAAGTTGCAAAATAGCATGTACATGTATGATAGCATTTTTGTTAAAAACATCAGCAAATCTCCATGTTAGGATATGCATAGAAAAAGATTTTGAAGAATAGATACAAAACCTTTTACAGTGATTACTTTTATGGGGATGGAATTATGGAAGATGTTAGCTTTCTAGTTTCTGTATTTCCAAAATTTTTTAGTAACAAATCATATTTAATTAGAAAACTAAAGTTTAAAACAAAACTTCTTCAGGAAAGCAATCTTCCCCTCTTTATTATCACAAGAGACTCTTTCCTTCATACAATGATTTAAAACTTTACCAGGCATAAGTGATGAGTGTGGGGGTTTATTATACTTTTCTTTGTATTTTTATATTGTTTGAAAATATCCATAAGCTTTTGCACACACACAGAGAATAAAAATGCTGAAGACATTCCTGAGCTTTATATTAAGAGAGATATCTATAATTTTTCTGAATACAAAAGTGAATTTTAAATTCAAATATCGCTGGTGATTATGAAAGTCCCTCATTGTTTTAGTCCATTCAGGCCACGGCAATAAAATATCATAGTGGGTGACTTATAAGCAACAGAACTTTATTGCACACACTTCTAGAGGCACATTGGGTTGGGGGCCTGGCATCAGACTGGCTCTGGATCTAGGAAGTCCAAGATCAAGGTGCTAACAGATTCAGTGTCTGGCAAGGGCCTGATTTCTTGTTCATAAATGGTGACTTTTCTGTTTGTCCTCACATGGTAGAAGGAGCAAGAGGTCTCTCTCAGGCCCCTTTTATAAGGGCATAATCCCATTCATGAGAGTTCTGTCCCCATGAGCTAATCACCTCCCAAAGGCCCTGCCCTTAACCTTGGGGGTTAGGGTTTCAATATGTGAATATTGAAGAGACACAAATATTCAAACCATAGCACTCATTAATCTATGCCCCCATAATGACTGACAACATGGTGACATGTAGTATAAATGTAAACATATAGCTATATAGAGATATTTAGTTAGTTTTTATTTGAAATGAGAACATACTACAAAAAATAAAATATTTATTGGGATTAGTGGTTTCCTAGGGCTGAGAGGGGGATATGGGGATATTATAGCCTGAGCTGAGGAGTGAATACTGGTGGGTACTGGGCTCTTTTTCAGGTGATGAAAATGTTCTAAAATTATATTGTGATAATGACTGCATAGCTCTGTGATTATACTTAAAACATTAGATTGCACACTTTAGGTAAATTGTATGTATGTGAATTATATTGCAATAAAGCTATTTAAAAAAACCCCAAATTCTTGGGGCTCTTGTTTCTTCTGGCTGTGTACTAAACAGAGGCATCTGAGAATATATAAGGATACATCTCTGCCAGGTGCGGTGGCTAATGCCTGTAATCCCAGCACTTTGGGAGGCCGAGGCAGGCAGATCACTCGAGGCCAGGAGTTCAAGACCGGTCTGGACAACATAGCAAAACCCCGTCTCTACTCAAAGTACAAAAATTAGCTGGACATGGTGGTACATGCCTGTAATCCCAGCTACTCGGATGCTGAAGCAGGAGAATCACTTGAATCCGGGAGGCAGAGGTTGCGGTGGGCTGAGATTGCGCCAGTTCACTGCAGCCTGTGACAGAACAAGAATCCCTCTTAAAAAAAAAAAAAGATACATCTGATAAATAGGGAATAACCATCTTTATGGTCAGAAACAAACTATAATGAGCATGATAAAATGAGGCATATTGGCCACCTACATTCGCATGAGTATTATATTTCATAAGTAGAGAGAGTCCAGATCCAGGCTGGCTAACTTAGCCAAGCCAATCACATAGGCAAGGGAGTGATGTGTAGGAGAACAGATCACACTGATCCTAATGGACCAAGGTAGAACCATCCTGGCCACAGTCAGGCCAGCCATGTTCCCAGCTGCACAGGGTGGGGAAGGCCCCAGAGTCAGCAAGACTTTAGGGACTCAAGGGGGACCATTTGAGGTGTGTGTGGTGGCTCCAGCAAAGTTCTTACACAATTGCAAGCTTCACTCTCCAAGGTCTTGAATGGTTCCACCAAACATTAAAGAGCAGGCCTGGTTGTTATAGGCCTGGCTTATAGAGATTAAGGTCCATCCTCACATCTCAGGGGTGGGTTCCTGCTCCTCCAAGGCTCTGGTGTAGAGAGGAGGGCAAATAATAAATTGGCTGAGATTAAATTCTGCTGCCCCCATCTTCGTCACAACTGTGACTGGAGAGAGATTGAATTATGGAATAATAAGAGAAGTACTATTTCCTGCATATCTGAGTTTGGGGACTGAAATTTATCCATGCTATATATGAAGGGAACACTTTGATGGTCAGAAACAGACCATAATGAATGTGACCGCATAAAGATGAGTGTAATTGGGGCTCAAGGTGAATACCACATTTTAGGAATTCCTGGATTCTAGTTCTAATCTCTCCTCTAAAAAAAAACCTTCACCAGTGTCACAGACATATTAACCAACATTTGCTAAGTTTTGTAATCTATGAATGAGAAAATTCTGTAACGGTAACATCTCTTTGCCACCAACAAGTGACATGCAGAGGCCAGAGGAACTTGCCTGGAGGAAGAGGGCAAGACTATGAGTCACCAGATGGAATAGGAACATGGTGGTTTTAGAACATGTCCATAAACACTTTGAGACTCTTCCCAACAAAACCTGGAGTCTAATTCCCTTCCCCTTAAGTATGGGGCAACTTGAGTGATTTGCTTCTAAGTGGTAGAAGGCAGTAGAAAAGGTGCTGCATGACTCCAAGGCTAGGTCATAAAAGGGTGTGCATGGGCACATTTGCCCTTGGAATCCAGCCACCAAGCTGTGAAGAAACCCAGGTCACCTTGGAAGGCTGTCAGCAGGTGTTCTGGCCAGCAGCCCCTGCTGAGTTTCCAGCGACAGGCAGCATCCACCATCACACATGGGAATAGGAAAGCCTTTGAGATGACCCCAGCCTCAGCCATCATTTAACGGCAACTGCACGAGAGACCCTGAGTAAGGACCACTTCACTGATCCCAGTAACCCGCAAAACTAGAAGAGATAACAATAAAAGGTGTTTGTTCATATTTTATGCTACAAAGTTTGAGTTGATTTGTTACACAGCAACATATAAGCAGGGTGAAGAATGTGCTGACTGGTCTACTTTTCAGCAAGCCAATGTAACAAGGGGACAGGACACTGAATTGGCAGTAAGGAATGTACTGTGCTTTGCTCCCGCCTCAGTCAAAGCTGACTATGTGCTTAGGACAAGTAACTCTGCCTCTTCTCGGCCTCATTTCCCTCAAGTGCAACACAAGGATTCACTGTCTCAGCTTGGATATCCACATTCCTCACAGCAGAAGGCAGAAGGAGCTGACTTTTAGGGCTATAGAATTTTAGATCATATACTACAAGACTTCCTGAGGTATTTTCCAACCTTGAGAAATTAACAGATATTATTTCATCATTGAGTTCATTTTTAACACATAAACGTGAGATGTGTTGGATTGAACTATTAGGCAGGTTTCTTTACTGCAGGACTTCTCGTGGTCTTCAATGTGTTCAGGTGCTCTGTGGCTCTCTAAGAAAGGGAAATGGGAAGAAGCACTCCTCAAACCTCCTTCACTATGTAACCTTTTTTCTTTGTTGAGCTTTTCATGGGACTAGGATTCTGCTTAATGTACTCTGAGATTGCTTTCAATTATTCATAGTAAAATAATCAAAACCAATATTTATCTCCCTAGAACTGTCCATAAATTATGAAACGGCTGTGGGGTTCGGTACAAGTGGGCATTTGTATCTCCCAGTGCCTGTTTGTTTACTTTAGAGGCATGTCTCGTTGATTTCCTCTGAGAAATCCTAAGAGGAAGGACATTCCAAGGCCTCAGACCCTGGGGATATCTGAGGGATGCTGGAGAGGAACAAAGCTAGGCTGGAGGGAGCTGTGGCTCCCAGCCTTGGTTACTGCAGTTACCATATGCCAGACATTGTGCCAGGCACTGGGGAGATAAGGATGAACAAGGCAATGGCTTCCCTCAAGGGTCTCACAGGCCAGTGAGGCAAACAGACAAGTAAACAGACAGCATCTTAGTCAGCTTGAGCTGCTGTAACCAAATACCATCTCCTGGATGACTTAAACCACAGAAATTTATTCTTCACAGTTCTGGAGGCTGGAAGTCCAAGATCAAGGTGACAGCATGGTTGGGTTCTGGTGAGGGCTCTCTTCTTGGCTTGTTGACAGCCGCCTTCTCATCATGTTCTCACATTGCACAAAAAGAACCCAGGTGTGCCTTCCTTTTATAAAAACACTGATTCCATGGCATCCAAATCTAACTATCTCCCAAAGGCCCCATCTCCATATATATCACATTGGGAGTTAGGGCTCCAATTATGAATTTTGCAGGGGATACCATTCAGTCCATAGCAGGTGACATGTTAACAAATAAGCCCCAGCTACAGGGGGAGCCTGGGACTACACAGGGGGTGGCCCATTCCACCTGGCAGAGTCAAGTAAATCTTACAGGAGATAATTCTTGAGCTGAATCTTGAAACATCAGGAAGAGTTCTTATTGGTGTATAATTAATTACCAAAAACACAGCAGCTTAAAACAATGCATATTTATTATCTCATGGTTTCCATGGTTCAGGAGTCCAGGTGAGGCTTAGCCGTGTTCTCCACTCAGGGTCTCACAAGGTAGAAATTCAGGTGTCAGGCAGCTGTGGTTCTCATCTAGAGCTTGGGGACCTCTTCCAAACTCATTGGGATTCTTGGCAGAATTCTGTTGCATGTCACTGTAGGATTGAAGTCCCTACTTCCTTGCTGGCTGTTGATCAGAGACTCTCTCCACTCCTTGAGTCTACTCTCACATGGCTTCTCACAATATGGAAGCTTAAGTCTCCAAAGCCAGCAGGGCCACATCTTTCTGATGTGTCACCATCTATTAAAAGCTCTTCCAATTAAGTCAGGCCCACCCAGGATACTCTCCCTTTTGATTAACTCAAAGTCAGCTAAACAGTAAACCAATTATGATGACATTCCATCATATTAATTGATTTGGCCCATATTCAAGAGGGGGAGATTATATAAAGGCAAAAGTCATTGGGAGTCATCTTTGGATTCCGCTGACCTCAGCAGTGAAGGTTGGGGAGAACATTCGAGGCAGAGAAAGCAGGATGCACAAAGGAATGGCAGAAGGAAGCAACTCAGGACTTTTGGTGTCCTCAAGTGGTTCCATGTGAATGGAACATAAGGCAAGGACAGAAATGGAGATGCACAGGGTCATAGACAGACAGAAAGCGTATTGCATGGGAAACTCACCAGACTAGCCTAGGGAGCTTAGATTTTATTCTGTAGGTGAAGGAGATTCATTGAAGAATCATAACAAGGGGCCATGAGGATGAGAAATATGCTTTAGACAGAACATTCAGGAAGCATTAGTAGTGATGAATTGGAGTGGAATAAACCTGAAGGCTGGGAGGCCATTGTGCTTATCTAGGTTGCAAACAGGATCTCAATGCTCATTAATTTCTGCCCTGGCAGCACAGCTCTTTGGGAGTCACTGAGATCTAGCCTTACACGCAAATCCAGAACAAGGCTGCCATTATATCAAAATGCTCTGAGCTACTAATGAGGGAGGGTCTGGAGTTAATCCTGTTGCTAATAGCTTAGTATCTGGGGTATGTGAAATGAACCCAAAAGTTCAAGCCTTCCTCTGGTCACATCTCCTTTTGCCTTGTCTCCACGACTGTATGTAGCTCTGTGTTGAGTTCCAGATATGTGTTACAGGTACCCCAAAGGAGAGCTGTGCTGAGGAATCTACTGTGTAAACCGCAGCCTGAACTAGGCCAGGCCATTCTGCCATGAAGACAAGACCACCCTTTTCCACTTTCACTTTTGGACATGGTTCTGCTCTTCACAGAAGGAGCTCTGGATCCACGAATTCTGCCATTCACCCAACTCCAAACTCCCAGCACTGTTCAGAGAAGAACAGTGCCCAACAGAGCACACTCTCTCTCTTCCCTAGACCCATGCAAACAGTGCCAATGAGCCCGTCAATCTTTCCCACCAGTCATGGGTGCAACCTCAGGGTCCTCTTCTACATAGGACCCCAGACAGTCACTCTTATGCATTAGAGTTGGTCATCAAGATGAAAGCCATCCATCATTCACGGCTGGAGGGCCCCACCCCTTGGATGCCAATAACATCCAAGATGATGTCACTTTACCATGATCCTCTAGTTTAAATTGCTGGCATGCTTGAGGCTTCATCTGGCATCAGGCCCATGTACTCCTGGCTTTTCCCTTCTCTCTTCAACTTGGGTATTTTGAGGCCAAGAGGCCAAGACCACCTGAATCACAACAATTCCAAGATACAAATTATGGAGACAGTGCTTCTGGGAATTTTGAAATCTTTAACACCTCAAGCAAGGTTTTGGTCAGCTAATATGAAGGGACATCGACCTGGTTCCCCAAAAGCTTACTATCTAGTTGGAGAGATAGGATATGGTGCTGCGAAATGAACCTAAAATTTCAGCCATCAGAGGCAAAATGCTAAATAAGCAGAGGGTTGACAAATGCCAGAGAAATTCAAACCACACAGGGGTAGATATTTTTGGAAATAGCAAATAGGGCTCTGCTCCCGATTCATGACCCAGTCCCTGGCACTGGTCCTACAAGTGCCAGATGATGGGGAGGCAGAGCCAGGTGTTGTGCAATGAGCAGGCAGGAGGAGGGGGTGCCCCGCTGGCCCGGCTGGGCCCATGGAGCTTGGTGATGCCTCCTGGTGCTGGCTGAGGCCATGAGAGGAGGCAGAAGTGGGAGAGGAGAGCAGCAGGAGCCCTTATCACCAGGAACACACACGTGGGTCCCTTGTCATTTTCTGAACTTAAACTCATCTCTGCCCACAGAGCCCCCACAACCCGGGAGAAGCAGCAGGCAGAGGAGCCATGCGCAGGTGGAGGAGGCTGGTGCATGCTCTGTGAGATTTCTGTTGGTGACTTCACAGCTGACACACTCAGGATAGAAAAATGGAGAAAGACAAAAGGCTGAGTTAGTAAGAGCAGAGAGTCCCAGGTTCTCACACACTGGGCCCCAGCTGTGGACTATTCTAGGGCTTTGGAGGCCTAAGCACAGACATCATTCTCTTACCACTTTCTTATAACTGCTGATGGCCGTAGTGGGGCTGTGTGATGGGAGTGGGCTCAGGTTCTAGTGGACTCCAGGAGCCCTGAAGATTTACCACTGACCAGTCAGGGCAAAACCATTTTGGGGTGAAAGAGAAAGATGCCAACAGCACGCAGTGAAACACATTATACAGAATTCCACCTCCCCACCATATTTGTATATAGTGGTTAATCAGGCAAATCTGAGAAGGGGGAAAGAGGAGCTGGGGAAGAGGCACAGGTAACTGGAGGACATGCTTAGGAGAAGAAAGAGGCAATGCCACCTCTTCACCATGGGGATCCCTCTCCTTTCCTTCAAGAAAGTTCCATAGTGCCAGATTTGGAAAAGACTTAAGGAAAGTATAGAGGCTGGGCATGGTTCACACCTGTAATCCTAGCACCTTGGGAGGTGGGAGGATCATTTGAGGCCAGGAGTTTGAGACCAGCCTGGAAAACATGGCAAGACCAGACCATCTCTACCAAAAAAAAAAAAAGTTTAGAATATCCTCAGAAGGTGTAACTATGAAAAAAACAAGTGAGCAAGACACACCATACCTACCTACTGTAGAAACCTAGGCTTTTGTTCTCTCACTTCTTCCCAATAATCCCCCCCGACTTGTGGCCAGACATTGAGGGAGGTGTGTGGGGCACCATCTAAGGATCTCTCAAATCAGCCCCTTCTCCACCTCTATTGCCCCGCCCTAATCAGAGTCATGGCCATCTCTTGCCTGCACTCCTAAAATTGCCCCCTAACTCAACTCCCTGATTCTAATATTGTTCCATAAATAAATAACATAGATTTTATATTTCCCTTCTGGGGAATTGTTCAAAAGCAATCTGTTAGAAATGCAAAGCTGTTTGTCACTCTCCTGTTTAAATCCAAACTCCTGACCACAGGTTGCAAACCTCTGAATGACCTGAAAGACTCTGAATGACCTCCAAGTCTTCCTATTGATAAGGTTGCACACATGGCTCTCTTTTCATTTCCCTGGCGCAGTTTGTAATTCTGCATTTATTTCTGCTCATTGGCTGCCTCCCTACCCTATGGAAGGGGTCCCGAGGCCAGACCTGCTACATATTCTTCGAGGCAATCGTGGGAACTCCATCCTCACTCCAGCTACCCTGGTCTCCACTGGGCTCCTTTTTGCCTTTGGCATTTCTCACATGCTGATCCCATTGTCTGAAATGTTCCTTCCCCTTCTCCTGGCATAGCTGGCTCCTTCTCAGCCTCCAGGACTTGGTTTAGATGAACAAAGGTCTTCTCTGACTGCTTTATCAACTCTCTATTATTGACCTAAGATACCATCAACTGTAAGATGTCTCAGAAAGTAAAAGTACCACTCAATAGCATCCCAGGCTGCATCTATTATAAGTTGCATCTTGGTTTCAGAAATAGCAAAATGTTTTTAAAAATGTATGCTGCCCAGAATTAAGGAAGTATGGCAAATAGGATTTTCCTGTTATTCTCCGTCATTGTCCCTTGTTCACTTCCATCACAACACTTCTCACAATTGTTAATGATATGTGTACTAATGTATGTATAATGCATATAAGATCTGGCTGTTAACTCAAAGGCCCATTGTCTGAGGAGGGTATCTGCCTTGTTCATGACTCTATAACCAGCAGCCACTGCAGTTCCTGGTTCAAAGCAAATGCCTCATGAGTGGCTGTTGACTACATGGATGCGTGGAAAGAGCAGTGGTCTGGAAAGTAAGACATGTGGACTTGAATCTGGCTCTGTCCTTAACCAACTGGGTGACCCTGAGCCAATCACTCTTCTTTCCTGGGTTCCACTTCATCGTCTACACAGTGAGAAGATGGAAACTGAACAGGTCCAAGGCTTTCCCAGCTCTAACACTTCAGGAACTAAGTGATGAAATCTTTTCCAATTGTTTAGGGAAAGTGTCTCATTCCCATAAACGTGGAAGAATTTGCACACTTGCTGCCCCTTAGCCCAATTATCATGTTAGTTGATTTCTTAAAATTCAGAGAAACCAAATGCAGGCTGGCAGAGAAGGCTACATGCATGCTGCCTGGAGCTTGCTTGAGCTTTGCCCACCTCTGCTCTCCAGCAGCATCAATAATAAGTGAGGACCATTCAGCATTGCAGGCAGGTGCCTGCTCTTTGTTCTGTGAAACTGAGACAGGGCAGAGTTTCTGTAGAAAGATGCTCCTTAGCTCACCAAGGTATGATGGTGCTCTTACATGGTATCTTATTTCAAAAGCAGTCGATAATTAGTTAGTCCCTATAGCACGTGGGCTTTGCTGATAAGAAAAACTACATGTAGGGACTAGGATTCCAAGATGAACAGGAGTCAGTGCATGAGCCTAGAACAAGGTGTGCCAGATTGTTTCTATAAAGGGCCAGGTAATAAATATGTCCAGCTGTGCAAGTCATACAGTCGCTGCAGCAAACATTCAACTCTGCCATTGTAGCATGAAATAATATGTGACTGAAAAAGCGTGGCTGTGTTCCAATACAATTTTCTTGTCAAAAATGGGTGGTGGAGGTGGATTTGGCCTGTGGGCCCTAGTGTGCCAACCCCTGCTCTAGGACTGCATATTCAGAGTCCTTCAGGACTATGCGTTGACTTATTGGGCCACCCCATAGATTACCTGTAGCAAATGTGCACCGTGGCTTACCCAAGGTCACACCACTGGAAAACGAAGCTGGGAGCCAAATTCAGGTCCCCTCGTCCAGTGCATTTTCACTACAGGGTACAATGCTACCTCTTACTGTTCTCATAACATCATTGACAATCCCAGTAAACTTAATTCTTCCCAATCAATGGGGAAATGTGTATTCCTCAGGCACAGAGAAAAGGAAGAGGATTAATGAAAATAAGTCACTTTCTTCCCGTTTTCATAAGAAAATCTAGAAAAGAAAGATTTATCAGTCACCGCGAGCTACCCTGCTTCATAAAGTCAAGCCCACAGAGGCTCTAGGCAAGGCTGAGGGTCACTTTTTTGTTGTTTCCTGGATCAAACTGGACAGCAGCAAACTGGTATTTTATGGGAAAAGTCTCCCTGGTTCTTTTCTAAGTCTAGCTTTCCTGGCAGGGATGCATTTTACTACAATTAGCCAAACCATTGCTCTCATCAGAGCAGAGCAGGCCACACTGTGGCTTGTGTTTGGGGAACTAACTTTAGTTTGCCATGTGCTGTTTGTTTCTATCTGCTTGACCATAAATGTGCAAAGGTTTTAATCTAATTCCGCCCTCAGGGTTTCTACAATCTAGTTGGAGAGATAAGACATAAACATATGAGAGGGTGAAAAAAGTGAAAGAGTTGGAAAACATTTCAATGCAATAAGAAAAATGCACACACATCTATTCTCTCCCTCTCTCACCTCCAGTGAGCAAGGAGTAATTATTGAACACTGTATAGTATTAAGCTGCTTTGGGAATGAGAAACTCATTTTTTCTTGAACATAGCATAACCTGTCCTAATCTCTCTTTCTCCTAATGCCCATTCTATTACTATGCAGAACATTTCTTTCCCACTTACAGACAACGCCCAGAGGTTCAGAGGTGCCTAAAAATCAAGGGCCACTTCCCTACCTTGCCAGACAGAACCATCAATCCCTGTTGGACGCCTTTAGTTACCTAAAACACATAAAAGGATTGGAAATGAGGCCTTTCGTTGGTAATGAAATTCTAGCTTTTAGGTAAAGACAGTTTATTGGGCAGGGTATCCTCCCATACCCAAGACAGTCATTTCAAATCCTCCTAGACACAAAAAGGAGAAGGGACAAATTCTTGCTCTTACACACTGGATGTTTCATTTGTTTATTCAACAAAGTAGGTGTTGAGGGCTTTTTCTGTGGAAGTCACTGCATGTGTTTTTGTCTGAGATGAGCTTGGAAGACAGATGTTGCCAAGGACAGGGTAATAGTAAGAATACATGTACACAGTGCTCTCATAATTAAAATGAAAAATGAAATCTGTGAAGAGAGAAAATCAAGACTCCTTTGATTTTCACCTGACATTTAACATTTTTCAGTTAGCCATGGAAAAGGAATTACTAACCTTCCCCTAAGGAAGCAGCAGAGCAGAAATGGCCATGGATCCTATTGCTCCAGGTCATTTCCGTAGGGAATTGGACTGGCAGGTGTGTTCCGGTTCAGGGAGCAGCAGCTGCCAGGGATCTGCCCTGCTCCCCAGCCGCCCAACTTGGGAATACTCCTGCAGGCTCTCCACTGCCCACAGAAAGAGCCTCTCCTACAAAATGACCAGTGGGTGGATGGAAACGCCATAGGGGCTTCAGGAGATCGTCTGGTCCCATCCCTCTCTGAGCTGCTGCACAAGGTCAGGAGTTCCTGGAGCTGGGGCTGCTGTAAGGATCAGAGGGCGGGGGCCAGAGCCCAGGGCTAGCATTATAACTGCTGGAGAGTGCTGCTGCTCTGGCCCAGCCTGACCCCACTCCTTGCACCTGCACCTGCATCCTGGCTGCAGGAGGCTGTGCTCATTTCTAATTCTTCTCCTGGCTCTTTGGTGTGGGGTGTCCTTGGCTTCCTTCTCTGGCTCCCTGTCTGCCGCATTAACTTCCAGCTCTCCACAAACAGCTCTCCTGGCAACTCCAACTCCAGTTGCTTCTTTTCTAAATCTGGTAACTAGGGAACATGGAGGGAAGACTGCAGCACCCACAACCCCCAGTCCCTTGGCCCCTTTCACCTGGGCCCCAGCTCGGCATTATTAGCAATCACTTTTCTGGGGCAAGACTGGGACTGAGCCTTCTGGCAACTCTATGTAAACAACTGTCACACTCAGGAGCAACCAGGAAAAACAGCTTTGATGCCGTAAAAGTCAGGACCCCCAAAAGTGAATGCCACTGACTTAATCTGTTATTTTCAAAGCAGGTGAAATTACTCATTAGCATTCAAAATTCTTATAATTCAGATGTCTTATTTGTTAATAAACATGATATAATTGAACAGATATTATAGTGAAATTCCTAAATTAGGCTGGAATCACAATGTTTTTGCCATTACATCTCATGGCTCATATTTTATTGTATATCCTAACAAGCTGTTTAAACAGGGTGGCGCTATATTTGAAAAGTGACTTCTTTAGCCCAGAGATATAGAAAGGCACTGACTTAATGGGAGAGACCCTGGTTTTTTCTTCTGACTCTCCTTAATTTGTACTTGTCATTTCTAAGGGAGAGGATCTGCTAAGATGGTGCAGAAACATGGTCTGCATGCACCTGGTTATTCCTAGATTTGCACCATGGATTCAGGCTTCCCAGATGAATCAAACTGAATTTGATCAGGGTCTTGGCTCTTCCCCTGTCCTTGGCATAACAACCAGCAAATACGTGTCAGCTCCCACCTTCCTCGTTACCTCCCATTCTCATATTTCTGATAGATGTCCAATCTTTTCTCTGGTTTGCTTCTGGATTTTATCAACCTGTGTTCCTGAGTAAGAATTAGTCTTGGAATTCACTCTGGACTGTGATCCTTCCCAATTTTGATATATCCTCATGAAATGAATTCAAATAATGCAAAAAAGTACTTAGAAAAAAGGTACTCCTCAGGTAGGAGGTACCTGACCTCCTACCACCCGGAGAAAAACACTATTAACTTTTGGGTAAACATTCTTTCAGGCATCTGCCTAAATGTATTATATCTATTTACAGCCTGCTTTCTTCTCTCAACCATATGTTCTTGTTGGGAGAGAGAGTTCTCTATGGGTCTCTTGTGCTTGTACACATTTTGCTGAGTATGCTAAGATTACAAGGTCATTTCTCGGGGTTATGTTTGCAGTGGGCAACTTTGAGGGACGAGGCAACGTCTCCCTCCTGGACAAAGGGCAAGTTTGCTTACCACTTGCAATAAAATGGTGAGTTCCCAAGCTCATGGCACAAAAAGCATGTTTATATCCCTTTCCAGAGAATGTGATACAAACCCACCTGTACACAGCATTCATCTGGGTTGGTAGCATTGCCCCCATGTTAGCTGATGCAAACATACTGATAATTATTCTGCTCCAGTGCCATAGTTTTTAAAAAGTCCCTTGTCTCTGATCCAGGAGTTTCATGTCTTCTGCCAATATCCACGAAACAGTAACAGACTAATTATTAGTTTTAGTTAAGGTAAAATCAACAGACCCAATACTCATCTATGTCTTTCCACTTTAAATATAGATCTAATTATTTTTCATGTGGCTGCATGGTATCACATTGTGAGTGTGTGTGTGTATATGTGTGTGTGTTTGTATCACAGTATATTTAATTAATCCTCTATTTTTGGGCATTAGGTTTCTACCAGTTTTTTCTTCCTTTTTTTCTTTTGTATTTCATACAATGTTGCAATAAATATTATTGTACAAATATCCCTTTATACCTACACAATTTTCTCTTTATGGTGAACTTCTAGAAATAGAATTGCTGGGTCAAAGAATATGCCCATTTCTATACAGTACTTCAGTTAGAAACTATGGTGGCATATTTTCCTAACGGCATCTAAAAGGAATCTGTCCTTGGTACAACACAAGTACCATAACTCTTTGATCTTTCCTTTTGGTTACTAGTCACACTGTTATGCCTGAATTTTGAACTGATCTACTCCTTCATTAATATCCCAAATTTAGGTAACAGTCTGTAGAGTGTGCCAGTTAGTACAGCCTGTTACCTATATTTGGGATATGAATATATTATCCAAGGAGTAGAACAGTGTAGTTAGTTATATATGGAGGAAGTGAGGCCCAAAAGTGAAATCACTTGACCAAGATAACACACAATACCAACACTGAGCCAGAGGTTTGATTCATTCCCATGCATAGTCCATTGGTTCATGGTATACACAGAAGAATAATAGCCTATGATATTTGCTGTTTCTTTGAGTGGCAAACATATACTATTAGTATTATTGTTATCATGGTCATGTTTCTGAACACTAAAACTTAAGTTATAAGTATTCTTATTAAAATCAAGATAAAGACAATTTCTATTTTTCAGAGTAATAAAATGTAAGTGGCTGGGCATGGTGGCTCACGCCTGTAATCCCAACATTTTGGGAGGCTGGGGTATGTGGATCACCTGAGGTCAGGAGTTTGTGACCAGCCTGGCCAATGTGATGGAACCCCATCTCTACTAAAAATACAAAAATTAGCTAGGCATGGTGGCGGGCACCTGTAATCCCAGCTACTTGAGAGGCTGAGGCGAGGGAATCGCTTGAACCCAGGAGGCAGAGGTTGCAGTGAGCCAAGGTCACGCCATTGCACTCCAGCCTGGGTGACAACAGTGAAACTCCATCTCAAAAAAAAATTAAAGTAAAACTGTTTGCCAAGTTACATATATATGTGTATGTGTGTGTGTGTGTGTGTAAGAGAGAGAGAGAGAGTGTGTGTGTGTGTGTGTGTGTATTTAAAAGTTGGCTGGGCACAGTGGCTCAAGCCTGTAATCCCAGCACTTTGGGAGACTGAGGCTGGAGGATCACTTGAGGCCAGGAGTTCGAGACCAGCCTGGCCAACATGGTGAAACCCCCATCTCAATTAAAAATACAAAAATTAGCCAGGTGTGGTGGTGTGTGCCTGTAATTCCAGCTACTCAGGTGGCTGAGACATGAGAATCACTTGAGCCTGGGAGGCAGAAGTTGCAGTGAGCAGAGATCATGCCACTGCACTCCAGCCTGCGTGATAAACTGAGACTGCCTCAAAAAAAAAAAAAAAAAAAGCATTTTAACAAACTCGTTGACCCAGAAACTCCAATTTTAGGAATATATTCAATAGAAAAAAATTAAAAAGTACAAAAATATATACAGCTAGAGCTATTCACATAACACTGTATGAGTGGAAACAACCAATAGGGGACTGGTTCAATAAATTATGGTGTATTAATACAACTGAATTTTATGAAAAAGAATGAGGTGTGTCTTCATATGCTGATATAGAATGATTTTCAAGTGCATTGTTAAGTTAATTTTGCTGTCATGTAAATAAAAACGGGAACATAAGTATATAGATTATTTATAGAAGAATAATGAAAAGCTGATGATAATGTTTATTTCTGGGGGAGGAGAACAGGAAAAAGATTTAGTCTTTGTATTTGATTTTTCAAAATATCACGTACTGTCATGCATTTTTTCCATTTTTAAAAGCAGTAATGTTATAGGTAGAGAGGTAGTGCTTCAAAGCAATGCTTACTAGCCCGGGTCCAGGTCAGAATTTCTGAAGGGGCCTTGGCATCATTAAGCTCCTCCCCTCTGGACTGGATGCAGGTGGCCCACAGAGGGGTGTTTGTTATTGCCGCTTTACAGCAACTTAGGTACATGAACAAATCCCTGTCATATACACTGGAGCTTTTCCCATTCACTTTTCACTTATCATTTGTCAGCCAATTTCAGCCCTACCTGTACCCACAGATGTTGCTTCTCCTGTTACAGAGCCCCTGCATTCCCGGGTCTGCACCCACCACCGGGTGTCTTCTGTCTGGGAGCCTTTGTGTTGCTTACTCCTGCTGCCAGTGGCTCATATCCTCCCATCCTCTGCTTTTCTGATCTCCTGAGGTGGACCTGTGCCCATGGCTAAAGACAGACACCCCTCCGCTTCCAGGTTTCTTTTCTTGTCCACATTCTGGAAAGAAGAACTATTCACTTTATAGAGTACTTTCATCTCCAGCCCAGCTAGAATCTTTCCCATTTCTAAACCAGAGGGAGGCAACTATCTTTTTCACTCCTCCGTCTTCCTGTCAAGTACTGGCATATTTAGCAAGATGTAGGTAGAATTTATTGAGATAAATTTTCATACGTATTTCCTGGGTATGTTGCTCTAACCCCTCTTAGTCACCCAAGCCTTATAAAAAGTGTCTCCATAAAAGAGTCTTTCAGCAACTGTCCACCAAAGAGAAGTGATGTCCACCAAACTGAATAGTACATTGTGATGATAATAAACATGGTTCTCTAAAAGCGCTTACCTGGTTTTTATGATGCACAAACTCCAGCTGTCTCTTTGCACTCTTTTTCTGCTGTGACCATGTAAACCTAAAGTAACAATAGAGAGACTCTCCAAAGATAATGAATTTATGCAGGAGTGGGCATTGCAATGCAGAAGGCATGTGCCTTGGTACCCTATGGGCATATTCAGAAAGGCAAGGATTTTAAAGGTAAAATGAGGAAGGTTACAGAAGTTGTTTTGAAACAATTATCCTTGCCTATTCACATCAATAACAAGGGTAACATTAGTTCCAGGTTGGACAGGCAGTTGCTATGCAGATGTCCTCCCAAAAATATTTTTTGTGTGAAGATGCAATGGCCTTTGTGCAAGGTTGTGGTTTTGGCAGTCTTTTGTGATAGCTTATTATCAGGCAACCTCGTGTGAGAACCCTGCTTCATGGCCTTCCCTAACTCCATTTTGTCAGAGTTCAACACAAGTGACTCCATTTTGATTCAGACAACTTTCACAACCATATTAATTTTTACCACACAGTCCTCAAGATGGTATCTCTTCCTTTGTCCTCCATTATCCCATATCATTAACCCCCTTTCCTTGAAATATGTTCCTCATTTTAAGCAAACTAGGTATTTTAAAGGCAATATTTAGAAACAAGGGAAAAGAAAAGAGCTAAGAACTGTTCGTTATAAAAAGATTCTTCTCTTTATATATTATTTCATCATGGCATTCTTTAAAAGCATGCCAGAGTCACAATTTTGATGTGGTTTAATGTACGATAGCTCTCTGTTATATAAGCCTGTCACTTCACTGATGTTACGTTCTTACTATATAGGAAGGAAAAGTACATACAAAATTCAGTTCAGACTTGGAAATTAAGTCAGCATTAATATACTTAAGTTACAGCACAGCCATTACTTGCTATATGGGTAAAGAACCATGCCATCTGGCTGGGCACAGTGGCCCATGCCTGTAATCCCAGCACTTTGGGAGGCCGAGGCAGGTGGATCACTTTAGGTCAGGAGTTCAAGACCAGCCTGGCCAACATGGTGAAACCCTGTCTCCATAAAAAATACAAAAATTAGCTGGGCATGCTGGCATGGGCCTGTAATCCCAGCTACTCAGGAGGCTGAGGCAGGAGAATGACTTGAACCCAGGAGGTGGAGGTTGCATTGAGCTGAGATTGTGCCACTGTACTCCAGCCTGAGGGACAGAGTGAGTGAGATTCCATCTCAAAAAAAAAAAAAAAAAAAAAGGGGGAGCCATGTGATCTAATCTCAGCTCTCTTCTTGTTTTCTATTTCTTTTCTTATCTCTCTTTTCTGAAGGTGGTTTGTCACTCATTTCTCTGTTTTTTTTTAAATAAAGGTATAATTTACATATAGCATAAGGCACAACTCTTAAATGCACAGCTTTACAAATATATGTATAAATATCTATATTGACCTATGTAATCACCCACTCAGATCAAGATACAGGACATTTTTAGTAGCCCGGAAAGCTGCTTGTCAGTCTTCACCTCCAAGAAGTGACTGCTCTTCTGATTTCTATCACTGAAGATTTTAGCTTGTTTTTGAGCTTCACATAAATAGAGGCGTACGATACATAGTCTTTGGTGTTGTTTGCTCGATGTTAGGTCTGTGAGATTTCTCCGCATTATCGTGTGCAGCAGTAGTTCATTCTGTATTTTGCTGTGCTGTATTTCCTTGAATAAATACATCAAAATTTATTTATGCATATTGCTATGGATGGATAATTGGGTTGTTTCCAGTTTGGGGCTATTGCAAATAAAATTTCTATGAGCGTTTTTGTAACTTGTCTTTTTGTGGACATATACACTCATTTTTGTTGAATAAAGACACGATAAATTCTGCTATTGGGTTGTAGGGTAGGTGTACATTTAGCTTTAGAGATAACATGCAACAGTTTTTCTAGCTGACCATCCCTATTTACATTTCCAGAGACGATGCATGAGAGTTCCAGTTCCTCGACATTTTTGTCAATTTTCATCTGTTCTTTTAATTTTAGCCAATTTGGTGGGAGATTCCCAGTTCCTTTTAAACTCAGACAATTAACTCAGTCTCTGCATTTCCTCATCTGTCACATGGGATTGCTCACCATTCTCAAGTTTATTGGGAGTTTCACTTGGGAGAATAAATATGGAAGTATCTTTAAAAGCTAGAAGCCATACAAATGTCAGGTATCATATTAAGAAAAGAGAAATAAGTGATTGGCACATAGAACACAGGCATTTTGCATCTTAGTCTGAGCCAGAGAGTCCCTAAAAGATCTCTTCCAATACCATTATTTTGTTTATGAAGCAGTAAAGTGAGGCTCAGGGAGAGGAATTGCCTTATCTGAGGCCAGGTGGCTGACCAATGGCAGAGGCAAAATTAGAGCCCAGGTCTCCTGAGTCCCAGCCTAACCTTTGCTCCTGTCTATGCTGCCTTCCAAAAAGCCCAAAGATGTTATTGGATTTTCCCAAGGGCTATCTTGAGTACAGTAGCAATTATGTTACTAAGGTTGTTGTAGAAGGCAGTCCAGACCTTCTTTCTGATATTCATCCAGCCATGTATTGTACATTTACTATAAGGTGATACCTGCATTGAGTGATTGGGAATAAAGGGTCATGAAAATGCTGTGTCTTCTTTGAACTCCTACTCTAGTGGAGGTAAGAGCTGGATGGGTTCTGAGAGGCATGGTATGGCTTTCTTCCATTTTATTCCTTTTTATGGTGACAGTATTGACTGCCCTCAATTTCTTCAAATCAAAAAGTAGTTAAGAAGACCAAGGATGATTCCATCACCTGAATATGTGTCCACCCAACCTCTGGCTAGCTCCCACAATGGCTGCTGCTTGGCCTGTTGATATAGCACTGTCTCTGCAGACACTCTGGTGTGTGTGCTAGGTCAACATCTTCCTTTCTGTCCCATTTCCTTCATCCTTGGAGTATAGGGGTCTGTGTGTGTGGATATTTAGAGGAAAAGGCTGCTTTCCACAAGACCATTCTGTACTATGGAAATCCTGACTTCTAAGGCTTCCACCCACTGTGGGAGGGGTGGTTTTGGTATGCGTGAGTACCATCCCAAGCTCCACCACCCTCTAATGCAACCTGTGGGTACCTTGCAGGACTTTAGGCACAACTATCAATTTGTCTGTGTTGCATCCCATTCTTCCCAAAATCTGTTTCCATTCCAAGGTGTCTCTTGTCTGTAGCTGGTGCCTTTCCTCTGCCCGTACCTGCTGAGAGTAAAGGATTAGTCACTGACACTTTAGCATGAATTTAAAAAGCCTCTTTTTCAAAGAACCTTTATTTTTCAGTGTTGAAGGAAGCACCATGTCCCTTGAAAAGGAAATGTAGGGCCAATCATCTCTCTCTAGAGACAGAGAGAGCGAGAGAGAGAGTGTGTGTGTGTGTATGTGTGTTTGGGGAGGTAGGGTTGTGGAGTGAGTCAATTTTTATATATCTTCCCCAAGTCATTCCTGTCAAAAAAGTACAGTTTGGGAACAGAACAGAGAACTTTCCTGTCCCCTCCATATTCTGAGAATATATACAAGTGAGTATTTTAGACTAGAACACATAGATTATGGGTGTGGATCCCTTTATTTCAGAGTGCCTTTACTTGTTATCTCATCTGATCATGTGCAGTTAGAAGGTAGACAGGGTAAGCGTTGTTGCCACTATGATGATGAAACTGAGACCTAAAGGATTTAAGCTAGAGTAAGAGCTAGTCAATGACACAGTTGGGAACAAAATCCAAGTTTATTGAATCCATGCTGTGCAGTGAAGTTATCTCAGGCCTGAGCTGCTAAACCAAACACATTACAAGAATGGCCTGTGTTGTGGGGGACTGGCCCTTGACAGGCCCCTGGAAGAGAACCTCTCAGCCCTTGGAATATCGTGCCTGCTAAGAGTGTTTTTGTGGGCTTGAGGCTGAGCAGCTGCAGTCCATCATGCAGGTGCCACATGCTAAAGCCCTTGACAGCAAGGCTCAGGTGAGCTCCCCTGCTGAACAGTGCTTTGCACATGTTGTCCCCCATCATTGCTGGGAGAATTAAGCATATCTCCATGGAACTCCACTGCAAGGGGACACCTGAAAGTTTGCACCTGATTTTCCCTGGACATTGCCCACACACTTTATCCCTTTCCTGATTACTATCAGTATCCTTCCACTATAATAAACAAAATAATGAGTATAACAGCTTTTCTGAGTTCTATTAGTCTAACAAACCATTGTGCCTACAGGTTGTCTTGGTGACTCCTGACACAAGTGCCTGACATTTCCCTTTAGACTGTACCTCTCTTAGCCCCATGATATCAGTCTATAATTCTATCAAGTCCACCGGCTATGGTTTGAATGTTTGTGTCCCCTCCAAAATTTGAATATTGGAACTTCAACCCCAAGGTGATGGTATTAATTGGTGAGGCCTCTTGGGAGGTGATTAAGTCATCAGGGTCCCATCCTCATGAATGGGCTAGCACTCTTTGATGGAAGAGGTTGAAAGGAGAGCCCTAGTTCCCCTTTGCCCTCCCACCTTCCACCATGTGAGGACACAACATTCATTCCCTCTGGAGGACACAGAAATGAGGCACCATCTTAGAAGCAGAGACCAGGCCCTCCCTGGACACGGAAGCTGCTGGTGCCTGATCTTGGACTTCACAGCTTCCAGAGCTGTGAGAAATAAAGTTCTGTTCCTTAAAATTACCTAGTCTCAAGTATTTTGTTATAGCAGCATGAATGATTTAAGACAACAGGCTACCATTTGAAGAAGGCATTCATCAGGCCGGTTAATGTATGAACTAAACTTTATTTACTCTCTCAAGATCTCTCTGTGATGAGTGCGCTCCCATGGAAGAAGTGTGCTGCCTGGAACATCTGGCTGAACCTGATGCTTGCACCTTCCCTGAAGCCATAAATCTTAGGTATGGACACACTAGTCTGTCACATGAACACATCTGGAGGTTTCTTGAAGATTCTGAGATTTGGAGAGGGAGAATATGTGAGGCTAAAGTTTAAAGACATCAATTTTCAGGGAAATCAGATTCCAAAGTATTATCAATTTAAACATTCAATGTCATAATCAAATAGCCCACCAGAGAATGTGGCCAGTGAATGTCTGGGTTGAATACAGAATTTTGTAAAATATGTGGTTTGGGGGATAATTTTTTTTTAAGTTAGTGAAATTTTTCTTTGGACAGAAAGAAGATTTAAGGCAATGAAGGAGTAAAAAAAATTAAAATGGGACAGGAAGGGTTAAAAAAGATGTAACCCCCAAAAACATTAAAAGATCGTCAAATAGACTCAAGTGCGAGTTTTAGTAAATGACAAAGTTGGCATTTCCAACCATGGGAGAGGATTAATTACTCAGGCAATGGTATCAGGACATGTGGTTTTATATTGAGGAAAACATAAAGGTTAGAGTTAGAAAAAAAAGAGTTTTTTTTTCTTATTTGACACATTGAGTAAAAAATCTAAATGGATTAAAGAGTTAAATGATAAAAATGGAACCATAAGAGAGTTGGGAAAAAAATTGTTTCATTTGGAGTATGGAAGATCTTTCAAAGGATAAAAATAAAAGAAGCAGCATACAGAAAAAAGACGAAGAGATTTACTAGATAAAACTGAAAGGCTCTGTATACCAAGTCTTACAAATAAAATTAAAAGGTTAATGAAGCACTGGAAAAATATTTGTACTGTATAAGACATGCAAGAAAGGTTGAGTCTCAATACAGGAAGAGAACTTAATAAAAAATAGATGAATGTCAATTAGAAATAGAAATATAGGCAAAGGACATAAACGGGCAATTCACAAACAAAGAAGACAAAAGGTAAATACATAGGAAAGAGATTCAACCTCAAGAATAGCAAAACAAAAAACATACAATCAAAAGGATAACACGCTATTTTTTACCATGAAACTGGCCTTATCAGTTGCAGTACAACCAGGAAACAGGAACAATTTCACATATTTACCAAGACAGGATTTTAATTCAGGGTCTTGGTTACACAGGTGATGGAAAAAGCCAAGAGTGTAAACAGAGGACCATGAAGTAACTTAGAGAAAATTAGCAATGACAGGAAAAGATGATCACCTTTAGGCTGAAAGGACAGGAAGAGGAGGTGGTGTTGCCAGAGCCAGGGGCTGGGGACACTCCTCACTCCACACTCCAGGGAACGCAGCAACTACCAGATATGTCTTCTCCAGTAGAGAGGGAGGGAGAGAAATACCTTGGCTTCCCTCTTCCTTTTACTTTCCAATGTCCCATTGATACTGCCCATTGGCCACACCTAGGTGGATAAAGCTGGATAAATGCAGCCTGCTGTGGTCACCTCTCGTCTTTAATACATAGCAGAGAAAGCAAAGGGTGAGAAAGAGGTCTGAGGACAAACTGGCCAGGACCACACACTGATAGAGGCTAAAGCCATGACAATGTTTGCAAGGATGCAATGAAATGCTACTTTTATACAAGGCTGCTGCTGTACCAATTTACAATTTACAACTCTCCAGGAGAAGAAACTTGGTAATGTCTGTTAAAGCTTTAAGAAGATGCCCTTTGACCTAGCAATTGCAGTTCTAAGAATTTACCCAAAGAAATATTAGTGATAGAGGAAAAGCAGCATGCAGCTTAAGCCAAGGTCCCCTCATCCTCAGCCCCTCCTTCTGCAATTGCTTGGCTCTGACCCCATGTCAACCTGGATGTAACTCCGTAGCGCTTCAAGTTCCCCCAAATACTCTACTTGAAACACAAGTCAATGAACAATGTAGACCAAACTTGTCCAACCCATGGCCTGTGGGCCGCTTGAAGCCCAGGACAACTTTGAATGCGGCCCAACACAAATTCATAAATTTTCTTAAGACATTGTGAGATTTTTTTGTGATTTCTTATATTTTTTTAGTTCGTCAGCTGTTGTTAGTGTATTCTATGTGTGGCTCAAGACAATTCTTCTTCTTCCAATGTGGCCCAGGGAAGCCAAAAGATTGGACACCCCCAAGACTTTACTGAAGATTTTGTAGAGGAGATAAAAGAGGGAGTTTACAGCACATTAATAGCAAATTATGAGTCTTCATCCGATGTTTCTGTTACCCCAAATCCCTTTTGTGCCCCACCACCCCTGTGCTTCTCTTTCAGAGCATGCAGTCCTGGTTCCTGCTCACTCTTCTCTGCGCTTTCATCCTTTTGTTTTGCTGCCTGTTCTCACTCCTACCTCCAGCCATTCACACCCAAATCCATCCTGGAATTCAGAAAAATACAGAACTCTCCTGCTATCAGATGTCACTCTCCATAGAAGGAAACAGAGGCTTAAATTACAAATTCTTTCTTCTGTCATGTGTACAAGGATATCCCTCACACCATTATTTATAATAAAAGGTTTAAAATCTACATGTTCAAGAGTAGGGGATTGGTGACTCCCTTTTGAGGAAATACAATGTAGTTATAAAACATCACCCTGCAGAAAATGAGCTGACATAAAAAAAAATTTCAAATATTAAAACCAGATTGGGTTTATTTTATTTAAACAAGTAAAAAACAAATAAAATGATACTCTCAGAACAA
Organism: Homo sapiens; assembly: GCF_000001405.40. Lineage (NCBI taxonomy): Eukaryota > Metazoa > Chordata > Mammalia > Primates > Hominidae > Homo > Homo sapiens. The sequence goes on from NC_000018.10 coordinate 50,486,400, forward strand.
AAGCCTTGTTGGTGGCTGAATACAGAAAGCAGGAAAGATCTCAGCTGGATTTTAGTTGTAATCCACGTGTAAAGGCCAGAGAAGATGGGAAGCAGTTCCATATTGGCCCCAGCTGGTAGTAGTTGATGGGCGTGGTGTTGGTAATTTTTTCTGTCAACAGCCACATAGTAAATATTGTCAGATTTGTGGCCCATTTGGTTTCTGTTGCAATGGCTCAATTCTGCTGCTTAGCACCAAAGCCCCCACAGACAATACACAGATGAATGAGCATGACTGTGTTCCCATAAAACTTTACTTAAAGACCCTGAAATTTGAATTTCATAATCTTTTCATGGGTCATGAAATATTCTGTTTTTTTCCAACCATTTAAACATGTGAAAACCAGCCAGGCATGGTGGCATGTACCTGTAGTCCCAGCTACTCAGGAGGCTGAGTTGGGAGGATCACATGAGCCCAGGAGTCTGAGGTTACAGGGAACTATGATTGTATCATTGTACTTCAGCCTGGGCAACAGAGAAAGACTCTGTCGCTTAAAAAGAAAAAGAAAAAAATTAAAATAATTTAAAAATGTGAAAACTATTCTTACTTTGGGAGCCAAAAAAAAAGAAGAGGCCACAGGCCAAATCATGGGCCATGTTTTGCTGATCCCTGAATTAGGAAATCATGATTTTGATCCCATTGAGCCAAAGCACTTAGCAAAGTGTGAAACTATAGGGAGAAAAATACCTTTTCTCACTCAACACTTAGTTTAAGGCTGGGGCACCTATAACAAAAGAGAAATTAACAAGAGAAAAGCATACAAACTTATTTAATATTAAGTTTCACATGTTATGAAAGATTTCAGAAATACTGACCCAAAGAGACAGGGAAAACTGTGTATTTTTATGTTAAGTTTAATGAAGAAGTGGATAGGTATAGAGAAATAAGATTGGACAAAAGGGGTACAATCTCATGGTAACAAATGGGAAAATTTAGCAAAGCCTGTTTATTCAGATTCTTCTCTGTGTTCCTGTGTCTTCAAGAATGAGGATATTACTTTCCTCCAGGTTTAGGGAAGGAACCTTTGGAATGACAGTTTTATGACCTCCCTCAGGGGAGAAGGCTGAGGAGAAGGTGAAAGTAACCTTCCTGCTTCTGCTGTTTTCTCAAATGCCAAAGTGCCATATTTTGGGGTAGCATGTCCTGAATCCTATGAAAACAAAAACAGGAAAAACAAATCTCCAGTGAATGGGTCTTTTTGTGTTTTCTAAGTGCAGTAGACAGAATGGCCTTAAAGATGTTTAAATATGTTACATTACATGTGTCAAATGGTCTCTCTTCAACTGAAATGACCAGAGCTAAAAGAAATGTGTGGCCATGAGGACACTGTAACCTATGAATGACATGCTGAGACCAGAAACCCAAAATCATGGTAACTGAGAGTGGTGCTAAGGCCCTCAGTTTTGGTCATACTCTCATCTAAGTAGGAACCTGACCAAAAAAGGGGAATTTTTAAAACAAAATTGTGGAAGGCCATTGTTTTGGACTGAGCTCGTGTATTAGGCCCCAACAGATCAAACCAAACCAAGACAGAGTCATTCATGCTAAATGTGACATAATCAACTAAGACTTTAATGAAATACATAGATCCTAGACCAGACCAGATTTTGTTATTCTCCTGTAAACAGGATGTTCCAGCACAAGGAGGTACCCTCTACAAAAGTCCTTGTTCCTACCTTTGCAAAACTGACTGTTCTACTCTTTCCCAGTGGGTTTCAAGACCAAATAAGTACATTTATGATGGTGATAGTGACATCAATGACTAAAGTTTTGGTTGGTCAAGCTCTCAAAATTGAGAAAGTGACCAAAAGGGGGGAATTGTTAAAGCAAACTAAATAGGGCCTGAGAAGGACTCCATACTTCAATATTTCAGTCCTTATGGGTGAACCACAACCTAACTTAATAGGTAGATAAGATTGAAAACCTAACTTAGGAGTATGCATCTGTAACAATAGCTGAATCTTAGTCAATCCAGCAGCCACACTTCAACCTCTCATAGACTGCTGAGTGTTCAAACTGTGTCCAAATAAGGCAAACACCGAGCTGTAACCAATCCAGTTGTTTCTGTACCTCACTTCTGATTTCTGTATGTCACTTCTTTTAGTTGTCTATAAACTTTTTCTGACCACGAGGCATTCCTGGAGTTTCTCCAAATCTGCAGTGATTCTGGGGGCTGCCCAATTCAGGAATCATTCATTGCTCAATTGAACTCCATAATTCCATAATTGTATTTGTGGTCTAGTTACTTAATTTTCCTGATCTCAGTTTTCTTATCTGTAAAAGGAGATAAGAATTTTCACCAACTGTGATGGCTAATATTGAGTGTCAACTTGATTGGATTGAAGGTTGCAAAGTGTTGTTCTTGGGTGTGTCTGTGAGGGAGTTGCCAAAGAAGATTAACATTTGAGTTAGGGGACTGGGAGAGGTAGACTCACCCTCAATCTGGGTGGGCACCATCTAATCAGCTGCCAGCATGGCTAGAATAAAGTGGCCAGAAGAACATGGAAGGACTAGACTCACTGAGTCTTCTGGCCTTCATCTTTCTCCCATGCTGGATGCTTCCTGCCCTCGAATATCACACTCCAAGTTCTTCAGATTGCGGACTGTTGGACTTACACCAGTGATCTGCCAGGGGCTCTCGGGCCTTCAGCCACAGACTGAAGGCTGCACTGTCTGCTTTCCTACTTTCGAGGTTTTTAGGACTCGGACTGGCTTCCTTGCTCCTCAGCTTGCAGATGGCCCATTGTGGGACTTCACCTTGTGATCGTGTGAGTCAATACCCCTTAATAAACTCCCCTTGATACACACATCTGTCCTATTAGCTCTGTCCATCTAGAGAACACTGACTAACCCACAAACTGAGCTGCCTGGCTCTTTTATTATTGTTAACAGTTAACAGTTAATTTGGCTTAATTTGCCTAGGTTGCAGGCAGGTATGGGAGGCCAGCTCATCACTGCTCCCACTTCAACTCAAACAGCAGTGCCAGAAAGTTCATTTGAAGACAAATTATCCTGCTGGGAAACAAACAGAATAACCACCACCTCTGAAACTCAGACCTAGGTGCCTCCTTTTCCCTGGCTCCTACATCCAGTTGTTCTCCCCATCTTCAGCAACTCTGTCTCCCAAACAGGCCTCCCTTCCCATAAAATCCCTGCCTTGGTCAAGCCTGAGTCATTTCTTTCCTGGACCACCACGGTGGTTTCTAACTATTCTCTTCCCTCAACCATGGAACCTGCCTGAGACTCAGTTTTCTCATCTATATATTTCAAATGCCACCCTCCTCAGGTTGCAGAATGAAATGATAATTATATTCTCTGTGAACCATAGAACACTGATAAAATACGGTATAACAAGAGTCAGTCAACAGAGACCCACTTGCCCTAGTTTAAATAGGAAATAATGAGGGTTTTATGGAACTCAAAGTCTGCCAGGATCTCATCTCGGCTCCTGTTCTCACTGCTCTCCCTTCCCTTTCTCTTTCCACCTCCTTTGCTCCCCAGTTCACAGGGCAGAACCTGGCCACATACAATGGATCCTGAGTTGTTTACTTCTCTTCCATCCTAACAGACCAGATGCTGTTATTAGATTATATATTTTAAAAGTCTGCTTAAACCCATTCAGTGCCATTGTGTGATTTCAAAGCTTAGTCCATTTTCTGCTGCTGTAACAGAACACAACAGAGTGGGTAATTTATATTTTAAAAAGTGTATTTGGTTCATGGATCTGGAGACTGGGAAGTCCAAGGGCATGGCAGCATCTTCTGGTAAGGGCTTTCATACTGTGTAATAACATGGTGGGAAAGCTGAAGGGCAAGTAGATGCATGTGGAAGAGACTGCAAGAGGGAGCCAAGCTTACTTTTATAACAACCTGCTCTCATGAAAACAAATTTACTCTTGAGAGAACAAACTCACTACTAAGATAATGACATTAATCTCTTCTTGGGGGCTCAGCCCTTATGACTCAATAACCTCTTTAAGGCCCTACTTCTTAATATTGTTCCATTGGCAATTATGTTTCCAATATATGAACTTTTGGGGGCACATTCAAACCATAGTGGAAGCTAATCCCAAACACCTTTCCCTGCACCCAGGGTCCTTTATGACTTAGCTCCTGTCTCTCATCTGCCTCAGCCTCCATTTTGCATCCTGCCTTCTGCTCACTGAAACTTCTTTTAGTCCCCAAACATCTCCAGTTCTGTGGTGTCTCTCCACTGTGGTAGCTTATGTTCCCTCCTTATGGAGTACCTGCATCTCACCTGTCTGCCTTGTACATTTTTATCCACCACTCAAGACTAAGCTGAAATGTTACCTGCTCTATTCTTACTCCTTTGGGCTCCTAAAGCACTGTGTATGTATAATAGTGCATAGATGTACCCACATATATATCAAAGTGTGTACATTCTAAATGTTAGTATGTGTACTCATTAGAACAATTTTTTAAAAGGTAAAATCATGACTCATACAGATGAGAAATGAAAATGTGTTAAGGATTTATCAATTAATGAATCAATGAGAGAACCAGATGTCATAATCATTTCAAAGGAGAAATTTTAAAAACACAGATTTATAGGAGTTAAGGAATGTTGAAATGAATATGCAAATGGAGGCAAAGGTAGCATTTTCCACAGCAGAGGAGAAAAGTCAGTTCAACTTCTACCAGTTAGGGAAGAATTTGCATGTCTAAAGGTAAGAATTATTTTTCATTGCTATCAGTTATCTATAATTTATCAAGAAGTAAAATAGCTTCCATAGAATCAGATAATCCCTGGGGTGTCCTTTAGAGTCCAAATAATACACAGTTTTCCACTTAAGCACATTTTTTTCCTACAGTACCCACCAAATGCTTAACAAACACTAGCAGCCTTTCTTAGAAGGTAGCTACTAGAACTGGGCCACAAAAAAGTCAGAGAATATCAGAGGGCAGGGTTGATTTCATATTCCCCTAGAGGAGTGCTGCCTTCGATTCTTCCTAAAAGCAGGATTGGTATCAGAGGTATGAGGGTTAGGAGGGTGGTTGGGGTTGCTGAGGAGATGAGGAGTTTTGTAAACACTCCTTTTGTACATGGCTGTAATAGATTTCCATTCATACCTATTTGGATTTAATGAAGCAAATTTAATGTCCTGTCAGGTTTGTTAAAATTAGGTTGTAACCCAATGCTTTGATTTTAATGTTTGTCCCCTCCAAAACTCATGTTGAAATTTGATTGCCAATGTAATGGTATGGGAGTTGGGGCCTTTAAGAGGTTATTAGGCCATGAGGATTCTGCCCTCACAGGTGGGTTTAATGCCTTAATAAAAGAACTTGCAGAAGCAGGCTCTCTGGGCTCTTCTGCACCCTTGCCATGTGAGGAACAGTGCTCCTCTCTGGAGGATGCAGCACTCAAGGCATCATCTTGGGCATAGACACAAGGCCCTTACCAGACACCAAACCTGCCAACACCTTGATATTGGACTTCCCAGCCTCCAGAACTGTAAGTCAATACATTTCTGTTCATTATAAATTACCCAGTCTGCAATATTCTGTTATAGCAGCACAAAAGAACTAAGACAACCAATAAATGAAAACTTAAAATGGGCAGAACATAAAAGCAATACAAATTTTTTGGAAAAGGGGGCCAGGAATAGCTATATTCTCCCTTTTATTGTGTCTCACAGTTTTACTTCCAGACACAAGTCTTCTTTGTGAAAGTGCCAACACCTCAGAGGTCTGAGACTTGCTATGAATCTTTTTTTAGTGCCCTTTAATAGTAAAAAAAAAAAAAAAAAAAGGTTCAATAATTTCCCTCAGACTGGCCTAAACGGAGCCTTCCCCTTGTGGCCGGTGGAGGCTCTTTCTCCTTCTCCAGAGCTGCATTTTAATGAGACCCCAAGGGAGGCTTTGGGATGCAGGGAGCCAGCACTTTAGTTTAATTTAAGTGTCTGGCTCTTTTTATTTTATTTTTCTTCTTTCTGTGTCTTGGGCAGCTCCACTAGCTCCAGCTGAGAAGTTTAACTCATTTAACACTTCCAGATGCTCCCTGTTCTGAAGCACCAATGCTTGTGGCTTGTTGAAAAGTCCTTAGGAGACTCAGGGACATGAGAATAATGTGTCCAGTGACCATAAGGCTGTCTTTAAAAGAAGAACATCCTGTCAGTGAGGAAAATTGCACCTTTGTCACTTGCTTTGCGTCAACTTCAAGGCCCGACTTAACTATTTCCTCAGCATTCATTTAGCACTATTTATTAAGCACCTGTTTTAGGTTCTAGAACTTCAAAGATGAGGAAGCACAGAACGTACTTCTAATGAGGCTGCTGTCTAGTATATGATAAACACCAAAACAGACTACTATAAACAGGCTGGAGGTGGCCAGAGGCACATGATTAGGAGAAAAGAGCAAGGAGCAGAACAGCCTAAGTGATACAATCCCATCTGAGTAACAAGAGTTATTTATACATATATATGGAGAGAAGATACATATGCTTACATATGAGCAGAACATTTCTGGAAGCATGCTGGATGACTGGTTATCTCTGAAGGCTTGGCTTTGGGGACTCTGGCATACAGGACAATTTTTAATTTCACTTTATATCCCTCTATATGTTCAAAAACCATTCTTTTTACAGTGAGCATACATTACTTATGGAATAAAACAACAGCAACCAGCATGGCAGTACCACCAAAGAGGTACATACAGTGAGTTATGGAAGCAATGAAACAAATCAGAAGATCCAAATTCAAGAATTTTCCTAATTATCTTAGATGGATCAATTTCTAGATTGTCATAGTTTTTGCTTACACATTTATGATATGTGACACTTATTCTCTACCACAGCCTGCCTTCCTGCCTTCTTTCCTTCCCTTCGTCCTTCCATGGATGTTTACTGAGATTCTACTATGCACAAGCTAGATGATTCAATATTGTATTTGTTATCAAGCTTGATGGCATGTGACAGAAAGAAAAAACTAAAATGGTGGCTTAAAGAATCTAATTTTATTTTTCTCACACATGACGTGGTCTAGAGGTAGGCACTCATCCCAGGACTTGTATGGCAGTTGCAGGGTGGTCAAGGACCCAGGCTTTATCTAGCTTGCTATTCTCCCATCCTTGGCATGGCCTCTCATGGTCTAAATTGGCTGCTCCAGATTCAGCTCCAGTATTCAAATTCCCACAAGCAGAAAGAAATAAAGAGGGGCTCCTGCCCTTCCTTTTAAGGAGACTTCCTAGAACTACCACACTACAATCTAATTAAATCTAATTGGCCAGAACTTAGCCATATGACCACATCTAGCTGCAAGGGAAGCTGGGATGGGCAGAGAAGCTGGGATATGTAGTATTTTAGCTGGGTGCATCACTGCCCTCAATAAATCTAGAATTCTTTTTTTTTTTTTTTTTGACACAAGATGTCACCCTGTTGACCAGGCAGTGGCATGATCATGGCTCACTGCAGCCTTGACCACCCAGACTCAGATGATTCTTTCACCTCAGCCTCCTGAGTAGCTGAAATTACAGGTGCATGCCACAATGCTCATCTAATTTTTTGTAGAGATGGGGTTTTGCCATGTTACCTAGGCTGGTCTTGAACACCTGGGCTCAAGTGATCTACCTGCCTCAGCCTCCCAAAGTCCTGGGATTACAGGCATGAGCCACCACACCCAGCCTAGGATTCTTTTTCTAAAGAAAAACTAGAAACTAGATATTGGGAGTTCATTAGCAATCAATGTCTGCTGCAAATGGGAACCAAAAAAGAAAGTTCCTGTCTTTATAGTGCTTATACTCTAGGAGAGAAATCTGCCATTAATCAAACAATCACAAAAATAATTTTAAAATTGCACACTATAGTAAGTGAGGTCAAGAAACACTTCACTGGGTCTTGGAAGTATATTATTAAAGGGCCTAATCTGTTGGGGGAACTCTTTTCTAAGGAAGCATGAAATGGGACTGAAAAAAAAAGTAGCCAGAGGTCAGCCATGCAGGGCCTTGTCTACCTTAAGGTTTTGATCTTTATTGTAGAACAAAGGCCAGTGATTAAAGGGTTTTGAACAGGTTATGAGGTAACTTTTTACCCTGCTATGATTATGTTTTGAAAATATTTTTCTGACAGCTTAGTGCAGAATGTGCTAAAGAGGAAAATTGGATGTGATGGGGGAGCCTACACACTGGCAGAAGGATAACCATTGATGTCCAGCCCATTTCAGAGTAGCCAGAGAAACTTAGTGCCAGCCCTTTGTGGAAACTGACAGTGGTCAGTGGTGGGGCTGCACAACATTGTGCTATATGTCTTGTTCTTTCCTACCCCACTGGGGGTTGAGAGTGGAGTACAACCGCAGGAGAGGAACATCCGTGTTGAGTCATGTGGAGCCATGTGTTACTCAACCCTTCTCCCCAGGGATAGTGCAGCCTGGTGAACATGGCTGTCTACCCAACCGACCTGCCACCTACCTTCCTCCCAATAACAGAATCTTGGTTTACTCAATTGCATGATGAAAACCCTTTGATCTCAGGGAGGTAGGCTTCCTCCAGCCTCACAGGATGACTTATGATTGGTCTAAAGCAGATATAGTAATCCCATACCTCTTTCCAGATATTTTCCCAGCCATCATCTAGCAAGAGATGAACTTGTGACTTACTGAGATTAAAGAGGGGTTTCTGGGAATGTTTTCTTCATAATAGGAGAAAGTGTTAGAGGATTGTTGTATGTGACCATGCTTTCTCCCTTTTCCTTGCTTGGGGCACTGAAATGAAAATATCATATTTGAAGCTGAGCAGCACCTTTCAGCTATGAGACTAAAAGCTCAAGGACCAAAATCCAACATCCTCATGGCAAATCAGAAAGATAGGATCTTTCTATCTAGGCTTTTGATGACATTGTAGAGCCACTGCACTCAGCTTGGAGCTACCTACCAACAGATTTCTTAGAATGCAAGGTGATTCCACATGTTCTCACTCATAGGTGGGAATAGAACAATGAGAACACATGGACACAGGAGGGGGAACATCACACACCGGGGCGTGTTGTGGGGTGGGGGGAGGGGGGAGGGATAGCATTAGGAGAAATACCTAATGTTAAATGACGAGTTAATGGGTGCAGCACACCAACATGTCACATGTATATATGTAACAAACCTGCACATTGTGCACATGTACCCTAAAACTTAAAGTATAATAATAAAAAAAAATGCAAGGTGATTATATGTATCTATTGCTTAAGTAAATGTTAATGTAGTATTCTTTTACTTGCAGCCATAGGCATCCTGACTAATACATTTGGTAAATATTGAATTGAACCAAATGAACCAACTTTATCTCAGCTGTGGTTAAACTTGAGTAACCTTGGGCAAATTATTTTACCTCTCAGATTTCGGTTTTTCCTCCTCAAAATTGGCTGGTAATGATAACCATCTTGTAAGGTATGTTCTGAGAAATAAACAAGGTAATACATATAAACACATTTAGTGATCTCTAAAGTACCATCCAAATGCAAGTATAAAAGATTAAAATACTGTTGTCTGTTATACTTCTTAAATGCACACAGATATTACTATTTTAGTAGCTAAAAACAGAGCCAATTTTCTTATTGGCATTCTTCTATTCAGTAAAGTAGGTAATATAAATTGTATGAATACACATTTCCCCCCCTCCCCGTTGAGATTCAATAAAGTCATTTTTAGTTTGCTTGGTGAAAAAATATAGTAACCATGTTAATCTTTCCTAAATTAGCTCTCAAACCAAGAAAAAAAGAGGGTTGCTTAGCACTGATGTATAAGAACTAAAATGTTCTTTGAAATCAGAAAGACTTAGATTTGAATGTTGATACTTCCGCTTCTAAGCTTTGTGACATTGGTATATTTAATTTCTGTATATTATATGAGGATGATAATGCCTACCTTATCATGTATAAAAATTCAAAGGAGATGATTAAGGATGGTCCAATACTACTCACAACTCTGGCCCTAACCATATCCCACTCAATTATTTACCACTTCTTAGCTAACCCCTCCATTGAAGGAAAAGTTGCTCATTCTTATCAGGGCCTTTGATTGATCAGGGCCCAGGATATCACTGGGCCATATTTTATTAGTGGATGAAGACACAACATACCACAAAATGATAATCGTTTTGCTCTTCTGCACCCATGAAAAGAAGATTCACTTCTACCTCTTCTTTTTCATGCATGTGGTAGGCAGAATTCTAAGATGGTCCCCAATGATCTCCTCCTGATACTCATGCCTACACATAATCTCATCCCCTTAAGTGTGGGCTGGACCTGGGGACTTTCTTTTTCTTTTTTTTAAGTGGCTTTATTGAGATATCATCCACATATGATTCATTCATTTAAAGTGTACAATTCAATGGTTTTATTCAAAAAAATCAATATTAAATAAAGTATACTCAAAGATATATGAAACCATCACCAACAACAATATCTGAACATTTTCATCACCTGAAAAGGAAACTGTGTACACTTTAATTATCAACTCCCTATTCCCCTATGCCTAAGCAAGCACTAATCTACTTTCTGTCTCTAAATATTTGCCTATTTGGACATTTTATAGAAATGGAATCATATAATATGTGGTCCTTTTGCGACTGGTTTCTTTCACTTAGCATAACGGTTTCAAAGTTCATCCATCTTGTGGCATGTAACAGTATTTCATTCCTTTTTATGACTGCACAATATTCCATTGTATGGATATATCACATTTAGTTTATCCATTCATCAGTTATGAACATTCGAGGTGTTTCCACCTTTTGGCTATTATGAATAATGCTGCTACAAACCTTCAAGTACAAGTTTTTGTGTAGACATGTTTTCATTTCTCTTGCATCCATACTTTGGAGTGGAATTGTTGGGTCATATGGCAACTCTATGCTCAATCATTTGAGGAACTTTCAGACTGTTTTCCAAGCGGTTGCAACATTTTACATTTCCTCCAGCAGTGTATGAGGGTCTTGAATTCTCCACATCCTCACCAACAAGTTATTTTCTTTTTTTAAAATTAAATTAGCAATGTTAGGGTGAAGTGGTATCTCCTTGTGGTTTTTATGGATGCTGAGCACTGTTTCATGTGCTTATTAGCCATTTGTATATCTTCTTTGGAGAAATTTCTATTCACGATTTTTACCCATTTTTAAATTGAACTATTTGTCCTTTTATTGTTGAGTTGTAAGAGTTCTGTGTATTCTGGATACAAGTCCCTTATCAGATATATGATCTATAAATATTTTCTTCCATTCCATAAGCTGTCTTTTTACTCTCTTGATAGTGTCTTTAGATGCACAAAAGTTTTCAATTTTGATAAAATCCAATCCATTTTTTTTTCATTGCTCATATGTTTGGTGTCAGATCTAAGACTCCATTGCCAAATCCATAGTCATGAAGATTTATCTCTGTGTTTTATTCCAATAATTGTATAGTTTTAGTTTTGACATTGTGATCTTGATCCATTTTGAGTTAATTATTTGTATATGTTATGCAGTAAGTGTCCAAATTAATTATTTTCCCTGTGACTATCCACTTGTTCCAGTGCCTTCATTGAAAAGACTATCTTTTCCCTGTTGAATGGTCTTGCACCCTTCTTGAAAATCAGATGACCATAAATACATGTGTTTATTTCTGGACTCTCAATTCTGTTCCATTGAGCTATATATCTATCTTTATGCCAATATCACACTGTCTTGGTTACTGTTACTTCAGAGTAACTTTCAAAATCTGGAAGTGTGGGTCCTCCTACTTTGTTCTTCTTTTTCAAGATTTTTTTGGCTTTTCTAGATTCCTTGCAATTCCATATGAATTTTAGAATCAGCTTATCAATTTCTACAAAGCAGTCAGCTAGGATCTGATAGAAATTACACTGAATCTGTAGATCGATTTAGAAAGTATTGTCATCTTAGCAATATCAAGGCTTCCAATCTAAGAAAATGAGATTTTTAAAATTTATTAAGATTTCCCTTTAATTTCTTGCAACAGTGTTTTGTAGTTTTCCAAGTTTTATTCTTCTTTTAAGTTTATTCCTAAGTGTTTTATTCTTTTTGATGCTATTGTAATAGGATTAATTTCATAATTTTATTTTTGATTTGTTTATTACAAGTATGTAGAAATACAATCTTTTTTTATATACTTTAAGTTCTAGGGTATGTGTGCACAATGTGCAGTTTTGATACATAGGTACACATGTGCCATGTTGGTTTGCTGCACCCATCAACTCATCATTTACATTAGTTATTTCTCCTAATGCTATCCCTCCCCCGACCCCACGACAGGCCCTGGTGTGTGATGTTCCCCACTCTGTGTCCAAGTGTTCTCATTGTTCAATTCCCACCTATGAGTGAGAACATGCAGTGTTTGGTTTTCTGTCCTTGTGATAGTTTGCTGAGAATGATGGTTGCCAGCTTCATCCATGTCCCTGCAAAGGAGATGCACTTATCCTTTTTTTGGCTGCATAATATTCCATGGTGTATATGTGCCACATTTTCTTAATCCAGTATATCACTGATGGACATTTGGGTTGGTTCTAAGTCTTTGCTATTGTGAATAGTGCCGCAATAAACATATGTGTGCATGTGTCTTTATAGTAGCATGATTTATAATCCTTTGGGTATATACCCAGGAATGGGATTGCTGGGTCAAATGGTATTTCTAGTTCTAGATCCTGGAGGAATCACCACACTGTTGTCCACAATGGTTGAACTAATTTACACTCACACCAACAGTGTAAAAGCTTTCCTATTTCTCCACATCCTCTCCAGCATCTGTTGTTTCCTGACTTTTTAATGATTGCCATTCTAACTGATGAGAGATAGTATCTCATTGTGGTTTTGATTTGCATTTCTCCGATGACCAGTGATGATGAGTATTTTTTCATGTGTCTGTTGGCTGCACAGATACCTTCTTTTGAGAAGTGTCTGTTCATATCCTTCACCCACTTTTTGATGGGGTCATTTGTTTTTTTTCTTGTAAATCTGTTTGAGTTCTTTGTAGATTCTGGATATTAGCCCTTTGTCAGATGAGTAGATTGCAAAAATTTTCTCCCATTCTGTAGGTTGCCTGTTCACTGTGATGGTAGTTTATTTTGTCATGCAGAAGCTCTTCAGTTTAATTAGATCCCATTTGTCAATTTTGGCTTTTGTTGCCATTGCTTTTGGTGTTTTAATCATGAAGTCCTTGCCCATGCCTATGTCCTGAATGGTATTGCCTAGGTTTTCTTCCAGGGTTTTTATGGTTTTAGGTCTAACATTTATGTCTTTAATCCATCTTGAATTGCTTTTTGTATAAGATGTAAGGAAGGGGTTCAGTTTCAGCTTTCTACATGTGGTTAGCCAGTTTTCCCAGCACCATTTATTAAATAGGGAATCCTTTCCCCATTTCTTGTTTTTGTCAGGTTAGTCAAAGATCAGATGGTTGTAGATGTGTGGTGCTATTTCTGAGGCTTCTGTTCTGTTCCATTGGTCTATATATCTGTTTTGGTACCAATACCATGTTGTTTTTGCTTACTGTAGCCTTGTAGTATAATTTGAAGTCAGGTAACATGATGCCTCCAGCTTTGTTCTTTTTGCTTAGGATTGTGCTGGCAATGTGGGCTCTTTTTTGGTTCCATATGAACTTTAAAGTAGTTTTTTCCAATTCTGTGAAGAAAGTCATTGGTAGCTTGATGGGGATGGCATTTAATCTATAAATTACTTTGGACAGTATGGTCATTTTCATGATATTGATTCTTCCTACCCATGAGCGTGGAATATTCTTCCATTTGTTTGTGTCAATTTTAGATCTTTCCTGCTTTCTTTTGTGGGCATTTAGTGCTATAAATTTCCCTCTACACACAGCTTTAAATGTGTCCCAGAGATTCTGGTATATAGTGTCTTTTTTCTTACTGGTTTCAAAGAACATCTTTATTTCTGCCTTCATTTCGTTATTTACCAATACTCATTCAGGAGCAAGTTGTTCAGTTTCCCATGTAGTTGTGTGGTTTTGAGTGAGTTTCTTAATCCTGAGTTCTAATTTGATTGCACTGTGGTCTGAGAGACAGTTTGTTGTGATTTCTGTTCTTTTACATTTGCTGAGGAGTGCTTTACTTCCAATTGTGTGGTCAATTTTAGAATAAGTGCGAAGTGGTGCTGGGAAGAAAGTATATTCTGTTGATTTGGGGTGGAGAGTTCTGTAGATGTCTACTAGGTCTGCTTGTTGCAGAGCCGAGTTCAGGTCCTGGATATCCTTGTTAGCCTTCTGTCTCATTGATCTGTCTAATATTGACAGTGGGGTGTTAAAGTCTCCCATTATTATTGTGTGGGAGTCTAAGTCTCTTTGTAGTTTTTTAAGGACTTGTTTTATGTATCTGGGTGCTCCTGTATTGGGTGCATATATATTTAAGATAGTTAACTTTTCTTGTTGAATTGATCCCTTTACCATTGTGTAATGATCTTCTTTGTCTCTTTTCATCTTTTTTGGTTTAAAGTCTGTTTTATCAGAGACTAGGATTGCAACCCCTGCTTTTTTTTTGCTTTCCATTTGCTTGGTAGATCTTCCTCCATCCCTTTATTTTGAGCCTATATGCGTCTGCACGTGAGATTGTTCTCCTGAATATAGCACACTGATGGGTCTTGACTTGTTATTCAGTTTGCCAGTCTGTGTCTTTTAATTGGGGCATTTAGCCCATTTACATATAAGGTTAATATTGTTATGTGTGAATTTGATCCTGTCATTATGATATTCACTGGTTATTTTGCCCGTTAATTGACGCAGTTTCTTCATAGCATCAACGGTCTTTACAATTTGGACTGTTTTTGCAGTGGCTGGTACTGGTTGTTTCTTTCCATGTTTAGTGCTTCCTTCAGGAGCTGTTGTAAGGCAGGCCTGGTGGTGAAAAATCTCTCAGCATTTGCTTGTCTGTAAAGGATTTTATTTCTCCTTCACTTATGAAGCTTAGTTTGGCTGGACATGAAATTCTGGGTTGAAAATTCTTTTCTTTAGGAATGTGGAATATTGACCCCCGTTCTCTTCTGGCTTGTAGGGTTTCTGCCGAGAGATCCACTGTTAGTCTGATGGGCTTCCCTTTGTGGGTAACTTGACCTTTCTCTCTGGCTGCCCTTAACACTTTTTCCTTCATTTCAACTTTGGTGAACCTGACAATTATGTGTCTTGGGTTTGTTCCTCTTGAGGCATATCTTTGTGGTGTTCTCTGTATTTCCTGAATTTGAATGTTGGCCTGCCTTGCTATATTGGGGAAGTTCTCCTGGATAATATCCTGAAGAGTGTTTTCCAACTCAGTTCCATTTTTCCCATCACTTTCAGGTTCACCAATCAAATGTAGATTTGGTCTTTTCACATAGTCCCATATTTCTTGGAGGCTTTGTTCATTTCTTTTTACTCTTTTTTCTCTAACTTTGTCTTCCTGCTTTATTTCACTAATTTGATCTTCAATCACTGATACCCTTTCTTCCACTTGATTGAATCGGCTATTGAAGCTTGTGCATGCGTCACGAAGTTCTCGTGCCATGGTTTTCAGCTCCACCAGGTCACTTAAGGTCTTCTCTATGCTGTTTATGCTAGTTAGACATTTGTCTAATCTTTTTTCAAAGTTTTTAACTTCTTTGTGATGGGTTTGAACATCCTCCTTTAGCTCGGAGAAGTTTGTTATTACCGACCTTCTGAAGCCTACTTCTGTCAACTCGTCAAAGTCATTCTCCATCCAGCTTTGTTCCATTGCTGGCAGGGCGCTGCGATTCTTTGGAGGAGAAGAGGTGCTCTGATTTTTAGAATTTTCAGCTTTTCTGCTCTGGGTTTCTCCTGATCTTTGTGGTTTTATCTACCTTTGGTCTTTGATATTGGTGACCTACAGATGGGGTTTTGGTGTAGATGACTTTCTGTTGATGTTGATGCTATTCCTTTCTGTTTGTTAGTTTTCCTTCTAACAGTCAGGTCCCTCAGCTGCAGGTCTGTTGGAGTTTGCTGGAGGTCCACTTCAGACCCTGCTGGCCTGGGTATCACCAGCAGAGGCTACAGAACAGCAAATATTGCTGCCTGATCTTTTCTCTGGAAGCTTCGTCCCAGAGGGGCAGCCACCTATATGAAGTGTCTGTCAGCCCCTACTGGGAGGTGTCTCCCAGTTAGGCTACATGGGGGTCAGGGACCCACTTGAGGAGGCAGTCTGTCTGTTCTCAGAGCTCAAACGCTGTGCTGGGAGAACCTCTACTCTCTTCAGAGCTGTCAGACAGGGACGTTTAACTCTGCAGAAATTGCCTGCTGCCTTTTGTACAGCTATGCCCTGCCCACAGAGGTGGAGTCTAGAGGCAGTAGGCCTTGTTGAACTGCAGTGGGCTCCATCCAGTTTGAGCTTCCAGGCTGCTTTGTTTACCTACTCAAACCTCAGAAATGGCAGACGTCCCTACCCCAACCATGCTGCCATCTCACAGATCAATCTCAGACTGCTGTGTTAGCAGTGAGCAAGGCTCCATGGGCGTGGGGCCCACAGAGCAAGGCATGGGAGAGAATCACCTTGTCTGCCAGTTGCTAAGACCTTGTGAAAGGCACAGTATTTGGGGAGGAGTGTCCCATTTTTCCAGGTAGTCTGTCATGGCTTCCCTTGGCTAGGAAAGGGAAATACCCCGACCCCTTGTGCTTCCCAGGTGAGGTGATGCCCCACCCTGCTTTGGCTTGCCGTCTGTGGGCTGCACCCACTGTCCAACCAGTCCCAGTGAGATGAATCACGTACCTCAGTTGGAAATGCAGAAATCACACCCATCTTCTGCATCGATCATGCTGGGAGCTGCAGACTGGAGCTGTTTCTATTCGGCCATCTTGGAATGCCCCCTAGATCAGTCTAGAAATACAATCTTTTTACATTGATCTTGTATTCTGCAATCTTGTTGAACTCGTTTATTACTTTTGATAGTTTTTTTTACTAGATTCTTTAGAATTTTCTATATACAAGATTATGTCATTTGTGAATAGAGATAGTTTTACTTCTTCCTGTCCAAAATGGATGGCTTTTACCTTATTTTTCTTGCCTAATTGTCCTGGCTAGAACCTCCAGTACAATGTTGAATAAATGTGGTGAGAATGGGCATCTTGTGTTGTTACAGATCTTAAGGGAAAAGAATTCAGTCTTTCACCATTAAGTATGATGTTAGCTGTGGGTTTTCCATACATGTCCTTTATCAAGTTAATGAAATTCCTTTCTATTCCCAGTTTGTTTGATGTTTTTAATCATGAAATAATGTCAGATTTTGTCAGATGCTTTCTCAGCATTAATTGAGATGATCATGTGATTTTTTCCCTTCATTCTATTAATGCAGTATATTATATTGATTGGTTTTCTTGTGTTGAACCACCTTTGCACTCCTGGGATAAATTGTACTTGGTTATGTGTATAATTTTTGCACACTGCCAGTTTGGTTTCTTAGTATTTTTGTTTACAATCTTTGCATACATATTCATAAGAGACATGGATCTGCAGTCTTTCTGTGATGCATTTGTCTTATTTTGGTATCAGAATAATTTCTGGTCAGTTTCTGGGGAACAGATCATCTCATATTCTAATTTCATGGAATGAATTAGGAAGAGTTCCTTCTTCTATTTTTTTGAATTTGAGTTTGTGAAAAGTTGGTATCAATTATACATTTGGTAGAATGTCTGCATTGATGCCATCTGTTCCTGCTTTTCTCTTTGAGTAATCTGATTTTTTGTTACTAATTCATTCTTTTCCATTATTACAGTTTTGTTCAGAGTGTCTATTTCTTCTTGGGTCAGTTTTATTAGTTTATGTCTTTCTAGGAAT
Organism: Homo sapiens; assembly: GCF_000001405.40. Taxonomy (NCBI): domain Eukaryota; kingdom Metazoa; phylum Chordata; class Mammalia; order Primates; family Hominidae; genus Homo; species Homo sapiens. The sequence goes on from NC_000018.10 coordinate 50,504,192, forward strand.
TTGTTCATTTCATCCAGGTTATCTAGGTTTTTGCATATAATATCATATATTTTGCATGTATTCCCTTTATAATCTTTTTTTTTTTTGTCAATCTAGCTAAAGGTTTGTTAATTTTATTGATGTTTTCAAAGAACATGCTTTTGGTATTGATTTTTATATATTGTTTTTCTCTTCCTTGTTTCATTAATTTCTATTCTAATCTTTATTATTTTCTATCTTCTCCTTGCTTTAGATCTTTCTTCAGCATCTTCAGGTGGAGGTTAGGTTGATTTGAAATCTTTCTTTTATAATATAGGCATTTATAGCTATACATGTCCCAGTAAATGTCACTTCAGCTGCATCCTGTAAGTTTTGGTATGTTGTGTTTTTATTTCATTCATCTTAAAGGAAATGGTGGGAGAGAGAAACACGATAGGAAAAAAAGTTAACATTTGTTTTTTGTTTTGTTTTGATACAGAGTCTTGCTCCGTCACCCAGGCTGGAGTGCAGTGGCACAATCTCAGCTCACTGCAACCTCCACCTCCTGGGTTCAAGTAATTCTTATGCCTCAGCCTCCCGAGTAGCTGGGATTATAGGCGTGTGCCACCATGCCCAGCTAATTTTTGTATTTAAAAGATATTTAAAACACGATAGGAAATATTTGTGTTTAAAAGACATCTTTCTTCTTTTTAATATAGGCATTTATAGCTATACATTATAATATGTATAGCTATAAATGCCTATATTTTTGGATTTTCCTTTTTATTTCTTCTTTACATAATAGTTACTTATGACTGTTATTGTTCCACATATTTTCAAATTTTCTAAATGACATTTATATTTTAATGAGTAGAATATAATAAAGGTGAGGAGACATCACTTTTGAGAATAGGTTTCAAAAGACTGTGACTTCTCTCTCGTTTGCACATGCTCTGCTTGGCTTTTCCCACTTGCTTATTCTGATAAAGCAAGCTGTCATATAATGCACCACCATATAGAGAGGCTCATGTGTCAGGAACTGAGGGCAGCCTTTGGCCAAGAGGCCAATAAGGGACTGAAGTTCTCAGTCCGATAGCTCACAAGGAGCTGAATCCTATCAACAACCATATAAATGAGCTTGGAAGTGGACCCTTCCATAGTGAGCCTTGGTTGACAGCCTGATTGCAGTGGTATAACACAGTCTGAGCCCAAGGACCCAGTCAAGGCATGCCCAGATTTCCGATTCACAGAACCTGTGAGATAATAAATGTTGTTTTAAAACCACCAAGTGTTGAGGTAATTTGTTACATAGCAGTAGATAAATAATAAGATGTAGTTGCTTCAGAAAGAGGGCCTGGGTCCTTTGAATGGGCCAGATGCTTATTTTTATTTTCTGTCTCCATGATGTAAGAGGCCTAGAAAGGACCCTACCTCATACATTGTCTCTGTGCCCCACCTTCTCTACTGGAAACTGAGTGTGGTAAATCAGGTTGGATCTTTTCTGGGGAACTGACCATCTCAGATTCAGGTGAGGAAGAACCAAAAGGCCTCCTTTAAGTTCAATTCTTCAACTCAGAGTTTGTATTGGGTTGGTGCAAAAGTAACTGTGGTTATTGCAGTTACTTTTAATTGCAGAAGCCGCTATTACTTTTGTACCAACCTAAATATTAGTGTACAGTGGGGCTACCATGTCTAAAGTGTTCATTTGTTTCCCATTTGGTTATTGTCCTTCATAAGTAAGTTTGTTTGTTTATAACCTTAAGGGTGGAAGGTGAGAGGATAGAATGAAGCTCCCAAGCCCTACACCAAACCCTCAATAGAGATAATGAAAGCAGAGCATTCAGTACATAGTAAGTGCTCAACAAATGTGAACTTTTTGACTGGGTGCAGTGGCTCCTGCCTATAATCCCAGTACTTTGGGAGGCCAACGGGGGGAGATCACCTGAGGTCAGGAGTTCAAGATCAGCCTGGGCAGCATGGTGAAACCCCATCTCTACTAAAAATACAAAAATTAGCTGGGCATGGTGGCACACGCCTATAATCCCAGCTACTCGGGAGGCTGCGGCATAAGAATCGCTTGAACCCAGGAGGTGGAGGTTGCAGTGAGCTGAGATTGTGCCACTGCACTCCAGCCTGGGTGACAGAGCAAGACTCTGTATCAAAACAAAACAAAAAACAAATGTTAACTTTTTTTCCTATTGTGTTTCTCTCTCCCACCCAGTGCTCCAAACTCACTCAAGTTATGACATAGAGTCTCAAACTGTCTGCATTACACCCTGGGGTCACTTGTATTTTGTGGTAGCAAAGCTCCTAATTTGTTTGCTATTGATGTATTTATTGCTAGACCTTATTGAAAAAGGAATTCAACAAAATTCAACTCAACAAACACCTTGGTGATGGGCATTATGCTGAGATTGCACAAACAGAGGGGAATAGAACACAGTTTCTGTCCTTAGACCTGAATTCGGAACTAGTGCCTGGAGAGGGGGTTTGTTTTTACAGATCATCTCACGATTTGAAGGCCAGTCACTAAGAATCCACTCATTTTTTCCCCCATATTTCCCCAACTGAAATTACTCAGGAACAATGTCAGAAAGTCTAACACTTCCTCCATTTTGACTTCAGTCCTGGTGATGGGTCTTCTCTGAGGCCATCCATGTGGATATCTCCTAGGATACAACCATATCTGGAACAGAGGCCTGCACTAATGGAAGTCCCTCCATTACCCAATAAGAAAAATTGGGGAAAAACCCTGAACCTCAAGTCACTTCACAGCCACTTGTCACGAAATGTTCACAATAATGGTACAACTCAACAATGACTGCAGATGAATGGCTTCCTGCCTCTGTGTAATATACACTTGCACAATGGTCAGGACGTAGGACTGCTGTGAGAAAATGCTCTTGATCTGTGAAGTTGGAATCCAGGAATTCTGGAGGAAGATGGAGCACAGGTATGAGAGGAGGAAGGAGAGAATGACCCCTTCCCAGGCCTCCTGATCACGTGGGCACATCATGCTAACATTAACATATGAATGTGCGGGCTCACAGTTGCCACCTATTTGACAGCATTGACAGCAGGATGTTCAGTGTCCCCCAATTAATCCTGGTATGTCTCTGGTGAGTTCTGGACCATTGAGGTCCCCAGCCCACAGGCCACTTGAGGGCAGTGTCTCCCCACTGCAGCTGCTGCTGGGCTGCTCTCCAAAAGCAATGATTCTCCCTGCCTAGGCTGCTGTTTCCTGGGCCCCCAAAACTGCAAAGTCCTTCTGAGGCCAGTACTGCTGTCTGTTATTTCATCTTTTCTTGATGCACGCACTGCTAGAACCACACTGTGTTCTAGGTGGAAATCGCCAGCCCAGACCTACCCTGGCCCTGTCTGGCTCTTAGGCCCTTCAGCAACAATACATGTGCCCCAAGCCTCTTGCTTTCCTTTGTGAAAACAACCCCCCAAGGTCCTTTCCTCTAGTCTCTCCCCCTGGAACTTAAACTTACAACTTCTGTCCCACAGACTGGCCATTCCCTGCAAGCACATCAGCTGGTACCAAGAGGTTTGGGAGGCACTGCCCCACCAGTTTGTTAGATTCCGAATACATATCTCTGGGTGTCAGAGATACTTGTAACATCCTATTACAGTAGTTCTGGGAAATGGACTTTTTCTTCAGGGCAAGAAGAAAACTAAATTTTTTTAATAAGTTGGAATAGCACTTTTTGTCCCCCCTGTGGCCACACTGTTACAGGTATAACAGGTAGATATGAGTGAAGAAGACTAAATTCCTTGAGTAGCTTGTGTTGTATGTGACTGTGTGTGTGTGTGATGTTGACCCACGTGTACCTTAGTGCAAGATTAGAAGATCATAATGGAAGCCTCTCCCAGCTTCACTCTTGTCCTTCTGGAAATCCCATCCTGAGGGAAGGATGAGGTGAGTCGTGGCATGATGGCTAAGAACATTAACCAGTTTCCAGAGCAACGAAGGGAGCTTTGGAATCTGCCTTTAAGGAGTTTCTGTGCTATACTCCAGAAGAAAACTTAACGTTCAGTTTTTAGGTACAAACAGCTATGTTTGGACAAATAACTATGTCAGATGCTTGAATGAAAATATATCCTGGGTTTTTTCTTAGTCTTTCAAATGCATCCAAACCTTTCTGTTGTACTTTTCTAGGAGGCAGTTGTTTCTCTTCTCACAATGAATCAAGCCAGTTAAAAACTGCATGTTCTGAAAGATTGGATAAGGAAAATGTGGTATATGTATGCCATGGAATACTATGCAGACATAAAAAAGAATAAGATTGTGTCTTTTGGGGGAACATGGATGGAGCTGGAGGCAAATATCCTTAGCAAACTAACACAGGAACAGAAAACCAAATACTGCATGTTCTCACTTATAAGTGAGAGCTAAATGATGAGAAGTTACGAACACAAAGAAAGGAACAGCAGACACTAGAGTCTACTTGAGGATGAAGGGTGAGAGGAGAGAGAGAAGCAGAAAAGATAACTATTGGGTAGTGAGCTTATTACCTGGGCGATGAAATAATCTGTACAACAAACTCCTGTGACACAAGTTTACCTACGTAACAAACCTTCACATGTACCTCTGGACCTAAAATAAAAGTTTTAAAAAAAATAAAATTTTTAATTGCATATTAAACAAATTAATGTATAAGCCTGCCTGAGGGGTAAGGAGTAGAAGGAAAAAAGAATGAACACAGGTGGTGAGACTATGGCTACAGGCTTTGTTATTAACTGAGTGCTACTGTGCAAATTAGGCTTTCTGTGCCTCAATATCCAAACCATTAATGTAAGGGTTGTTAAGTTAGATTAGATATTCTTGTAGGCAACTTTCAATGCAAGTATTCTCTGACTATAGATATTCTCTCCCTCCCCCTTTTTCCCTCCTCCCCCATTTCTCCTCTGTTGACCTCTTTCTCCTTCCTATTTCCCTTCAAGATCCTGTTTCCTTTTTCTTATGTGTGTTGTTTTTATTCCAAGACTTTTACACAGGCTCTTTTATTTTCATCACCAGGCAATTTGTGCCAGCGAGTGTGATGCAAATATAGTTAGACAGGATTTTGGTTCTGACTGAATAAGAATTGCTCCACTTGAGTTTACAAAAAATACCCCCCAAAAACAAAAAACCACCACCCGGGCCCTCTAAACCAATTCTATTGAAAGTTTCTTGGCTTCTGAATTTAAAGAACAAGTTGTTCCTGTCGGAGATTCATTATAAAATGTTTGGTTCACCTCCTTCACCGTTAGTGACAAACACACAAAATGAATGCTCAGAGGAGTGTGCAAATCCGAACTGTCCTCCAGAGTAAGGACTCTCCCCTCTGCCGCTACATCAGTGAGCCCACGTTTACAATCTAAAAATTATCCTGAAGCCAAGTCTATCTAAGGACATGAATTAAGGATTCTCAGAAACTGAGTGTTTTCACATACACACACGTAGACACACACATGGCTTAGACAGTTCATGTCAAAATAGACTGAAATTAGCAACTTGGACTTTTAAAATAGTCTCTCTTACTTACGGAAACAAGTGGCAGTGATGGGCTGCTGAAATTGGGAAGAATAAGAAAAACCACAAAAATGGAAGCATCTTAAACTTCCTTCTATCAGTCAGTGACAGAATAGGATTCAATTGCTTGAGGTGGCTAACGTACTATGGCCAAATGATGGGAATCAGATGTAGCTTCCCTTTTCTTGCCACTTTTATCAAGGAGATAGAAAATAAAATTGGAGCAAGTGGAATAAACAACGCTTTAGTCCCTGAAGCCCAAGATAGGTGAGGAATTAAGAGCTCCTACTTCCCAGCTGAGTTACTCTCTAGGCAGTTAAGATTGTCAGGCCATAGCAGACACCGAAAAAGTCAGGGACCTATTATCCTAATACAGGGAGTAAGGGTGTTAGTAACAATAATCCAATCTGACATAGAGAGTCAATTCTAGAAAATATAGGTGGGTGAGCTTCATGCTGATCCCAGGATTATTTAATGGATGGTTCACAGGTACTTAGAAAACATTGGCTATAGGAAGCCAATACAAATTATTATTATTTTGAGACAGGGTCTCACACTGTAGCCCATACTGGAGTGCAGTGGTGCAATCACAGCTCACTGCAGCCTCAACTTCCCAGGCTCAAGTGATCCTCCTGCTTCAGTTTTCCTGAGTAGCAGGGACTACAGGCATGCTCCACCACGCCCAGCTAATTTTTAGATTTTTTTTTTTTTTTTTTGTAGAGATGGGGTTTTGCCATGTTGCCAAGGCTGGTCTCAAACTCCTGGCCTCAAGTGATTCTCCCACCCTGGCCTCCCAAAGTGCTGGCATTACAGATGTGAACCACTGTGCCTGGCCTAGGATTCTTTAAGAATAAGTCAAGTCAAGGTAATTCCAGATTTTTCTTACCCCCCTAGGTTTACTTAACAATGAAATAAAGGAAATGTACTTTATTTGGATTTTAGAAAGGCACTTTAAATTTTTTCCATGAATACTACTCAGCCATAAAAAGGAATGAAATAATGGCATTCGCAGGAATCTGGATGGAAGTGGAGGCCATTATTCTAAGTGAAGTAACTGAAGAATGGAAAACCAAGCATCATATATTCTCACTTATAAGTGGGAGCTAAGCTATGAGGACGCAAAGGCATGAGAATGATATAATGGACTCTGGGGACTTGGGGAAAAGGGTGGGAGGCAGGTGAGGGATAAAAGACTACACACTGGGTACAGTGGACACTGCTTGGGTGTGCCAGAATCTCAGAAATCAAATAGCTTACTCATGTAACCAAACGCCACCTGTTCCCCAAAAACTGTTGAAAAATATATTTTTAATATAGATATATATACTTACGTAGTATATACATATAATTCAAAAATTGATTCCATGATGTTCTTGAAGACAAGATGAAAAAATAACAGATCCTAAATAGTGTGGTTAAAGTTACAGGTGTTTATACAACTATTCTTAAATACTCCTGATGAATAGGTCATGTGTTTGCCTAGAAGGGGATCTTTCCAGCATGCTGCAGAGTTCTGCTTTTGGCTCTGTCTGAGCCACCATTTAATATCAGAGATTTGTGTGCAGCTAGAGATATGAGAGAAGCAGCACAGACGGGAGTCACGGATGCAAACAAAAAGCTTAACATTCACCAGGAATAAATGGCAACTACTCTCCTTAGGCATGTGGAAAAACAACATACCAAACAAACAGAAATCAAGTGCAAGATGAAGAACCCCATGGGAATGACTTGGGAGAATGAAGAAAACTTGAGAATTCTACTAGAAATCATAAGGACTTGATTAAAGGGAAAATACTGCTAGTTCTTACACGGAAAGACTCAGTGTTATAGAGATGTCGAGTCTCTCTCAATTGATATATATTTTAATAAATGAGTTTAACTCATTCCTATTTTGGGAAATTACTGATGTATTTGGAAATCTTTCTTGAGGCTCTTTTGCTTAGGAAGAAATACGTAAGGGCTTCCAGGTCACTGGCAATGTTCTACTTGTGGGTCTGGATTATGGTGTCGGGGCATTTGCTTTATAATAATGTGTTACATTTCACATGTGTCTTATACCTTCCCAACCACAACCTCTTTCCTCTCCCCAGAGGCAGCCGCCATCCACATTTTTATAGTAATCAATTTCTAGCACTTTGCAGCATGGTTTAAGATTCATTCAGTCTGCAGACATGTTGCCGTAGTTTACCTTTATTGCCATTTAGCATTTTTTTGTTTAAACGTAATGCAATGTGTTTTCTGTTTTCTGTTGGTGATTATTTTGGTTGTTTCTGGTTTTGTTGTTGTTGTTGTTGTTCTCTTTTTGGCTTTTTTGTTTTTGCCACAGGGTCTTGCTCTGTTACCCAGGCTGGAGTGCAGTGGCATGATCTCAGCTCACTGCAACTTCCACTTCCCAGGCTCAAGCAATGCTCCCTCCTCAGCCTCTCAAGTAACTGAGACTACAGGCACACGCCAATAGGTTCAGCTAATTTTTTTTTTTAATTTTTTGTAGACATGGCATCTTGCCATGTTTCCCAGGCTTGTCTTGAACTCCTGAGTTCAAGCAATCCTAAAAGTTCTGGGATTATAGGAGTGATCCACTGTGCCCAACTATTTCTGATTTTTGAATATGAAGAACATTGCTACTATGAACCTTCTTGTGTATGTGTCTTGGTGCATGGGTACTCAGGTTTCTCTTGGAGTTATATTCATATACATATACACACACACACCTAGGAGTAAAAGTGCTCAGCCACAGGATATGAGAATCTTCAACTTTAGCAGATAACATCCAAACTGTTTTTCAAGGTGGACATAATATATACTTCCCCCAATAAATGTCTGATTCCTTTTTTTAAATTTATTTTTTAGTGACAGGGTCTTGTTCCATCATCCAGGCTGGAGTGCCAGAGCATTCTTATTCTTCCACATCATTGCCAACTCTTGGTATTGTCAGACTTCTAAATTTTAGCCACTGTAGTAAGCCTAATTATCTTTAAAATTGTCATGTGCGTACTTAAGTTTATACTCTCAGAAACCCTGAAACTAATCACCACATATTTTCCCTGAGACATGACAAGAACATTACATGATTTTATTTTCCACTGCTCCTGAAACCTTACACACACTCACCCATGTTATTATCCAGAGTTTTAGACCTAATTATTTTTTAAAATAATATTTTATAAGCAATGCTTATTATATGGTTTACTTTTTGTTTGTGTAGCATTACTTCTTCCATCCCTTTACTGTGTTCTGGGTTCATTTTCCTTCTTGATGGAGAATATTCTTTGGTAATTCTATCAGAGCAGGTCTGTGGGTGGTAAACTTTCTGAGTCTGGAAATGTTTTTATTTCATGAAAATAAGGTGTCATTTCATATCACTGGAGTGATATGATGAATTACTTAAACAATTATGTTTTAAAATTAGATCCCCACTTCACACATATTTTTAGAAGGGTCCAGGATTAAAGTGTATACAATGACATTACAAAAATTGACAGAATAAAATATGGATGATTGTTTATATATAATCTTGGAATAGGAATTCCTCCTCTATTATGACATAAAACCTCAAACCTCACCTTTTCAAAAAAACATCATGAAGTTAAAATACTATTGCAAACCTGGGAAAAAACAATTGCAATGCATATAGAAAGCAAATAATTTATTTTCTTAAAATACAAACAGGATTAAAAATCAATAGGTAAAACAAACAAAAAACCTACTAGAAAATTTGAATATAAAATTTACAGAAAAAGAAATACAAATTGTCAGCTGTATTTCAAGATAAAAATACAAAATAAAATGAGATGTCATTTTCACCTACAGATTGGCAAACATTAAAAGGTTTTGTAGTTTCCATTGTTAGCACCAGAGGAAGCATGATGTAAAGACTCATTTTGTAACCTTTTTGAGAGATAATTTGGTAATACCTATCAATCTAAAACATGTGAACTTTTACTAAGTAATCAGACTTCCAGGAATTTATCCTAAGGATGTACTAACAAAACTACCCAAAGATGTATACAAATTAATCAATAAGATTTTGGTTAAGTCAATTAAGAAACATCTTCACAGGTAGAATACCTTTGCAGCCATTGGGAATATTAGCCTCCCAGAGTGACAGCAGCTTGTGAAGGAGGGACTATGATCAGCATTCCCATTTTACAGCTGAAGAGGCTAAGAAACTATGACTCTTTTAATCAAATTGATACAAAACTAGGAAATGAAACTTAATATGTACTATTATTAGGTAGCAACTATCAAAGGGATATAAAAGAGTGAGCCATATCCATTACATGGGAAGCGTGGCTGGGCGGCCTCAGGAAACTTAAAATCACGGTGGAAGGCAAAAGGGAAGCAAGCATGTCCTTGCTTCTATACGTCCTAATATGTCCTAACATGAAAAGATATCCACGTTACTAAGTTAAAAAGAAAAAGTGCAATAAAAAAGTAGAGTGTGATCCTTTTTGTTTAAAAAAATACTATATATGCTTATGTATACAGAAACCTTCTGGAAAGATAAAAAATAACTAACAATGATAACTTCTAGAAAGTAGGCCTGGTGGTGGAGGTGGAAACCTAACATTCATTTTACATTCTACTCTACTGTTTGAACTATTTCACCATATACACTCATTTTGAAAAGGCGGTTTTAGTTAAATGAAAGCTTGGTTTGGTCCCACCATGTAACCTGATTTCCCCAAAACTTAATGTTATTTCCACCTATATTATTAGATTACAGCATCCACAAAATAAAATAATTACATCCTTTCTGGTGGGAGTTGGAAGCAGACTGAATATCCTTCCTGACAACTGGAATATCCCATAGATGGCAGACCCTGCCTCATAAGCTAGGGAGTTTCCACTATTTTCACAGGCTCCACAACCTTAAGACAAGGATAACAGAGAAAGGACTTTTTATTTGTGTAGGAGACTAAACAATCCTTAAGATTTTTTCAACTCTATGACGCTATAACTCTAATATTTACAAAAATGCGTTTAACATTCAGGATTTTGGAAATGTATCTACTCTATAAGACTTCTAGGGTCAGTCAAAATGACACAGGAGCCAATTTCAAAGGGCTCTCACTGGTCAAAGGTGGAGCATTTATTCATCAAAAAGAAAAATAAATGCAAGGGTTTCAAACACATAAAACCTATGCAATTCCCACAGGCCTATAATAATAAAAAGTAAAAGCATCATTGGTCATCTTTGGAGATTGCTCGGGTATCAACTCATTATACTGAGAATGGATAAATATGAAGGGAATCAAGCATTTATTCTGTCTTTCAAGATTTATCCTGATTTTCAGGGAAAGCAAAGAGTTTATGAGGAAAATTCTCCTTTATAAATGAATCATAGCTAATTATTGCAGGAACAACAGAATTAGAAAAATCAAAATTTTCAACCTTAAGAAAATGGTAGATATAGGCACTGCTCATTAATGGTTGCTAAAAATCATTCAGGTGAAAGGCATATAGGGAACCCCAGAATGGATGAGGATCCAGCTTCACCTGAACCTACTGATCAACCTCAGCATTGCTAAGTGGGACATCCAGTCATTAAGTGCATTCCGGGTACGATGTGATAGGGGAACACAGACCACTTCCCAGGAAGTATTCTTGCCCCTCCCCCAAATTGAGCCTAAAAATTGGAATTAAGCCTAATTCCAATCAAGTTTTAGATCCACCCAAGAAATACAGGAGGTAGTGGCACATGGTCAGCAATACCACAAAGATGCAGTCAGTCAAGGCCTCAACGTGGGAAATTCTAAACTGCACAATAAATTACCCAGTTTACTAAAAAAATAAGTGGCATACACAAAAAGAGGGAACTGCTGTGCGTTAAAAGAGACATGATAGCAAAATGCAGTGTACAGACCTTATTTGGATCCTGAGTTGAACATACCAACTATGAAAGACATTTTTTTCAACAGTCAGGAATACTTGAACATGAACTTTTAGATGATGTTGAGGAATGATTGTAAATGTTGTTGGTTGTGACATAGTTTCAGGGTTAAGTGTTTTTAAGTTCTTATCTCTTACAGATACACATTGTATTTATAGATGAAAGTATTTATAGATGAAATCTGATGTTTGAGATTTACTTTAAAATAATTCATTAAACATGTTGCAAAGAGTGCATAAAAAGAACAGGAGGCTGATGTTTTCGTACAGGGGATGGGGGGCTCTGCTGTCATGTGTTTTTGAAATTTTTCATAATAAAAATTTTAAAGATAAAAAAGACAGCCTATTCATGTAAAGCATCTCATATTGCACCTAGGAGGCACTCAACGTATTCGCTATAATCATAGTAACAGCACAGAAAAATATTCTACTAATTTTTACTGACAAAGTTAATAAAAGACATTGAAATTGATCATTATGATATGATTTTGTTAGTACAGACCTTAACTGGGGAGACGGACTGGATCAAGTAAAGGCTCTGACTCTCACTTTAACGTATTTACTCAATGTCTCAAATACTGCATATGAATAAGTTCTTGGACTATGAACAATAAACTTTTAAAAATAAAATTCTGAAGCTAGCAGCTTAAGTTTTTTGGTTTAATATTTCTAGATGACAGTGTATTTGGGGCATTTCCTGCTTAAATAACTTCTTTCTTCTTGTTAATATTCTCACACTTTCAGAACTCAGCTATAAAGAAAATTAAAAACTAGGATTTTCAAATTACCTTTATAAGATACAAAGTGAAGTATCTCGTGTGATAAATGGATATGATGTCTAATTTTTTTCACTCTTTTGGGCTTGTTTCACACATACTCTTTCACTGTATAATTACCCTAAGTAACTTCTGATTAGTCCCTAATAGGGTAAGAGGGTTCATTGCATATTGAGAACCATTTTCCTCAAGAAAACAAAATTCCCTATATTCTCCACTCCCACCACACAGTTACCCGTTCATCTTCAGGTGTAGTTCCTGTAACAAGATAAGAATAGAGAATCCCTGTGGAGACAACCCTCCTGGTCCACCGAGCCCCGAAGCAGTGCCTGGAAATACCATTAACAGGCCATGCCTGGGGCCATATATGAGACTGACCACCTTAGGGATGCTCAAGGTAATCATTAACTCCCAACTTCCTGAGTCTAAAACCTTCTGGGACTCCTTGCTATTTTGAGAATATAATATTGTAAGAAAGGGAGAAAATGTTTTTTAAAATCATAACTGCCTTCAAGGAGTATGGATGCTATGACAGTCAAAGGGGCCAGGGTCTTCCATGCTGATATGGTAATGAGCCCTATTTTTCATCTGAGCACAATAATGGCTTTTGATTTGGGCCTGGTGCTGGCTGAAGGAGCATGGGCAAAAGAGAGTTGCGGCGCAGGTTTCCATAAATAACAAGAAGAATTTGGAATTCCTGGGGGCAATCTGATGGGGACAGGGGAGGGGAAAGGAAAAGAGACTGAAGGAGAGAGAGGGATTTAGTTAGTCGACACAGGCTGGGACACCATATATTGGAGGGAATCCGGCCAGTGAGACATCTACTGGCGCAGTGGCCAAAATGACCTTTACAGAGAGGGAGGTCTACTATGCAATTTAACATTGTGTTTCTGCAATTTAAATACTTTTGGTTTTCCCGAAAATTGCTGTACAAACGAAGGCCTTGATATGGTTTGGCTCTCTGTCCCCACCCAAACCTTATCTCGAATTGATTCCCACGTGTGGAGGGATTACAGGAGGGAGAGACCTGTAATCCCCACGTATTGAGGGAGGGAGGTGATTGGATCATGGGGGTGGTTTCCTCCATGCTGTTCTCGTGATAGTGAGTGAGTTCTCATGAGATCTGATGGTTTTGTAAGTGTTTAACAGTTCCTCTTTCACACACTCTCTCTACCCCTGCCTTGTGAAGAAGATGTCTTCTTCCCCTTCCACTACAATTGTAAGTTTCCTGAGATCTCCCCAGCCATGAGGAACTGTGAGTCAATTAAAGCTCTTTCCTTTATAAATTACCCAGTCTCAGGAAGTTCTTGATAGCAGTGTTAAAATGGACTAATACCGGCCTTAATGATCAAATTTTTGTTTATGTTTTGTTGCTATCTTGGTAGCAGTGGGGTGAAGAAAATCAAAGAAATACACTACATTCTCTATCAGGTTGGGTGGAGCCAGTGTGGAAAAGTATAAAGTTCATAAACTCAAGTATACTCATCAAAAGAAAGGAATTAGATCCAGAGGTGACCATGAGGACATGAGCCTCTGGGAATTTGCAAAAATGGGCAAAGAGCTTAGACTTTCTACCAGCTGTGGAGTGTTTGAGCAAAATCTTCTCTAGCTCTTAAGAGGCAAGGTTACCTCAGTTGATAATGAGTCTCACGACTCTGTGCTTGTGCCAAAACATCGCCCAACCTTCAAAGCGGTCACATCTAGTTTCTCTCTTTCTTCTTCTTCTTCTTCTTTTTCTTTTGTTAGAGACAGGGTCTCACTCTGTTGCCCAAGCTGGAGTGCAGTGGATGATCATGGCTCACTGCAGCCTTGAACTCCTAGGCTCAAGTAATCCTCCTGCTTCAGCCTCCCAAGTAGTTGGGACTACAGATATGTGCCACCACAACCAGGCTAATTTTTTAATTCTTTATTTGTAGAGATGGGGCCTCACTTCATTGCCCGGGCTCATCTTGGATTCCTGGCTTCAAGTGATCCTCCCATGTCGGCCTCCAAAGTGCTGGGATTACAGGTTTGAGCCACTGTGCCTAGCCCACGTCTGGTTTCTAATGTTGAAATGAAAGCCAAGTTTCCTTCATTAATCCCCTTCAGTCTGTTCCCATTGAGCCTAAATAGTTATAATAATTTCAGCCTATCTTCCTATGAAAGTGATTCAATCTCCATCAGCATTTCAGCTGAACTTCTTGGACTCATTTTCATAAAGACTAATTGCTTGTGTAAGGTTGTGTTTAAAACAAATGTTATCCAAGTTCAGTGTTTCTAACCATTACCACTGACATCAAGGAAGTTGAGTGTGTGTGGGAGTTTGATCATCCCCATCAATCCAGGAGGACACTGTTCTGGGAGTCTGAGGTCCCAGCTTTTGGTCTCAGCTTTACCATTTAACTTGACTGTGAGCCCTCAATTTCCTTATCTGCAAAACTGCAAAAGCCCTCAATTTCCTTATGTGCACTGTTCACCTCATAAGACTGTTGAGAAGACTAAAAGAGATAACACATCAATGATCTTATTCAGAACACAAAATTATGCAAATAAGGGTTAATATTTGGGCTGATAATAGTTCAACAATGTAAAAAATGTATTTCCTTTGTTAAGGACTATTTGATTCAACAGTGCGCCTGACAGAAGAATTACTCAACCCTGACTGTTCTTTATTTCTCAATGGGTGATCTGGCAACAGTCTAAACAAACACAAAATTTAGAACCCCTTTAAACCTTCCTAGTAGTTCATTTTCCTTCAAGCATTTAAGCAAGCCAACAACCCAAAAAACTTCCAATTTCTCTCCTATGAACAAACTCTGCACAGAGAACTCAGCCAAACTTACTTTAGCGGTTACTACCCTGAGGCTTTTGATGGTTCAAAAAGTACTTCCTTTGTAAGCCAAAAATCTAATCATTAGAGAGGGCCAATCTCAAAGAAATAGCCTCGGGACTGTAGCACTTGAGTTAAGTAGGAGAAGCACTTTCCGGAATAGTGTCTCCCAGCATTCTACTGGTTCAAGGCTGCAGTTGCCTTTGTCTGCTGTCATCCCTCTGCTGAATTCTCTTCCTGTTCCAGGGAACAAGGCTGAAGAGCCTCCAGGGCTCAATCATGCAAATGCTGATCAGATTTAGGTAACTAGGGCAGAGAATTTTACAGAGGGGTGGAGAAAGTCACTAGAGTGACACAGTAAAAATGCAAATTAATTTCAGAGCAAGCACTTTACCCACCTCCCAAGGCACTTAATGATTTCGGATGAATGACTCTGAGTCTGAGGGCCACCATGATGGCTCTTGGCTAGACTTTGGTTTCCCAGTCTCTTCTCCCTGAGCATCTAAAAGTTATTGCATGAAAGGGACATACACTCCCTGAGAAGAGAGCCCCACTATCTGTTCCTTATTTTTTTCTTAAATGCGTTCTCTCCTCAGGCTTTTCTCCTTTTCATTCCATTTCTAACAAGACCAAGTACAACATATTTACACATCTGAAAATCTTTATTGTCTAAATACCATCCATTATTAATTGTATACCTGATCCAATACACAAAGCAAGTCAGTCAGGGAGCAACGGCTTGCATTCTGGTTCCTCTAAAAATGTAGAGGTGGGGAAAATGATCAGTTGGGAGTAATTATAGGGCTTTTTTTAAGGAATAACTTTTTCTTTTTATAAAATAATAAATGCTCATTATAGAACCAGGCAAAAAAATTATAAGTAGCCTTAAATCTCTTTTGTTGGACATTGAGCATTTGGCTGTGAGACCCAGATGTAGAAAAATGGTGTTTTAGCCCAGAACACTTTCCTCTCCATGTATCACCCACAGGGGAGAAACGCACAAAGGAAGCAAGGTGAGGAAAAGCAACTCCTTACTATTAGGAGAGGCTTTGGCTCCAAAGCTGAGATTTGAACTCCCGGACCTGTGCTGGTTCACATGCAGTGCTCCTTTTCAGGAAAATAATTGGGCCTATATAGCCTTGAACCCATGCAGGATATAAGCTGCTCCATGAGGGACCTCTAATCCTGAACCCAAGGGGAATGATAGCTGCCCCTATTGAAGAGAGGAGCCAGAATAGGGGCCACTTAGGCTCTAGACCTATGATGGGCAGTAGCCCTGGGTCCAATTGCAGGTGGAGAGAGCAGCTCCGGAGAAAGAGAGGGAGATGGGACTGCGTAGCAATTCACCCCAGCCATGTGTGCTGACCGGGAAAACAAGGCCTGTTGGTGATCCAGGATATGACAGTGCAGATCCCCCTTGACCTCCTTGGGGTAGGCTAAAAGGAGTATGGAGGGAGGAGTGGAGAGATAAGGGGAGAGGTTTCCCCTAGAGATTTTTACCTTTGACCCTACACCCCCATTTTCAGGAAATCTATCTTAGGAAATAATCAGCTACCTATGGAAAGCTCTGCTTATAAGAATGGTCAATATGGCATTATTCATTCCATCTAAAATTCAGATATTAAGTGTTAAATTATCATAATTAAAATGATGAGGCTTTCAAAGGCAGACACTACATATCAAAGTTAGGAGCTATCGCTCTACCAAAGCCATTTTCTGATATCAGCACCACTTTCAAGGGGTTCAGCTCATAGCTCCAAAATATTTATTTTTCTAACTTTCACATGACTAATCCATTTTTCCAACAAGTAAAACAATAGAAAAAAGACAGTGAAATGCCTTTCACAGATCCAAAGAGTGGTGAAAAAGCCAAACATAATACTCAAAGACATTTGCAGCTGGGCAGGACTTTGGAGATAATTTAGTCCAGTACCCCTCATTGTACAGATAATAAAACTGAGTCCTGGTGAGAGGACATGACTTACCCAAGGTTAGGTCAGAAGCAGAGCCCTACATCTCTGACCCTCCCATCTGGGGCTCCCTCTGCGGCCCCTCCCTGAAGCTGCAGGGTCCTTTGCATTCTGGGAGAGATTTGGATTAGGCCCTTGCTATTGACACAATCTCTGATTAAAATTCGCATTCAAATAGAGATGCCCCATTTAACAAATACACGTGCAAGACACCCGGTAATATTTGAATGTCAGTAAACAATGAATAACTTCTTTTATTTTTAATCTTTTTGAGACAGGGTCTCACTCTGTTGCCCAGTCTAGAGTGCAGTGGCATGATCCTGCTCACTGCAACCCGGACCACCTGGGTTCAAGCAATCCTCCCATTTTAACATCCCAAATAGCGGAGACTATAGGAACACACCACACCCAGCAAATTTTTAAATTTTTTGTAGAGACAGGGTCTCCCTATTTTGCCCAGGCTGGTCTCGAGCTCCTAGGCTGAATTGATCCTCCCACCTTGGCCTCCCAAAGTGCTGGGATTACAGACATGAGCCACACACCTGGCCAACGATGAATTTTTTTTTTGTACAAGTATATCCCATGTCCATATATATTATTTGTGTGTGTGTGTGTATATATATATATATATATATATATATATATATATATATATATATGCATAAACACTGAAAATTGTTTATCTGACATTCAATTTGAAAGTTGAAATCTAGGCATGTTTTTTAAAAATTTGGGCATTTTTTATTTGCTAAAACTGGCAACTCTATATTCAAAAAGAGACATGTCAAAGATTGTTAGAATAAGAAAAGATCATCCATTCCAATTTTCTGATTTTTTACAGATGAGAAAACTGATAAGCAGAGCGAAGCTGCTACCTGCTAAGGTTCCGTGGTTGCTTGGTGACCAAGTTGAGACCACAACTCAGAGGAGATGGTTACCAGGGCCCCTTCTAACACACCATTCTGGATGTGCCTTCCTTCCTGACATTAAAAAAGTTCAACTTATAAATCTTTTAAGAATGAAATCCTAAGAAATCTCATGTGCAGTCAATTTCCCCTCCACACCTCTCTTAGGTTGCAGCCATACACTGAGGGCTTTCCTTGATGCCAAAACAACCTAAAGCAATAGAAGATTCTTGGAAGATCTTAGAACGGTGGATCTCAGACTCCAGCATGCATCAGAATCACCTGGAGGTGATCACTTGTTAAAATGCGCATCGCTGGGTCCCACCTCCAGAGTTTCTCATGCTGGAAGTCTGGGAGAGAGACCTACAATTTCCATTTCTCACAAGCTCCCAGGTGATGCTGTTGTTGCCGGTCCAGGAGTCACACTAGAGAACTACTGGTTTAGTTGATGCAGCCATGCCTATTCGATGAGAATTCCCTGATTAAACCAGAGGGAAAAAAGAAGTCTTGTGTTTGGGAATATTGTGTCTCAGTTATAGAAAATCATATTCTGGGCCGGGCGCAGTGGCTCATGCCTGTAATCCCAGCACTTTGGGAGGCCGAGGCAGGTGGATCACCTGAGGTCAGGAGTTCAAGACCAGCCTGCCCAACCTGGTGAAACACCATCTCTACTAAAAATACAAAAAAATTAGCCGGGCATGGTGGTGTGTGTCTGTAATCCCAGTTACTCGGGAGGCTGAGGCATGAGAATTGCTTGAACCTGGGAGGTGGAGGTTACAGTGAGCCGAGATCATGCCACTGCACTCCAGCCTGGGCGACAGAGAGAGACTGTCTTAAAAAAAAAAAAAGAAGAAGAAAATCATATTCTGTGCTGTATGTTATTAGAGAAATTGTTTTTTTAAGGGCAAAACCAGCCTAAATAAGTTTGCTGAGCTGAGATCAATAAGACTGGACAACAGCAATGAATTAAAGGATTATGAGGCAAGTTTAGTTGGGAAAGGAAAGAAGGAATAGGAACAATGATTAGTTTCAGGAAAGAGGAACCACGTGAACAATCTGAAAAAGCACTGTAGTCAGAATGTTCTGTGACTATGTCATACCTTTTATTTTTTCCCCCCAAACTTAGCTATCTAATTATGTGGCTAATTGCAGCTGAATGAAACATTCTGTTGAGATGATTAAGGCCAATATGAGAAATTCTGAGGCCTTTGTTCAATCACTTTTGTGGGAACTCAGCGCCCTATTTCTACTGTCAGAGCTGGAGGCCGCAATGCAGTTTCCCACCCCTCAGCCCCTCCTTCCCTCCCCATCCCTCCTCCTCCCAGCCACTGCTGCCTCCTTACTGCTTCCTAAACAATGACCAGATTGTTACACCTCTCTTGGCTTCTTCTGAAAGAAACCACCCAACTGAAGTTTTCAAATCTACCCTTTTCGTCCTTGTCCTCCTTCAACTGGCCGCTCCGCAGCCCTGAGCTTCAAGGCCAGGGAGTCCTGTCACATGTCTGCATCTCGCCTCACACTTTGCAAATAACAATGCATATGTGCCATAATTATTTGCTCTTCCACCAAATGGCATAGCTCATTTCTATAAGCACTGGGGGAAAGATGCTCTAAAACGTCCAGTTACATCTCCAACCTGAGGGGACTGAGAGAGACATTCCCAGAGAAAGAGCAGTCTTTTCTGAGAGACTTGGGTGGCCATGGTGTAATTCCATGGACAGAGCTTAATTGGAAAATATCCATGGCAGTAAATAAAGAGCAAAGGAGAAAAACATTCCCCTCAGCCAGCAGCTGAGGCAGAGAGAGTTGGCCCTGCTTGGTACTTATGGATCCCCAGGAACTCATTTCCAGCTTGCCTGAAGGCAGTCACTGGCCCCATGAAGTCAGGAGCTAAAAGCAAAGGGTAATAGTTCCCTGAATATAACTTCACAGTCCAGCAGCCCTCCCAGGAAACTCTGAGGGGCACCTCACCTCTGAGGCAAGTGCAATAAAAGCAGACTTCAAATCTCAGCTGGGAATTCAGGGGATAAAAATTAGAGTTAACTCCTTCAAGGATACCAGTGTGGTATCCTTGCAGTTTAATACTGGGTTCTGGTTTCCTCGCTGCCTCTCAAATAACATGCCTATGATTCCCTGCAGAGAGGCTGGGAGCCCAGTGTGGGCCAGGAATAAAGAATTGTGATATATCCCAAGTAACTGAGGCCATGATGAGAAGCAGCATTGGCTTGCAGGATTAAAGCAGTGGAATGGAAGGGGGCTTGTCACCCAGACCCCTCTCGCCACCGTGTCTCAGAGCCTTCATGGAGACAGGCAGACACATTCTTGGGGAGGGGTTGGACTGAGTCACACAGTTCCGGAGGCCACTATTAATTGTTGGTTAAACCAGTCTGCAAGAATAAACTGGCATGGAACAAAGAGGATGAGTGACCCAGCAAATGTGGCTCAGAGGGGGCACTTCAAGGGCTGGCTGCCTGGACCTCAGCAACAGCCACCAAAGGATTGAAAGGACCCAGCTGTGGCTTGTGAGGTTGAGATGGCTTTATTGGTAGGCCAGGAGCCAGCTGGGTACAAGGCATGATTTGGGGGCCCCTATGAAGATTTCTATTGCCAAGCCCTTTCATTCATTTGGAAACTCAACAATATAGCCTTTAAAACATAAATCCCCTTGAAGAAAAGTGGCTTACTCTCTCCAGTGGGCATTTATCATATTATGATCTTCCAGATAGCTCCCTCAACAGCTTTGGGAGGATCATACCCCTACTGCTTCTGTATGGTGTCTTGGAACGAACATCCCACAGGGGCCCGATCTTCACTCTTCCCACCCCTGGTAGAGTCAGGGGCTAAGCTCAGTGACCAAGGCACAGCCAGGGTGATACCTTCTCCTGGAACTCTAGGTCTTACACGAGTAATTTCCTAGATGCAAGGACAAACTTTTCATCACAGCAGCAGCAAGCAAACCCTGCCTGCTTCATGGCCACTGCCTGTTCCTGATGGCCCTCTTCCAGGTCTGGTCCTCCAGCCTCTTGTGACTTCACCCTCAGGAGTTAGGGACTCCATCAGTCAGGGGTGCTTGCTGCAAGCAACATAAACCAATTTGGGTTAATTTGATCCTCACAACTACCTTGTAAGTTAGATAGAAGGATAATTATAACAATCTCTAGAGTGAGGAAAGAGGCTCAGGGTGGTAAATATATTTTGAAGACCCAGCAGCTCTACGTGGCAGAGCCCAGACCTGAACCAAGGTCTTCTGTCCCTCCCTCCCCCACATCTATGGCCCAGGCCAGCCTCCTCTCAGATAGCAGAGAGTATTTTGATGCCTCAAAAAATAATCAAGAGAAGGGACTTGAACCCTGAGTTCACAATTAATGAAGATGCTCAAAATCAGGTCCTTCCAAGAGTAATTGGGCTGAAGGTGTGATGGACAGAGCAGGTGAATGAGAGAACACCAAAAGGAGGAAATGGAATAGCCTAGAACAGAAGAGAGGGCACAAAGGGTATGAACACAAGGAGGAGAAATTATTAATAAAAATAACAGCAAATATAAATAGACATATACCCATATATGTGTGAATGTGTTTGCTATGTGTAGGCACTGTTCTAAACTTTACCTATTTACATTTCATAGCCCTGCAAAGTAGGTAGGTATTACTTCCAAGACAGGTAGGGGCCGGGCACGGTAACTCACTCTTGAAATCCCAGCACTTCAGGAGGCCAAGGTGGGAGGATCGCTTGAGCCCAGGAGTTTGAGACCAGCCTGGGCAACATAGTGAGACTCTGTCTCTACAAAAAAAAAAAAAAAAAAAAGAAAGAAACTATTAAGCCGGGTATGGTGGCATGAGCCTTTAGTCCCAGCTACTCAGAGGCTGAGGTAGGAGGATTGCTTGAGCCCAGGAGTTCGAGGCTGAGGCTGCAGGGAGCAGTGATCACACCACTGCACTCCAGCTTGGGCAACAGCAAGATCCTGTCTCAAAAAAAAAAAAAAAAAGACAGACAGACATGTATTACCATTGTTGTCATTTTACAAATGCAGAAACCAAAGCACAGAGAAGACAGGGTTACATCGCTTGGTCACACTGCTAGTAAATAGTAGAGCCTGGATGTGAACCTATGTAGCTTGGTTCCATTCAAGTACACTTAGCCTTTATGCTACCCTGGCTCTCCCATTGAGTAAGTCAGCCCTAAGAATACCATGGAAGTAGAAAGAACGCTGAGGTTCATGAGGTCTAAGAGAAAGTTGTCCAAGTAGAAGGGGCATCAATTTGGATCCTGTTCTGCCTCAGAAGAGCTAGGTCATCTTGAACAAATCATATACCATCTTTAGTCTTGGATTCTACATCTAAAGAATAGAGCCAAAAATACACCTTTGTGAGGAATTCAACACAAGTCTTACAATATTAGGCAAATAGTAACTAAATAATATTCCCCTGTTGCTACACTGGAGGATATTTAATGGTGTTTCATAGGAAGTATGAAGGAATTGAGTAATGGTGGATCAAACTTTGGATCCCTCTCCAGCCCAGGAAATTAGTCTCTCCCCAAGAGAGATTTAAAGCATTCATCCCTTTGCCACCCCCTGCAGAAAACTGCTGGCCCTGCAGAGAGGAAGCCACCCGCAAAGAACACAGAGACACAAATCATCCATATTAGACAACCCAAGAGGCACACTTGGTTTATTGTCAGAACAGGCAGCCAGCAGAAGGTATTGGTGGGAACAGACTTTGTAGAAACCACTAAATAAAGACTGAGCG
This sequence comes from Homo sapiens, assembly GCF_000001405.40. NCBI lineage: Eukaryota > Metazoa > Chordata > Mammalia > Primates > Hominidae > Homo > Homo sapiens. The sequence continues at coordinate 50,526,768 of NC_000018.10, forward strand.
TAGAGGCAAGCTTGCTCACATGTTTTGGTGGAAAACTTACTACTGAGGGCTCAGCCTAAAGCATGGAACAGGAGTCTCAATATTGCAGTAGAGTGAGACGCACAAAGTGTGAGACATGGCAGAAGGCCTCCAGACTGCACCCAACATAACATTGTCTTCACCACACTTATCAAGGCTTATCAACAGCTCCTTGTGAGAAAGAGCTGGGGGTGGTATTAGAAGCCATGTTTCTCTTCGTAGTTGTTCTGTATGTAGCCATATCAAAATCTATCTGTCAACCTATCTTTCCATAAATATATGATCTTTGCAGAGCATGAGCTCAGTCTTTTTCATGTCAAACCTCAAGTTAAAGAAACCAGCCAAGAAGGTTATGGGGTGCTATCTAGACTTGGGAAATCCTATGATAGTCAAAATTCTGTGCCTGAAGTAGATAAAATAGGCAAGTGGCATCCCATAAAATTATATCTTGATAAAACTTATTAACTTAATGTTTTATGTAACATTAAAATAATATATGCAAAGCACTTACAATAGTGTTTTGCCCAGAATGGGTCATTTCTACAAGTAAATCTCTCAGGCAGCATCATTTTTTAAGTGCCCAAGGTCTAAAGATGACTGTATTTGATTTGATAGGGATTACCAAGGAAGATTGGACAGACTAACCATAGCTGATCACATACACATAATTATCAACAGCTTGGTAGGGTGATTGGAGCAGGAGAGTCCAGTGAAATCCATCAAAGAGGACATTTTGTCAAAGAAGTGCAGGCAGAAGGTTATGAGCCAATGGAAACGGAGAGTTTCAGGTTAGAGAATGGGATATGTGGATGCCTGAATTCTGGCAGAGGCCGGAGGTAGAAGGGAATATGAACACAGAGTGAGCTAGGTAAGAACGGGATGTCGTTGGAGAAGTGGCTGGAACACATGGTTGGGGAGTGTGGTTGGAGCACTCAGACAGTACACTGAGAAGAGGCATCCAGCAGGCTCCTGTCAAGGCTGTGACAGGCAGGAGGATGACAAGCTTGTTTCTGGAGGGGGAAAGGAGGACAAATCAGAGGAGAAGCAGAGCAAGGACTTCCAGTAAATTCTGCAATAGGACAGGAGTGTAAGCTGGGGACAGATGGTGCATCCCTGGTTATGGGAAAGCCCAGCATGCACAAACAAATGACCAGATGACATTCCAGGAAAAGAGAGCTTTTGTGTATGTGTGTCTGTGTGTGTGTGTGATGCCTGCTTCTACTACGTGTTCTGGGGCAGGGGTGAACATCAGGTTTTCATACAAGTACCAGTGCCCAGCCAGGTAGCTTTGGTCATAAGAGCCAAGACAAACAAACCTTTAGATAAGGGAGAAAAGGCAACATAGAGCAGGAGAGTGTCCAGTGAGTGGTGCAGGTAGATGAGGCCAGAGGAAGCAGGCAGGACAAGCCACAATGGGGAGGCAGCCTGTGGCCTGGCTTTTGAAGGAGGAGCAGGAAATTGGGCAAAGGAAGAAACATTCTGCTCCACTTTCCAGCTCTTTTTTTTTTTTTTTTTTTTGAGACAAAGTCTCGCTCTGTCGCCGAGGCTAGAGTGCAGAGATGCGACCTCTGCCTCCTGGGTTCAAGTGATTCTCATGCCTCAGCCTCCCCAGTAGCTGGGATTATAGGCACCCGCCACCATGCCCGGCCAATATTTGTATTTTTAGTAAGATGGGTTTTACCATGTTGGCCAGGCTGGTCTCAAACTCCTGACCTCAAGTGATCCACCCACCTTGGCCTCCCAAAGTGCTGGGATTACAGGTGTGAGCCACCACGCCTGGCCTCCATGTTCTAGTTCTCTATTCAGGTGGGTCTCACACTTGAGCATACATCAGGATCACTCGAAGACTTGTTAAGACAATTTCTGGGCTCCAACTCCAGAATTTCTGATTCAGTAGGTCGGGGATGGGGCCTGAGAATGTGCATTTCCTACATGTTCCCAGATGAAAATGACACTGCTGGCCTGGGGACTGCACTTTGAGAACTACTGATCTAAAACAGTGGCCTCAGAAGCAAGGTCTCTCTGACCTCCCCTCGCCCTCTTACTTCTCGCCTCTTTTTCTCCCCTGAAGTGAGTCATAAAAACCAGAATTCCTCTTTCCCAAAATGGATCATAGAAATTAGAATTCCTCTCCCCCAAAGCAAGCCGTCAAACCTAGAAAGGTCATTCTCTCCCTTCTTTCTTGAGTATCCTCATTCCAGAGGGGTCCTTGTGCCATATCCAGGAGGAAAGAATGCCATACAGAGGCCAAGAAGAATCTGAACAGACAGGCCTTGCTGGATTTCTGCCTTCCGCTCTCAGCATTCAATCACTTGCCCTTTTTCCAATCACATTTCTACACCACTGTCCATTCTTCATCAAACCTAGGCAGAAAAATAGATCTTTGGGTTTTTATTTCTGAAGGCTCCTATGTCACGTAAAACCCTGATTAAATAAATGTGTCAAGCTTTTCTTCTGTGAACATGTCCCTTATGGTGGGTGAGGACCCTTCCATGCCTATAAAACCATGGAAATTCTAATTTAGGAGCACAGAAATAACTACACCCCTTGCCTAGTCAAGAAAAAGAAAAACAAAACAAAACAAACACAGTGGCAAGAAGAATGAGTTGAAAGTTCCATTTTGCAAACTTGGCACATTAATGCCCTTCAGAAAGATCAGAATTTGGCTTGGTCAGGGACAGGAAAAAAGGTCACAAACCAGGATTGTGCTGTGGGGAGGAAGAGTTCAATGGTTCCAAACCCCAAACTAAAAAGCAAAGTGAGAAGGTCTGGCGGGGCTGGCCTCAGGTCAGCCAGGAAGACCAGTCAGACACTGGGGCAGGGCGGAGGGGGTGGGAGGGGCTACTTAGGCATTTGGAGTTGAGGAACACTCAAGAAAGCGTTCCTGAAACCAAAGAGACATCTTCCCTTGCTTGTCACAGGTGTTTGAAATACCAGTATTAAGGTTCCATTGAAAACAACAACACAAAAACAAAACCTCTGGGCACCTCCCTCTGAACTTGTAAAGAATTCAACCAGAGCAGACAGTCAGAGCCTACATTTTCATCCAGCCCCAATCCCACCTTGCCCTGGCAGATTCTGTCCTCCTCCAGCTTGTGACCCTCCACTGTCATTGTCTGAGCTCCTGACTCATGTGAGGGGCTTTAAGGTGGAGATTGCTTCTACTTCTACTTCTACTTCTTGCCCCACCCCCTCTGTGGGAGCAGTGATTTACACATAATATGCTCTTTTAAATAGTTAACAGTTGGCTAGGCGATGTGGCTCAAGCCTGTAATCCCAGCACTTTGGGAGCCCGAGATCGGCGGATTGCATGAGCTCAGGAGTTTGAGACCAGCCTAGGCAACATGGTGAGACCCCTGTCTCTACTAAAAACACAAAAAATTAGCCAGGCGTGGTAGCACTAGCCTGTAGTCTCAGCTACTTGGGAGCCTGTGGCAGGAGAATCACTTGAACCTGGGAGGCAGAGGTTGCAGTGAGCCAGGATTGTGCCACAGCACCCCAGCCTGGGCAACAGAGCAAGACTCTGCCTCCAAAAAAAAAAAATAGTTAACAGTTGTTAACTATTAATAGCTAATAGTTTTTGAATTAAACAAATACACAGGGAGCTCTTTTCCTTAAGATTACCTGATTTTAAACTATATTTTATGCACACATACATGCAGGACAGTTTCAAGTGTAGAGAGCTGAACTTGAAGTTGCAAGTTGGTTCTGGACCCTGACCTGTCACTTAGAAGCTGGGGAACCTTTGCATCTCTCAGGTTATTTGATTTCCCATCCATTAAGTGGACACCTGTCTGGGTTATCTCACAGATTTGTGCAGAAGAGGATCAAATGAGATGAGTGAAAAGTGCTTTTAAACTCAGGAATGGTATGAACATCAGAATGCTTCTTCAGACATGATTTCTCTCCATGGCTCCCTTTCATGTATATTCTTGGCTGTTTAACTTTGATCTGGCCATTGGATGACAAATGCTTAAGATAGAGATACTCCTGCCCTGTCCTTGAGAAACGAAATCAACTTTCTTTAAAGCTCTTTAGGGAAATAGTCTGTATGTAATGGTGATCTAGTCACAGAGCTCTGGATGTCTGATAATAAAATTAACAGACTTATATAAAAGTGGGAGCAGAGGTCCTGCAGCGCTGACATCATCCAACGGTAGCCCTTCCTATGTGGACCCTTTCAGAATGAGGCAAATAATTATTAAGTCTTAAGAGGTTTAAAGTGTCACTCTTGCTAAACCACATCTTTCTTGCACTCTAGATGTGCAGCTGATTTTTCAGACCAAGGTACAGGACCTTATATTTATCACTGTTTAACTTTACTAAATCTCACCCTTTGGGAAATATGGAAAAGTATGGGCTAGATGCAACGACAGCTAAATTTAGTGGTGACAGTTTTGGGGCAGAGCAGGTTAAAACCAGAGCCCAGAGGAATGCCTCTAGAACTCCATCTCCAGGTGGTGATGCTTCCGTTAATCAAGTTCTTTTGCACAAATGTTCTTATGTGTTCATAGTGTCCAAAACCTTGCAGAAACTCAGTTGTACCACCTACTGTATAGTCCTATTTCCCACCCCAAAAACTCTACTAAGGAAGGAAATAGGGGTAGAGTTTCCATGCAGGGTCTGTGACCACGTCTTCCTTTACACTCAATGTCTACAAACCATGACCTTAATAATCTGAATTGACATGAAACTGAGACTGTTTCTATTCTTCAGACACTGTCCCCTTCTCCAAGATCCTCAGAAGTGATAGTTTGGGCTGATTCTTCTTGTTTACTAATCCACTCATTTTCCCAGGATATGGCCAGATTATCCAGGCTAAGAGAATTGAGGCACTGGGACCAAGCTCATCACTTTCAGACACACTCTTCTCTCATCCTGACTGCCTAGCCTCACACAAGTTTGTTCTGCCTTTGCAGTCTGAGGCTTGCTCTCCTTGATGGAGAAAATAGAAGCACACCAGGAAGGAGTTAGGCAGTCTATTTACTTAATGTCATTCCCAGCTTATTATTTTTAGCTTCAAACACCTTGTGGCAATAATTCTGCAGTATCCCTCACTGATACTTGTTTTCTGCAAGAAACACAGAATTATGTACTCTCAGATAACCTGTGAGGGGAATAAAGACTGCCTTTAGCCTCCTTCCACTGCCTGTGTTAGGAGTGGTACCTTCCCTTCCAAGTGCCTTGTCTCTGTAGGGTTTTCTATCCCACCTTTCAGGGTCCTGCCTGAAACACACTGATGCTATTTTAACAGTGGGACCTTGGTAATAAAGCTAGAGGTGGAGTAGCAGGAAACTGACATTCTCTTTAGCATTGTAATGTCCAGGAAATAAGTTAGCAGGGGATTCACATTGGCAGGATGAAAGATCTGTTTATCCATCTCTCTCCTTAAGGTTAGATCATGATGAACGTCTGTTACCTCTCTCCTCTCCCCTTCACTCCTCCCCACTGCTGACGATTCCAGGACCTGACGTTTCTCTACCCCTGCAAGGGGGTGACCATTTGGAACCCCTGAAAGTCCAGAAAAAACACCCTGAATTTATCAAACAGTTTGGGAGGTCAAATTGAACGGAATGGATAATCCAATCCCTAAATTCCACTGTCCTGGGAATGCTGTGTGTGTTGTAATATGACATTCAAAGGAGGAATGAAGGACTGCTCACATGTACTTTCTTCTGCGATCCCATTTTAACGATAAGGAGCCTGGAGCTAGCAGCACACCTGGGCTGCATTCTTTCTCTGGCAGCATGCAAACTCATTTTTACCAAGGTGCCAACTGATTGCTAAGGTGATACCTCTGAGAGCCAACTGCATTTTATAATATCAATATCCACAAATATGTATTGGCCTTCTGCCACACTCACAGCATTTTCATTGACACTGGGGCTACAGCATTGAACAAGACTGTACCTGCCTTCATGGGTCTCAGATTTTAGTGGGAGTCAGATATTGAGCAATTAATCACATAAATTTGAAATAATAAGAGTAATATGTACTATAAAAGAGGAGCCCTAGGTGCTTAGGAGGCCCACATAGGGGAACTTAACTGATCCTGGAAGAGTCACTTTAAGAAGTGACATTTCATCTGAGCTCTGAAAATGAGTGGGTCTGGGTAAGTGCAGAGGAGGAGGCAAAATGTTCCAGAAAGAGATGAGCATGTATATGACTGTCCTGAGGTAGGGAGAACAGAGAGACTCTTCCACGACTGGAGTGAAGTGGGTCAGATGGGGTGGCTGGAGAGGTGGGCAGGAGCCAGGCCACACACAGTCTCCATATCCTGGACCAGTTCAACCCTTGAGGATTTTATTCCAAGAGCAATAGGAAGCCAACTGCAGGCTTTAAACAGGGGAGCAAAGTAATTAGATGTGCATTTTAAAAATGCAAACAGATAGAATATGGAAAATTGACTGAAAAGGATTAATATGAGAAAGCAGGTGGTCAGGTCAGTCCATTATAGTAGTTCAGATAAAGATGATGGCATATTGAACTAAGGTGGTGACAGTGATGATGAAGAGACGTTAATGGACTTGAAAGCCATTTACGAAGTCAAACATCCAGACATGGGGATTAATTGGATATGGTGTAAGGGAACTGTTCACAGTGGTATGTAGAAATGCCCTTTGCTGTTGTAAGGATGGTGGAGGAGGTAAGGTGGAAAAAAATCAGGGTTGTGTTTTGGAGATGTTGCATTTAAGGGACATTGGAAACAACCATGTACTTCATGTGACAATCTAAACCTGCCACTGGGACCCATGGCAAATTCCATCCAGAAATAGGCCTGCAATTATAGACCAGGTTATATAATCACCCTGGCAGAACTGGAATTACTGAGGTGTGTATCTAAAGGCAAAAAATGATTTACTGGGAGAAGTTGCAAAATGACTTCATTAAACTGTATCAAAGTAAAGCTCCATATTACTGCTTAAAAATCCATTTTGCCATTTTTTTTTTTTTTTTTTTTTTTTTTGCTGGATATAGACTTCTTTGTTGACAGGGTTTTCTTCCTCTCAGCAGTTTGAATATTATCCCACTGTCTTTTGGCCCATATGGATTCTGATGAGAAATCAGTTGTTGATCTTATTGAGGATTCCTTGTATGTGTCAAGTTGCTTTTCTTTTACTACTTTCAGAATTCCCTTTTTTTCTTTGTCTTCCAACAGTTTGATAATATATCTCAGCGTGATTCTCTTTATTTATTTGGGGTTTGCTTAGCTTCTTGAATGTGTGGATCCATGTCTTTCATCAAATATAGGGCTTTTTAACCATTATTTCTCTTTTTTTTTTTTTTTGAGACAGAGCCTTACTCTGTTGCCCAGGCTGGAGTGCAGTGGTGCGATCTCAGCTCACTGCAACCTCTGCCTTCTGGGTTCAAGTGATTCTCATGCCTCAGCTTCCCAAGTAGCTGGGACTACAGGTGTGCACCACCACACCCAGCCAATTTTTGTATTTTTAGTAGAGACAGGATTTCACCATATTAGCCAGGCTGGTCTTGAACTCCTGACCTTAAATGATCCACCCATCTCGACCTCCCAAAGTGCTGGGATTATAGGCCTGAGCCACTGCACCTGGCCAATTTCTTAAAATATTCTTTCTCCTTTCTATTCTCTTTTTCTGCACCTCCCATTATACATTCACTGGAACTCTCAATGGTTTCCCACAGATCTCTTAGTTTTGTTCATTTTCCTTCCTTCTTTTTTTTTTGTCTTGCTGCTCAGATTGGGCAATCTCACTTCATCTATCTTCAAATTCACTGATTCTTTCTTTTGTCAATTCACATCTGCTGTGGAACACATCTAGCAAATTTTTTCATTTCGATTATTGTACTTTTCAACTCTGGACTTTGTATTTGGTTTCTTCTTTATTGATATTCTCTATTTGGTGAGACATCATTCTCATAATGCCCTTTAATTCTGTATACATGGTTACCTTTACCTTTTTGAGCATATTTAAAGTAGTTGATTTTTGTCAGATAAGTCCAATATCTGGGCTTCCTTGGGCACAGTTTCTATTAATTTCTTTTTTTACTATGTATGGGCCATACTTCGTTGTGGGTATTTTTTGCATCCTTCATGATTTTTTGTTGAAAACTAGACACTTTGAAGGTTATAATGTGGCAACTCTGGAAATCAGATTCTCCTCCCTCTTCAGAGTTTGTTGTTATGTTAATGCTGGTGGTTTCTGTTTGTTTGGTGACTTTTCTGAACTAATTTTGTAACATTTGTGTTCTTTGTCACATGTGGCCACTGAAGTCTCTCTGTTTAGCTTAATAATCAGATAGTGGTTTGACAGAGAGTGCATGAAATGCCTGCAGCCAAAACCAGAGAAAATCTCCCAGCCTTTGCAGATGGGCTGTGTGTTTCTTTTTCTCTCCGTGTGTGTGTGTGTGTGTGTGTGTGTGTGGTGGGGTGTGTGTGTATGTGTGTGGTGTGTGTGTGTGTGTGTATGTGTGTGGTGTGGTGTGGGGGTGTGTGTTGGGGTGTGTGTATGTGTGTGGTGTGTGTGTGTGTATGTGTGTGGTGTGGTGTGTGTGTGTGTGTGTGTTGGGCATATCTTCAACACTCTGCTGGGCATTTTACAACTTTGTTTTAGTCTTTACTTCCTGCTTGTGCAGAGCCTGAAGGTCGGCCAGAGGTGAAAGCTTAGAGCCTTTCAGGTTTCTCCTGAGCATACGCACTGCCCTGGACATATGCATGGCCTCTAGATTCTCAGGAATAGGTGGTAGCTTTTCACAGCCCCATTCTCACTCCCCACCCTCTTCTCCCAAGCTTTCTGATATGTCTATTATTTGCCCCAACTGTTATCCCTTGTCCTGGCAGCAGCGGTGAACACATTTGCCTTAAACTGTTTCTGACAAATGCTCCCCCAGGTAGCTGCCTCTCTGCTCTTTGAAACTTCTGAATTAAGAAAAAGAAAGGAAAGTCCTTTCCACCAGTTCTTCAAGGACCCACCAGACAGGTCACACCAAGCACCCACAATTCTTTGAGAACAAAGTACACTCCATTTTGTCTGGTACCAGGAACCCACACTTAGAATGCAGGCTGCCATCTTTAAGACAGCTGTTGCTTCTGGGAGGAGGGGATGGGGGAAGGTTAAGTTAAAATGCTGAAAGTTGTTTTACCAATATTCAGCCTCCTTTTTCTTGATTAAGCATCAGTCTGGTTGTTGTAAACCTTTGACTAGTTTCCAGAGTTCCAATAAAATTGATTCTGACAGTTTTTAAAGGGTAGGTGCGGTGGCTCATGCCTGTAATCCCAGCATTTTGGGAGGCCAAGACAGGCAAATTTCTTGAGCTCAGGAGTTTGAGACAAGCCTGGGAATCATGGCAAAACTTTGTCTCTATAAAAACTACAAAAAAAAATTAGCTGGGAATGGTGGCATGTACCTGTGGTCCCAGCTACTCAGGAGGCTGAGGTGGAAGGATTGCTTGAGCTCAGGAGGTTCGGGCTGCAGTGAGCTGTGATCATGCTACTGCACTTCAGCCTGGGTGGCAGAGTGAGACCCTGTCTCAAAAAAAAAAAATAGATTCTGACAGTTTTTGCCAGTTTATTCACTGTTTTTGTGAAGAGTTCATCTCTTGGAGTTCTCTACTCCACCATTTTCATAGTCATCTTGCAGTGTGTGTATGCCTAAAAGAATTACAGGCTTTGAGTGCTGGCAGAATTCGTGATGGTTGGTGACAGAGTCAGAGAAGCTAGATACTGTCATTAGCTAGCTTAAGGTCTGGCAATGCCCATGTGGTGAGACTAGGAGACAGAGATGGGTAGATCCACTGAATACAGACATAATGAATGGGGTGAAGAAGGTGAAGACAGGAAGATCCAACTTTGATCAATATTTCCCCTCATTTCTTCCTCACATTATCTGCTTTTCTAAATAATAACTGTTAAATATTACGTGGCTAACTCCATGCCACATATTTAGGCACTACTTAGGAGACAAAAGAAAGAGCAAACCACATATGTGCCCACAAGAGAGGTTTAATTTTGCTCATGAGATGGCATTTGCCTTAAACAGTCCCAGAATTAATGCAGGGAAGGTAGACGCAGGTTGCTGTAATGTGGTTGACATTAGGATTTGTAAGTACTTCTTTAGGATTTGTAAGGACTAGACATGTGCTGTCCAATATGGGAACTACTATCCACATGTGACATTTTAAATGGAAATTTAGATTAGTTAAAATGAAGTAAAATTTAAAATTCAGTTTCTCAGTCACACTAGCCACATTTCAAGTGTTCAAATGCTACTTGTGTCTAATGGCTACTGAACTGAATAACACAGCTTTCATTGCAGAAAGTTGTATTGGACAGCGCTGGGCTAGAAAGTGGAAAACCAACTCAGAATGCAACTTACTCATTTTGAGAAATCTCCAACTCCTTGAAAATAATCACATATTGCAGCCATGAACAATGAGAGGCTAGTATTAAAGGTATGTTCCTTTAGGTCAGAGATTATGTCTTCATAGCTTTCTGAAGTAGATTCCTTCAAGGTCTTTCTCAAAATTCACATGAGAAATAGAAAGAGACATGTTAACTGGGAAAGAACTCCCGAGGGTGAAGGCCAGGCCCGCATGCTGGCTCAGTAACAGTGCCTCAGCTATCAAAGGGGAAGGGTGATTCTGAGGTTTTCAGGATGTTCATCAGATTTTTCCTCTCAAGCCCCATAAATTCATAACTAAGTCTTAGAGAAGAAGGCTTACATGGGTAAAATGGAGAGAAATCTTCTCACTCCCCATATCTCTGTGGTATGCTGGGATACATGACATGGTACTTTGGTTCCCACACATCAGAGTGAACTCCATTTGGGATTCAATCTCTCCCTTTGGCTTGAATTCAGCAAGGCTTCCATTTAGCTCCAGAATCAGGGGTAGGCAAAGCACAACTGCTGGCTCTGGCCGTGCCCATTCAGTAATAGCTCCTGTACAGGCATCATCCCTGCGCATAAGCTTGGAGCTCTGTATGAATGGAGTTCATGGGGCTGGGCAGGTGGCAGCAGCAAGGGCAGCCCTCTGAGACAGGTGCAGGCACCCAGTGTTGCCATCTCACTGAAGCTCTCTGCAGCTGCATCCAATCACTAATGAATAGGCCCATTGTGTTCTTATTTTCAATGACTATATTTCATTTCTGAAAGTTTGATTGGTCTCAAATCTGCCTATACATTTTCTAAATTGAGGTGTATGTTACATTTAAAAATACATAGTTTTTAAAATGTGCAGTTTGATGAGTTGGTGCACCTATGCAATCACTGCCTCAGTCAAGATACACAACATTTCCATCACCCAAGTAGGTTTCCTCCTGTCCTCTCCCAGTCAATCCTTCACACTCTCAACCCAGACAAAGAGCCATTGGTCTTATTTCTATCCTAATAGTTTGGTTTTGCCTCTTCTAGGACGTCATATAAATGGAAACACAGTATGTACACTTTTGTGTCTGGATTGCTTTGCTCGGCATAAGTTTTTGAAATTTCTTAATGCTGTTTCATTGTAGTATTTCTGTTGAGTTGTTTTCCATGGTTTGAATATACAACAATATGCTTATTCACTTGATGGTGAACAGTTGAGTTACTTCCAGTTTTTGTCTATTATGAATAACACCGCTATGAACATTTTCCTACATGTTTGTGGAAACATGTGTTTTGTGGACACATGTTTTTATTTCTCTTGGGAAAATATCTAGGAGTAAAGTTGCTGACTCACAGGGTTGGAGAATGTTTAACTCTTTAAGAAACACTAAATGTTTTCCCAAAGTGCTTGTATCATATTCTACCCCCTGTACCTTATGTGAGAAACCCTACTGCTACATGTCCTCGCTAACACTTGATATTGTCCAGCTTTTTAGTTTTTGCAATTCTGGTGGGTATGTAATGCTATTTCATTTTGGTTTTTTGTTTTTGTTTGTTGGTTTGTTTCTTTGTTTTTTGACACACTCTCACTGTGTTGCCCAAGCTGGAGTGCAATGGTGTGATCTCGGCTCACTGCAACCTCTGCCTCCCGGGTTCAAGTGATTCTCATGCCTCAGCCTCCCAAGTAGCTGGGATTACAGGCACCCGCCACCACACCCAGCTAATTTTTGTGTTTTTAGTAGAAACGGGGTTTCACCATGTTAGTCAGGCTGCTCTCAAACTCCTGACCTTGTGATCCACCCCCATCGGCGTCCCAAAGTGCTGGGATTACAGGCGTGAGCCACGGCGCCCATCCTCATTTTGGTTTTAACTTGCATTTCCCTAGTGACAAATAATGTTGAGCATCTTTTCATATGCTTATTCATATACTACTTTTATCAAGTTTCTCATCAAGTCTTCTGTCCATTTTTTATTAGATTGTCTTTTTATTAATGAGTTATGAGAGTTCTCTACTCTCTAGACAAGTCTTTTTCAGGCATAAATGACAAATATTTTCTCTCAGTTTGTGGTTTGAATACTTATTTCTTAATCATGCAATCAGATGAGCAGAAATATTTGATTTTGCTGAAATCCAATTTACCTGCTTTTCTTTTATAGTTAGTGTGTTTTGTGTCTTGAAAACTTTTTGCCTAACCTAAGATGATGAAGGAGGCTCCTATTTTTTTCTAGAAGCTTTAAAGTTTTTGCTTTTACAATCTTTCTCATGTTAATGTTTGTGTATAGTATAAGGTATGAATCAAGATTAATTTTTAAATACAAATATTAAGTTATTCTGGCACCAACTATTAAAAAACACTTTATTCCCCCCTATTGAATTACCTTGGGACCTTTGTCAAAAATCAGGCTGGGCGCAGTGGCTCACGCCTGTAATCCCAACATTTTGGGAGGCCAAGGCAGACGGATCACATGAAGCCAGGCATTCGAGACCAGCCTGGCCAACGTGGCAAAACCCTGTCTTTACAAGAAATACAAAAATTATCCAGGTGTGGTGGTACATGTCTGTAATCCCTGCTACTTGGGTGGCTGAGGTACGAGAATTGCTTGGACCCGGAAGGTGGAAATTGCGGTGAGCCAAGATCATGTCACTGCACTCCAGCCTGGTGACAGACAAGAGACCTTGTCTCAAAAAAAAAAAGGAAAAACACACACACACAAAAAAACCAATTGATTGTTTATATATGGGTCTATATTTAGACTCTCTCTTCTGTTACACTGATCTATTTTATTTTCCTTATGCCAATATCACATTATTTGGATTACTAAGGCTTTATAATAAGTCTTAAAAGATAGTATAAATCCTCCAACTTTGTTCTTTTTTTTTCAGAATTGTTTTGATTGTTGTAGGTACTTTGCATTTCCATATAAACTTTATGACCAACGTTTCAATTCCAACAAAAATATCTAATGAATTTTGGTTGGGATTATATGAATCTGCAGATCAATTTGGTGAGAACTGACATCTTAACAATATCAGGTCTTCCAATCAACAGTCATGGTATATCTCTCTATTTATTTATCAGTACTTTAAAGTTTTTAGTGTTAGGTATTCATTGGGCCAATATCTAGGAGTGAAATTACTTTACCTTTAGTGTAAAGGTCATGCACATTTTTTGTTAAGCTAATTCCTAAGTATTTTGTGCTTTTTGACGATATTGTAAATAATACTTTTGAGAAATTACATTCTCCAATTGCTTGTTATTACTACATAGAAATACAGCTGAGATTTTATATTGATCTTGTATTCTATAAAAGTAACTTTTAGTATGTCTTGAAGGTTTTGTAGATGGCTTTGGATTCTCTGTCTACACTGTCATGAGTGTAGATTAAAAAATGCCTCTTCTTTTAGTTGTGTCTCTGCTTCTAAAATGGAGAGTTACCTTTCCAGACATATATTTCTATAAAGTTATTCTTGGAAATGTAGAAGCCTTACCCTGTTCTGCTCCTTGTTCTTCTTTAATTTAACACATCTTGGAAATATTTCCATATCAGTACAGAAAACTTCTCCTCATTACTTTTTTTTAAAAGTTACATCCTCCATTGGGCAGATGTATCCATTTATTTACCCAGTGCATTTTGAATGGACGTAGGTCATTTCCAATCTTTTGTTATCACAAACTAGGCTGCAAGGAGCCCCTTTGATAAACATTATGTCGTATGTGTGCAGGATTAACTTTAGATAAATTCCGAGAAGTGAAATTACTGGGGCAAAACATACAGGCATATGTAATTTTGGCAGATATTGCCACATTTTATTTCACAGACTTGTACTACTTTGTACTCTCTCAGCAAAAGGGGGTAACTTTTCCCACAGCCTTCTTGATAAGGGCTTGTCAAACATTTGGCTATCTCTCACATCAAAAGGTGAGAAATGGTGTCTTGGCATCAACTGCTGAGGAGTTACTTGGAAAGTGGGCCCACAACTGCAGAACGATGGATGTCCTTTTGAAGGGGTTCAGTACTGCCTGGGCCACAAGTGTCTGTCTTCCCACTTGCCATCCAAGAAGGCCTCCCTTCCACAGCCAGCACAGCCCCTCTGACCATCCAGTGGGAATGCTCTGTGCCATCTGATCCCTGAGACTGCGGAGGCCTGATTTGACTTAGCTCACACCATCACCCACCCCACACCCCTTTTTAACCACGTGCCAAGATGGAGGTGTGGAGTCAAAGGGAAAGGCGCCTCCCTGCTGCACTCACACCTACACTTGTGTGGGACTCACAAGAACCAGCTTGAAACCTCCTTTTAGCTCAGGAGAATAATAAACACCCCTAGTATTGCCTAGAGGTGGACAGATTAAGGGGTGAACAGAGGATTGAAGACCTGCATCAAACGCAAGCGTATTAAAACCTCTCCAAAAAATTGAGAGTATGATACCCAGCCTGGGCAACATGGTGAAACCTCGTCACTACAAAAATAACAAAAAATTAGCCAGGCATGGTGGTGTGCACCTGTAGTCCCAGCTCCTTGGGAGGTTAAGGTGGGAGAATCACTTGGGCCTGGGAGGTAAAGGCTGCAGTGAGCCATCCATGATCACACCACTGCACTTCAGCCTGGGTGACAGAGCGAGACCTTGTCTCAAAAAAAAAAAAAAAAAGAGTTAATGACACTTAAATCAACATCTCTCCACATTGAGTATGCCCATTTCCTAACTATTAGGAGCTATGGAGGAGGATGTCCAGGGGAAAAAGAGGACAAAGATATTGCCATCACTTACTTTCAGCTTGCAATTATTTTTCCAATATGCTGAACTTGCAAATGCAAAGGCTATGAAGGAATTTCCTCAAATCTCTTATTTCAAATGCCCCTCGCCCAACCCCCTCCCAGAAAGCACTGTTAGGTGTTTTTAAGTCCCTTGTCTTCTAAGTCCCCTTTCTCAGGTTCCTGCCTGCTGTTCCCACTGTCTACAGCTACACAACACACACTTGATGCTCTGGGACTGCCTCAGGCTGCTGTTTACCTGTGGTTTGTAGAGTTGATACAGTGGCCCAAAGACAGACACACTGTCTGTATGAGCACCCTCCCCTGCATGAGCACACAGGCTTAGCCTCTGAGGCATTTCAAACCCCTTTCTAGGTTGCAATCAAAAGCTAAGTTTTTCTCTAACCTTGATTTCCATCATCCCCCTACATAAAGCCTTTCCTAGAGTAAGGTTATCCCTTTGCTGCCAGCATACACTACATTCACCACATCCATTCCTGCCTCCTGGTCTTCGCTCATGCTGCTCCCAACTCCCTCTCTGCTGACTGTTCAATGTATGTGCATCCTTCAAGATCGAGGTCAGCTTGCATCGCCTCCATGAAAGCTTCCCTGACCCTCTAGTCCCCAAACCATCTCTCCCTCTTTCTACTCCTAGCACTTTCGTTAGGGCCTTCACCTGTCACTTATCTCCTGCCTGTGACATCATTCGGCTCTGTCAAATGATTTAACTTCTCTTCCCTAGCGGCTTGTAAGTAACTTCAGGGCAAAACCTACAGATGATAGTTCACTGGGTTATTTTCACCACTGTGTCTAGAATTTACTATGTGCATAGCAGTGTCCAGTAAACACGTGTTCATTGAATAAGCAACTTTAACTCTTGCTCTTCTCCAGACTTGGTAACCATTGTAGTGAACACAGAAGGTCATTGCTTTGCACATTAGTTTTAACTCCAAGCAGGGCTTTTATCCCTGTTTTCTCACCCATGAGGCCTCAGAATATACTCAATTCATTCATGTTCAACCAGCATCGGGGCCCATTTGCTCTTTTTCATTAACCCACTAACTTATCACCCTTTTGGTAATCGGGGCTCAAGGACAGCTGTTTCACCAGCCCCTCTGGAAAGACCCCCTGCTCTCAGCAGCAATGTTCCAGGGTCCAGGCTCACTCTCCCTGGCTTCTCCTCTCAGAGGAGCTGAATATCAAGCTGTCAAGTGGGGCAGCCTTGTTCCCCAAGCACACCTGCCCTTCTCAGATGAGGCCTGCTGCCCCTACCCTAAATGTTCACACAATTTAAGTAGCCATTTCAACAGATAACCATGTCAAGAAAGACTCCCTTTGAACATTCCCATTTGTCTTTTCTCTTTCCTTTATACAGAAACTATCACTTACTCTTCCTTTAGGCCAAATTTTTCAGGAATCAAATTTTCAGGGTGGCTGGGCATAGTGGCTCATGGCCATAATCCCAGAAGTTTGGGAGGCTGAGGCGGGCAGATCACTTGAGGCCAGGAGTTCAAGACCAGCCTGGGCAACATGGTGAAACCCTGTCTCTACTAAAAATACAAAAATTAGCCAGGCATAGTGGTGCATGCCTATAATCCCAGCTGCTGGGGAGGCTGAGGCACGAGAATCACTTGAACCTGGGAGGTGGAGGTTGCAGTGAGCCAAGATTGTGCCACTGCGCTCCAGCCTGGGAGACAGAGTCTGTCTCAAAACAAATTTTTCTGGTCTCAAAAATAAATTCTGTTGAGGGTTTTAGGAATGTTGGAGCAATCCATTTGCTGAAATAAATTGAAAGCAGTACCCTAAGTAAAGAAAATCACTTTCTGACAGGTCCAGGATCCCCAGGTTATCTAGGGACCTCAAGAGGAGAGAGATTTACTCAACTCATAGGTATTTGAGGGTACAAACCCATGGCTGGGCTCAGCTTTTTAAAAAGTCCTCTGAGATTCCTTATGAAACAGAGTTCCATCAAAGGCAATTTTAAAAGCCTATGTGAAAAATAATTATTGTTGCTGCACTTCATACAAATAATCAGGCCAAGTATAATAAAGCAAATTGGTCTTGCCATGATTTGTCTTAAGTAAAAATGGAAGACTGGAGAGAGAAAAAGTATGCTTCAAAAACTATGGTACATGTGTTATTAGATTCTAGTCTTATCAGCTGTTTTTGAGGTTTTCTTCTGCAATTTAGACTCACCTTGCTTATTCCTGTGAACCTCAGTGATCTCTGACTGCTGCTCAGAAGAAACAAGAGGGATAGGTAATGTAAAAATCTAGATCGATATTCTAATTCTGGGCACGTAGTGGAATCAGCCAGCAACCCCATATCAGCTTGGTTCCAACAGTTGCCCAGTTCATGGAAAGCCTTCTTATTTAGTTTACTTGGGATAGTTTTACTTATTTTACTTTACTGTTGTGAAATATATTTGCTATTCTACTCTTTGTGTAGGAGTGCAGGATAAGCTTACTCAACGTTTTCTTAAATTGAATACTTATTGATCTGCCAGATATCACCTTTTGTTAGGACTCAAAGTTATAAATGGCCTCACCATATAGATGCTTTCTGACTGAGCTCCTCTCTACTCTGAATACAAGAGACCCTAATAGTTAGGCAGGAATATCATCGCCCTATTCAGCCTGAAGAAGTTACAGAATATGGATCTTTGTTCCTCTACAATCCTTGTAAAAGGGAGGGGGAAAATGTCAGAGGCATTTAAACCAGAGCGACTCCATCTTGAATAGGGGCTGGGTAAAATAAGGCTGAGACCTACTGGGCTGCATTCCCAGGAGGTTAGGCATTCTTAGTCATAGCATGACATAAGAGGCCAGCACAAGATACAGGTCATAAAGACCTTACTGATAAAACAGGTTGCAGCAAAGAAGCCGGCCAAAACCCACCAAAACCAAGATGGCAATGAGAGTGAGCTCTGGTCATCCTCACTGTTCATTATACGCTAATTATAATGTATTAGCATGCTAGAAGGCACTCCTACCAGTGCCATGACTGTTTACAAATGCCATGGCAACATCAGGAAGTTGCCCTATATGGTCTAAAAAGGGAAGGAGCCCTCGGTTCTGGGAATTGACCACCCCTTTCCCAGAAAACTCATGAATAATCCACTCCTTTAGCATGTAATCAAGAAGTAACAATAAGTATAAGCATCAGAGTGGTCCATGCAGCTGCTCTGCCTATGGAGTAGCCATTCTTTATTCCTTTACTTTCTTAATAAACTTGCTTTTACTTTGAAAAAATAAAAGAAAGCAATAACCAGGTTCTAGAATTAATTCTTTATTTGAATGTTGATACCATTTTTTATTTATTATTATTATTTAAAGATTTTTTTCCATTTTCATTGTGGCAAGATACACATTGTAAATTTACCATCTTAACATTTTAACTGTATAGTTTAGCAATATTAAGTACATTCATAACATTGTGCAACAATCACCACCATATGATTAATTCTTTGCATGAGGATTTCCTCAATGACTTGGAGGCTAGAAAAGTGAAACAGGCCGAGTATCCATCTTCGAGTTGGGCTTCTGCCTAGGGTAGTAGTCATAATGATAGGGACATAGGGAAGAGAAATTCTAGGCAGAAAAGTGCAGGTCCCTGGTGAAACACCACCCTCCAGCTGAAAAGCCTGAAACCGCAGCCTAAAGTGAGAACTTATATCCCTGTTTTCCGGCTTGAATGTTGCATTTTCCTAAACCACCCATGGCACCGTCCTGCCCCATCCTGTGCCTATAAAAACCCAGACTCAGCTGGTAGATGGGACTATGGCTGGACATCAGAGAGAATCAGCTTGACTTCAGAGGGACAGCCTGACAGGATAACTTTGGAGAAGAATCCAGCTGGAGACGGCTGCACTTCAGGGATAGATTACCTACCCGCCCCATCCCCTTTTCAACTCCCTTTCCTGTTGAGAGTTACTTTCATTGGCAATCAAATTTCCTGCATTTACCATCCTTCAATTTGTTCATGCGACCTCATTTTTCCTGGACGCCAGACAAGAGCTTGGGAGCCATGAGTGTGGATACAAAAGACTGTCACACTGGCCCTTTGCCCTCACTGGCTGAGGGCAGCCGCCTCATGCAAAAAGGAAAGGGGCCCAATGAACTGTTAACACTTAATCCACGGAAGGCAAAGCTAAAAGAGCACTGTGGCATGCCTCTGGGGCTCCGGGAGTTGCAGGCACCACCGCCTGGATGCTACCGCGGGGCCTGCACAGAATTTCACTCCTGCCGGCGCCAAAGCGGCTGGCTGGTTCCGCCGCTCGTTCTTGGACTAATTCACTCCAGTTCTTGCACTAATTCACTCACTCGCTTCCTCCCGTGAGGAGTTTGGAGTGGCGGGCTGAGTAAATGAGGCACCCCTGTCACGAGTCCTGTGAAGGGGTCGGGGAAATATCCTGCTTTGGTAACAACGACTTACATTCATACAGCTTCTCACGGTTTGCCAGATGTTTGCATATTCATTATCTCATTTGACCCTCCCTCATCATCACCCTGGGACATACAGAAGGTTCTGTCATGGGAGGAGGAGGAACCTCCATGCTTGGCCACTGCCTCCCTCCCATGCTGAGTCCTCTCCCTGAGTGGGATGTCATGACGCAGCCCGTGTGTGCCTATAGCAGAATGAGATTTCAGCATAGAATGACTGACAGCCTAACAACCATGTACCTTACTTCTTCTTAAGGAAAGGCAGAGAATAAAATCTGTCCAGAGGAAAATGACTGTTTTATCACTGGTCATGAGCCTTGATGGCCTCGTAAGACTCAAATAACCTAAGCTAAGGCCAAGAACCTGGGCCTGTGAGGGGAGGGTTGGAAGGTGGGCAGGGAATTTGAACTGCATGTATGTTGGATAGGTAGCCTCTCGGTGGCTTCATCTGCAGCACTGCCTCCTGCCCATCTGCCCTCGAGAGACCGGCCTCCTCCATGGCCAAGTTGTTGTGATGCTGCCACAGATATAACAAGATCCTTTGCCTGGGTACCATGAATGAGAGTCTCTTTGCCTTTTCCAGCCTGATATCATGCAATGTCCTCTGAGTAGAAGGGGATTAATCGTCCATCTGCTATCTACTGGTTTCAGTCCACATAAATGTCTCTGACCTGGATCTTGCCATAAGGGTTATTTGCTGTCTTTTACCTCTGTCTTTTGGCAATAGGGGTTTGGGCTATAGGGATGGGCTCTGACACATCCCCCTGCACTAAATTATTCAACATTCCTCTTATCTTTGCAGAGAAGGAGACTGAGGCCCAAGAAAGGAAATAAACCAAATATACAAAGAAAAGGAAATGATAAACTTGTGACTAAACATCAAATTTGCTTCCAAAGTTCCCAGCCGCTTGATATCAGAGGGCAACATGATGTGCCGTATAGACTTCATTTTGGAGAATTTAATATACCTGCTAGTTTTTCAGGTATATGTCCTTCCAGTGCCAACTGTATAGCCTCTATTCCATTTCTTTTCCTTCATAGCAAATTTCATTATTTTTTAGAAACAAAATTTTCTGATTATAAAAATAATAAATGCTAATTTATTAACAACACAGGAAAATGCAAATTTTAAGAGGTTCTTCTGTAACTTTTGACATTTTTATGTATTTCTTTCCTGCCTTTCTCTTTGCATATAAATAATATACATTATACATAACAACTTTATAATCATATTTATAGCCTGGTGCTTTTTATTGGATTCATTATAAATATTCATGTCATTAAAAATTTCTTTCAAAATATCATGTACATTGGCTGGAACAATATTCCACCATGAAGACATACCATAATTTATTTAACAATTCCTCTGTTGCTTGATATTCACACTGTTGCCAGCATTTCTCTATTATAAATAAAGCTGCAATTATCATACTCCTACCTAAATCTTTGTCAGTATCTCTAATTATTTCCTTTGGATAGATACCTAGAAGTGAAAAATCTAGGTCAAAGCTTAGCAACATTGTAACACATTTGATTGTGTGTGATACACAGTTGGTCAAAACTTCTCGAAATAAATGTCTGTATTTGATGTCACCATGCCTTTCCCCTTTTCTCCCGCGCTGCCTGGCTTTTGCCCGCTCTGTGTCTCTGAAATGGCTCTCCTGAAAAATCTCATGTGTGTTTTTCAGTCTCATAACACTTGACTCCCTCATAGCATTTGTACTGTCAGCTACCCACTCTTCCTCAAAACTCTATTTCTTTGACTTCTGGATTCCTTTCTTTCTTATTTATCTTACTGGTTTTCTGACACACCTGCCAAGACTCAGGAACTATTCTGGCTGTCAGTAACAGAAGAACCTGCTAACAGTGACTGAAGTGAACAAGGACTTATTTTTCTTGCACAACAGAAGACGACATATAGCTGCCAAAGTTGGCTTAGTTGCTCACTGATGCTAGGTCCAGTATCTCTGAGATTCTCTTGGTATTCCCTTCATGCTTGTTGCCTCAAGATCACAATGTGGCTGCTGCAGCACTAGGCATCACATCCACATTCAAGAAAGAAAAAATGAGGCAACCTCTCCCTTTTTGCAATCATTTTATTCAGGAAGCATGTTCTCTTTAGCAGGCCTCCTGCTGTGTTTCATCAGCCAGAACTGGGTCACATATCAGGCTGTAAGCCAATCTTGATTCATCCTCTGGAGGCCTGGGATGGTGTTACCTTCCTGAAATCAAGAGACTCAACCTGAACAAATCAATGTTGTTTTGGTAGGAAAAGGGGATGGTAGAGTGTGGAGAATGGCTTTGCATGGACATTGAAGAGAGTTGCTGCAATTGTTGATTTTAGATTCCTTCCTTAACCCTCTTCCTATTTGAGATGCTTCCTAGGAATATCAACCATAAACCCAGATTCCCCTCCTACCCACAACATGATGATAGTTCAAAACCTGAATCTCCAGCTCAGGGTCCAGCACCCTCACGGTATTTCTCTTGAGATTCTTCAGGTATCAGAAACCCACTTTCTCTGTGATGAATTTTCCCAAACTTGTCCCAATTTTACCTACTCCAGGGGCTTTCAAATGTATTTTAATATCAGAACTTTTTTTTTTGTTTTAAATGGACATTACATGGAAAGACATTACATAAAGCAGATACTTTTATTTCTATCTTGCAGTCCTCCTCCTCATGGGGTGGGTGGGAGAAGGGTTGTGCATCTCTGGGAATCTTTTTTTTTTTTTCTATTTAGAGTCCAGTTCTTGCTCTGTTGCCTAAGTTGGAATGGAGTGGCATGATTGTGGCTCACTGCAGCCTCAAACCCCTGGGCTCAAGTGATCCTCCCATTTCAGTCTCCTGAGTAGCTAGGACTACAGGAATGCACCACCATGTCCTGCTGATTTTTTGAAAAATTTTTGGTAGAGATGGGGTCTCACTATGTTGCCCAGGCTGGTTTCAAACTCCTAACCTCAAGAAATCCTATCTCAGCCTCCCAAATTCCTGGGATTACAGGCACCATACCTGGTTTCAATCTCTTGGAATCTTTAGGACATTGACAAACAGAGGTTATCCTGATGCCTTGGCCTGGAATCCCCCAAAGCAGATCCTAAGACAAATGCTTATCTGATACCACTCTATTAGGGAGTGTGGGCAGTCCCAGGGAAATAGGAGTGAGGAGAAAGGCGAGTCTTTCCAGTCTTCCAGGGCAGGGAAGGAGGGAGAGAAAATATGCAATCACACTAAGGAGCTAGTCAGCACTTGGCATCCCCCTCAATTGATTGCCTCATTTGCCAGACCCTCTTCTGAGTGTCCATATGAGCTGTTGCATCTTAGGACAATCCATCTCTGGGGAGAATATGAGAAAAGTGTATCTGCTGGCTCCTGAGCCCATTGGTCAAAACATCACCTTCCCATTATACGCAGGGTCTTGGTAGCATCTCACACTTCAGGGGCAGCAGATGAGCCTCAGAGCAGGAGGTTAGAAGTGCGCAGCATGAATAAGAGGTGAGGTAATGTTGAGGGTACCTGAGCAGGGACAGTCCCTGAGGTGGCCAGCCAAAATAATGTGAGGCCACAAAGATCTGAGGTGATACACAGAAGGAGTCTGATATAGTTGGTGAACACCCCTATTATACAGGTGAGAAAACTACAAGCCAGAGAGGGAAAGTGCCTTGTCCAGTCTTATACAGCTAGTTAGTGGTAGAATGCTGCACACTAGACTCTCAGGCTAGTGCTCCTTTATCCTGCTAAGCTCTCATTGCATGCATTTTTTTTACCTGTTTTTCTCTTGAAGACTCAAGAAAGCATCATCAAAGCCCTGACCTTTCTCAACTGAATATTCTAAGTGGCTTTGGTATCAGCTTTATCCAACACAGACTGTGTGCACATTTTAATTGGAGCATTTTTTGTTTGTTCGTTTGTTAACCAGGTTCCTTTAGAGTTAGGCAAAGGAAACTTCCACTTCCACAGTGAAGGGGAAGACTATTATTATCAGCCACATCTGCCAATATTAGGTAGAGGCTTTGTTCGTCTTTGCCACAATTGGGCAGCAGCCATCCTTATTTAATAAAATACTGAGGATAATTCTAAACTGAGAGTGATGTACCAAACTTAGACGAATGCTTTATAGTTTCATATTCTTTTTAATATTGAAAATTGCCATTTACAGTTCCCTTTCTTTTACAAAATCCTTTTCTGTGATTGACGTGGTATACATTAGGCATAACTATAATAATCATAGATTTTCTTCCAGAAAACAAAACCAAACTGGGGAATAGGTATTAACAATGCATAAAGAAGTCATACTTGTACTACAGAGAAAGGTGGGAATTAGTTACCTTGTTTTAGACCCTGGACCTTTCTAAGAATTGTTATTCTGTGAAATGATTTCCTGAGGCTGGCCACCTCCTAGGAGATGATACTGAAGTACAGAGGGCCCTTGAACAATACGGGTTTGAACTGTGTGGGTCCACTTATATGTGGATTTTCTTCTACTTCTGCCACCCCAGAGACAGAACTACCCCTCCTCTTCTTCCTCCTCCTGAGCCTACCCAAAGTGAAGATGACAAGGATGGGGATCTTTATAACGATCTACTTCCACTTAATGAATAGTGAATATACTTTCTCCTCCTTATGATTTTCTTTTTTAACTTTTGTGGGTGCATAGTATACGTATATTTTTATGGGGTACGTGAGATATTTTGATAGAGGCATGCAATGTGTAATAATCACTACTCTTTTAGCTTTTTTTTTTTTTTTTGAGACAGAGTCTCTCTCTGTTGCTCAGGCTGGAGTGCAGTGGCACGATCTCAGCTCACTGCAACCTCAGCCTCCCAGGTTCAAGCAATTCTCCTGTCTCAGCCTCCCAAGTAGCTGGGACTACAGGCGCCTGCCACCACACCTGGTTAATTTTTGTATTTTTAGTGGAGACAGGGTTTCACTGTATTGGTCAGGCTCGTCTTGAACTCCTGACCTCAGGTGATCCTCCCGCCTCGGCCTCCCAAAGTGCTGGGATTACAGGCGTGAGCCACCGTGCCTGGCCTCTTTCAGCTATTTTTAAATATAAAATTAAATTATTTTTTTACCACAGTCACACTGTTGTGCTAGCAAATACCAGGGCTTATTCATTCTTTCTATTTTTTTGTATCCATTAGCCATACCCACTTCCCTCTCCCACCCCCACTCCAACTACCCTTCCCAACCTCTGATAACTATCCTACCCTCTATCTCCATGAATTCAAATGTTTTAATTTTTAACTCCCACAGATAAATGAGAACATGCAATGTTTGTCTTTCTGTGCCTGGCTTATTTCACTTAACGTAGTGACCTCCAGTTCCATCCATGTTGTTGCAAATGACAGGATCTCATTTTTCTGTGGTGGAATAGTACTCCATTGTGTATATGTGCCACATTTTCTTTATCCATTCATCTGTTGACAGACACTTAGGCTGCTTCTAAACCTTGGTGATTGTGAATAGTGCTGCAGTGGGAATGCAGTTATATCTAAGATACACTGATTTCCTTTTTTTGGGGTATGTACCCAGCAGTTGGATTGCTGGCTCGTATGGTAGCTCTATTTTTAGTTTTTTGAGGAACCTCCAAACTGTTCTCCATAATGATTGTACTAATTTACATTCCCACCAACTGTGTATAAGCATTCCTTATGATGTTTTTAAGAACATTTTTTCCTCTAGCTTACTTTATTGTAAGGATATAGTATATAATACATATAAAATAAAACATATGTGTCAATCAACTGTTTATGTTATTGGTAAGGCTTCCAGTCAACAGTAGGCTATTAGTAGTATTCAACTAGAGATCATACCACTGACAGAATAGACTCCTTGTGGCAATAATATACCCAATTATAAACAAGACCTAAGGCCACTCTAGGCAAGGGTTAAGTCATGTACCCCCTACACTTAAAAAAAAACTATGTGCTGCCACAAAGTTTCTTCTCTTTCTCTATCAGCTAAACAAGCACTAGCCTCAAGACAAGCAATGTTGAAATAATTGCAGCTCACTGCCAGATGCTGACTGACATTCCCCCCACCATTCCACAAGCCATAATTACAGCTTTGATTGGATACAAGAGTGATTTCAGTCATTTCATCCTGCTAAAAGACCACTGACCATAGACTGGTTCTGGCTGGTTTACACAGGCTGTGCACTGAGTGCCTTCATGTCCTCTGCTTTACCTTTTGATGTATAGTGACGAATTGTAATGCATTTAAATGTTAGGGGTCCACCTGAAAGTGAACATGGGCTGACCGTAATAGACATGTTTCATTACTACACATGCATGTATCCCCTCTTCATGAGTATTCATAGCTCCTTCTATAACCTGTTGAACATGTATGCTTGGCCAACCTGTTCAGTTTAAATCCTTATTCCATCTTACCCTCCCTCAAAGTGTCTGCTTTTGGTCTTTGCTGGAGGCTACACTTCTCAGCCTGTCAGAATGGCCAGCCTGTGTCAGGATGGCCAGTGTAATTCACACTTTCTTGCAGAATTCAAGGACAATCCCACTAATTGACAGGCAGCAAGTAGCTGACATACTAGAGTGTTCTATAAAAACAAATGACACTGACTGACATGCAGGTATACACTCCTAATAAATTCACCAATCCTTGCTTTCCTTCTGGGTACACATACTTCCTGGCCACTAGATAGCTTTTATGAGGACTCAGGTTTGTTCAAATTCTTTTTCCAAAGAAATGGAACTTCCTAAAAGATTTTAGGTTGTTATATTCTTGAATTGGTTGAGCAAAATGTGTCTTCTGATCTTTGATAGTTGACTGAATGTGCTGGTGAAATAACTGAAATTCATTGTGCTTTCACTAAAGACTCGTGAGTGTGTCTGTGTGTTATTTATATTAAAAGTATTTAAAAACGCATTTGTATTTAATCTACCCAGTAATAATTTTTATTGTTTTCCCATGAAAATTACACAAGCAAGACTAACCATAAGAAATGCCATTACTAGTAAAATTTCTGATGCATAGACAGAGGCTGCCTTGGATGTGTGCTAAGGCTCATAGAATACAGACGATACAGTAATTTTAAGATGATGGTCTTCATAGAGCCAGAAACAATTTATTTTCAATTTTTGAAGTGAAAATTATTTCATCACTTAGAAACACATTTTTAAATGTCCCTTGAGGTTTTTTAGTTCCTGTAAACAACAACAACAACCATGTGTTGCTCATTTGAATTATAGCAGTGTATTTCTTATCTGGCATTGGGAGAGTGAGGGATTGGAGATAGTGATCCAATTCCACATTTACTGAGTGCTGATGGAGTTGGTATGAGACTGCTTTCCATATGTGTGCAACCCACATCCATGCTGAGAAAAGCTGGGGCCATGAACATGCTGACTTAGGGATAGGGAGGTGAGGCAGGACAGGAAGAGAACAAATAGACTAAGTTTAAAAGTTAGAACTGTGAATCTTTGTTCAGCGGGTTATAACCATCAGGGTGTAAATATATAACACTGTTCTAAGCATGTAGTAAGCACTCGATAATTAAGTGACTAGGACAAATATTAGATTAATTGTCTTCTAGGCTTCTGGATGTCAGGGACCATACTAGCTTGGCATGATCGTTGTTTGGGAATCTAAAACAATAATGTATACTCAATGATTTGGGAATTGAAGGATGAAGTTCATAGATCACTCTGAGGCTGTTTAGCTCAATTAGGTACCAACAAGACACAGGCAGTAAGTTTTATGTCCATAAAGATATGGGCTATTCATCAAACCATGGATTACTTTTATAAGCATGAGCCACTGTTGGTGATAAAGAAAAACTCAAGCAACAGGATAAGGGGGAAAACTCAGAATATATTCTAATAACAGGATATTGTTTGTATGAGAGGAACAGGACATTTTAGCAGGTCAGGTGATGAATTAAAACAACTTGGAGAAATGAACAAAAGAATCATTGGACTCTTTGGACTCTCAGGGAGAAATGACAAAAGAGTCAGACCTCAGTTAAATTCAAGTTTCTACACAGAGCACATGAAGGGAGGAAGTAGGGTACTGAATCTCAAATGTTTTTTGATCATGGGTCATAATTTAAAAACCATTTAATGGTGTGACCTATGGCATATATACATACAAACATATATATCTGAAATTGTAATGTCATAAGTGATACTCTTATCATTTACAATGAACTCTGTTATTTTCTATTCTATTCTATTCCATCATTTCAAGAATACCAGCACTATCTACCTAATTGATTTCACAGCCCATAATGGGTTATGATCTGTAGTTTGAAAAACACAGGGCTGGGTAAACACCAAGGGTAAGAAAATGTACTTAAAACTCTGGTGAGGACTTATCTATTATGGGTTGAAAGAAGAGACTGCTGGGATGGGCCAACCCAGTCAAGAAACTTCTGGGAAGTAAGCAGGCTGAGAGGTCTGCACTGCCTGTGGGAGTCAGGTGAGAGTCAAGATCTGCCCCAGGTGACCACTGGATACTGGTCACCTGGGTTAACTTGCTTTGAAGACATGCCAGAATTTCTACCCAAACCTATAAGACATTGAGCATTTTGAGGGCTACAGAGGAAGAGGGGGGGATTGGTATCTGGTATCACCGAGTGATGCTAGTTACAAAGGATCCTGGACAATGCTACCTTGATGCATGGTTACAATCTTTGCAGATCTTACAGAGGAAGTAATTTACACAGTAGGGACTCAACTCTTCCCTGCTCAAAATGTTGAAAGAGCGTCTCATGATACTTAGGATAAAGGTCAAAATACTTGTGATGGGCTACAAACCCCTTGCACGGCTTGTGCCCTGCCTCTCTCTCCACCTGCTCTCCCCACCATCTATCCTACCCTGTAGCCTGTGAGACACTTTCAAACTTTCCAAACTTTTCCTTAGTGTCCCTCATACTGTTCCCTCTACTTGAGCCACTCTTCCTCTGTTCTTCAACCAATTTAATTTTTACTCCCACATGAAACCTTTCCTGATTCCCCAGATGAGAGTAGGTCCCCTTGTTAGACCCTTCACAGAGGAAAATCACTTATTTGTGTAAGCATGTATTTAATATCTCTCTCTCTTATTAGACTATGAGCTCTGTGAAAGCAGGGACTATGTCTGACAAAAGATAAAAACATCTACTTTAAATATCTTATCAGGAAACTGCATTTCATTTTCTTTGATAATATTTAGAATATCTTCTGAATCTATGCTTATATCACCTTTTTATTGATAATATTAATTTTTTCTTTCTCTTTTCCTTAACCAGGCTTCTGAGGAGTTTACCTATTTCATTGTTCTTTTTAAACACCAGATTTTGGGTTTATTTATTCTTTTTACTATTTTTAGCAACACCACTACATTCTCCTATTAGTTCTAATAGTTCTTCTAAAAGAACTAGAGTCTGAAGGTTTTTAGTTGTGCAATTACAGCATTTACAATGAAACAATTTCTTTCTTCCTTTTCCATATTTGTATCTACTATTTCATTTTCATGTCTTACTGCTTTATTTTAGTCTCTAAAACAATATTAATAATAGTGGTGATAGGAGGCATCTCTGTTGTATTCCTGAATTTGGTGGCTTTAGTACAGCTCCACTTTGTGTGCTGTTTGCTGTGTTGTTTTTAGTAGTTAGCATTTATTGTTCCTTGAAGGACCAGTAAGGTTGGATGAAATCCAGAAGCGTCCTGGGAGTCACACGAAAAAATAACTATTTCAGGAGAAAGGAGTGATTGACTACATCAAATGATGGATAGGTCAAGTAAGATAAAGCCTGAGAACTGATCATTAGATTTAAAAACATAGAGGTCTGTGATGACCTTGACCAGAGCATGGAGTGATGATTGGAATGGGTTAGACAGAGGATGCGGGGAGAGGAGGTAGAGACCGGGAGAGGAGGCAAGTTCTGTTTTGCCAGGAGATGTTGTAAAGGGGAGAAGAGAGTTGAGGCAGCAGCTGGAGGAGAATGGGGTCAAAAGAGTATTTTTGTTTTGTTTTGTTTTTTAAAGATGGGAGACATTAAACTATATTTGAAAGTTACTGCTTAGGACCCAGCATTAAGGTAAAACTGGTGATCAAACAGAGAGAGGCATGTTATAGAGAGATGTGCTTACAAAAGTGAGAGGAGCGAGATCTTGTACACAAGTGGAGGGTGACTTTTTTTTTTTTTTCTTGAGACAGAATCTTGCTCTGTTGCCCAGGCTGGAGTACAGTGGTGGGATCTCAGCTCACTGCAACCTCCGCCTCCCAGGCTCAAACGATTCTCCTGCCTCAGCCTCCTGAGTAACTGGGACTATAGATGTGCGCCACCACGCCTGGCTAATTTTTTATATTTTAGTAGAGACATGTTGCCCATGTCGCCTAGGCTGGTCTTGAACTGCTGAGCTCAGGCAATCTGCCCACCTCGGCCTCCCAAAGTGCTAGGATTACAGGTGTGAGCCACTGGGCCCAGGCAGAAAGAGGCCTCATGCAGTATTCAGCCCTCTTGCCCTTCTGCCTTATGCCATATGAGGACACAGCATTCCTCCCCTCCAGAGGATGCAGCCATGAAGCGCCATCTTGGAAGCAGATACCTGACCCTCACCAGAGACCAATCCTGCCATTGCCTTGATCTTGGATTCCCAGCCTCCAGAACTGAGGGAAATACATTT
This sequence comes from Homo sapiens, assembly GCF_000001405.40. Lineage (NCBI taxonomy): Eukaryota > Metazoa > Chordata > Mammalia > Primates > Hominidae > Homo > Homo sapiens. Next base: position 50,556,952 of record NC_000018.10, read on the forward strand.
CCGTTCATTATAAATTACCCAGTCTTAGGTATTCTGTTATAACAGCACAAACATATTAAGACAAGGAGGGAAGGCAGACTATGAGAGACAGGGACAGATGCTGGTAAGTGGGCCACTGTAGTCGCCTATTGTTTCTTTTTCTCCACAGACGTATAGCTTTCCTAGGTGATTCTCATAAGCGTGCAAGTGTGGAATCACTCGTCTATAGCTAGAACCAAGCAACTTACACAGCTTATCACTTCCTTCAATCAAGTTGATCCTACATCTTGGATCTCATCTCTCTTGTGATGAGGAAAGCCGTTTCCAGAAGAAAGAATGAAGAAAGTGTGATTTCAAATTCCTAGGCCCTAGATCCCACTCTATGAGAACAGCCCAGGCTGGTCTCAACTTCATAGCTGGACAGGCTGGACCTATGAGAAAAGAGAGGGAGGAAAGGAAAGGGAGAGGGAGAGGGAGAGGGAGGGAGGAACAGAAAGAGAGAGAAAGAGGTAGATAAATAGAGACAAGGAGAAAAAACGTCAGTCCTCTCCCAAGAAAGAAGCAACCCAAGAGGAAGAAGGGCACCTGGCTGCTCAGGGTATCCCCTCATCTAGAAGCCATGGTATAGTGGGTTCCTCAAACATGGCCAGTGCTTACCCCCGGAAGAGAGGCCACATGCAAAGTCATTGGCCCCGATGCCAACTCCTCCTGGGAACAGAAAGGGTGGGGTCAGGAATCTGTTTAATCACCTAAGTTGCTTCCCTCCTCTACCTAGATCTGAGTCAAAAACAGGTGCCATGGGAGACAAATTTAGCCAGCACAATATTTTTGAAAAGTATACCGAAATACCCTAAGCAAGGCAGACAGGGCACTTTTTTGCTCTGTGCAGCACCCCTTGCCCCCATATCCTCCAGGGCTACTGTAGATGTGGGCACCCCTGGCCTAGCTACCGAGTTACAGCTTCTGGTGTCTAGTCACAGGCAGTAAGGAAATGCTGGCTCATTTTTTTTTCCTCCCAGAAAAAAAGTCTTCAAACAGAATGACCTGGTGAACTTCCCAACTCCAGAATTCTGTGCAGTTATTTTCTAGTGACTGACACCGACTTCAGCCAGCTGTTTCTTTAGAAGTCTTCCCTATGGAGTAAAAATAAGAAATAACTTGTTTCCTGATAGCAGCAAGGAGAACAGAACACCACTTTACCTGACAGTGGAGAGCCCCAGACAGATACTCGCTTCCTGTTCATTCCCCTGCCATCGTACGGTAATGGGCACTGATATTAAACATGCATATTTCACAGTCTCTTGTCCCGCGATTTGGAGGATGGCCATTCACTATGTATGAACCACTCACTCATGCTCATCACACAGAGAAAATTACATTTTCCCAGTTGCCAAATGGAAGAGATAAATTATCTCACGTGGACAAGCACATTGCTCTCAAGAGCAGCTTCCAGACCTAAGATAAACAGATTAAAAAAAAAAAACAAAAACACGCTGGAGGGGGACTCTGAGCTTTCCAGGTGTTGATGGGGGTCAGTCTCTTCATTCGGACTCGCCAGATCCTCACTTTGCAGTTAGTGGGCTTAAAGTGGCGGGACATTTGCCCTTCTGTTTCTTTTGGATTAAATGAGCAGCCTTGGGGCCTCTTATTCTTCCTTCATAGAAGAGATGTTATAAAAATGAATAAATCAACACAAAACATTTCATATTTATGCCTACTTGCTGAATTGATACTACTTGTAATGAAAATCAAGGAAGCAAAATGTTAAAATGTTCTCTTTGGGGAAGACACATTGGAATGTCTTACCACAGATATACACACACTCGCTTGTTACACACTCCTTCCTTATCCCTAACTATTCTCTGAGGTTAATGAAGGTCCTGATAACTGCAGTCTCTAACTTAGCATATCATCCTAAACCTACTACCTGCACACATAGGAGTCGCAGCGCAACTATGTACTAATGGCAGCCAACACTCATTACCCTTCATACCACCATCACTGTGCAAACCCTTAGTGCATTTTCCAATATGATCCCACAATCCTTCATTTTTATGTTTTGCCCACGCTAAAATTCGACAGCGAATTCTTGCAACAATTATTAAGCGTCTGGAATTGTATTAGGGTCTGGGGGTAGAGGTGGGGGACGAAGCGGGAATAACTGCAGTACACAGCAGACCCTATGAAAGTGCCAAAACGCAGGTCTCACTCGGAAGGCTTTGGGAGTTGGGAGAGGAGAAGGCTCATGGGCAGCTAAAGCCACCAGTGACCTCATTATGCAATATTTAGGTTATCAGACTTTTCTATGCCTAGAAAAGCAGCGCCTCAACCATTCCAACGGGACGCACCGCGTTCAGTGACGACCCTCATCGGTGCCCACAGCTCTGGGCTCGCTGAAGGCACCACAGAAGCACCAGTTATTACCAGTGTTAGGGTCCAGTGGCTTCTTCTGTCCCTTTCCTCTGGATCCCAAAGTGTTGGTTCTCTTTTGTTAGTTTTATTCCGGTCATGCCAATGAGCACAGATTCACAGCCCAGGCGGCCCGCTCGGAATCCCAGGCCGGCTGGGGACCGGTGCACTTGGGCTCCGCGCCCCCTCGACCCTCGGCCCAGTGCCCCTTCCCGCGCGCGCGGGTCTCCCCGGTTCCAGAGCCCACCGGTCCCCGCCGGCTCCTTCTCCCCACCCACCCTCCCACCGGGCCCCCGGCGGCTGCAGCCGCGCGGGGCTGGCGGGGCGGCGACCGGGCTCAGGCAGATCCCCGCTTCCCGCCTTCTCGGCGCCCCCTCCCTCCCGGACGGAGCCCGAGGATCCCCCACCCACGGCGGGCGTGAGGAAGGGCTTCTGAGTGACTGGAGCTCTACCGCGTGTGCCCCGGGAAGGCCAGGCTACCCGGGACGGGGCTCGGCTCCCCAGGTGAGCTCGTCTCCGCGGGACTGGGTCCGGGAAGGCCCCAGGACCGCGCGGCTGAGCGGCCTGGAGGCTGCGGGAGGGCAGAGCAGGGCGCGCGGGAGACTGCCGCCCCCGGGCGCCCAGGGCCCGGCTCCCCAGCGCCACCGCCGCAGCAGGTGGGGGCCCAGTGGGCGGGGGCGGGGCCCGGCTCTGGGCGGAGCCGAGGCGGCGGCGGCGCAGGCTGGGGCCGGGGCCGGGGCGGGAGCCGGAGCCCGAGCTGGAGCAGCGAGCCGGGCTGTCGGGGCGACCGCGGGAGCTCGCCGTGCGCCGTGGCTGGGACCGGCCTGGCCGAGCGCGCCGGCGCCGCGGCCGCAGACAAAGGGCGGCTCGCGCCCGGGCCGCCACGCTCTCGGGCTCTGCCTCGGTAAGTGGCTCCCCTCCGCTGGCTTTCTCCTCCCGCCGCCTGCGCCTCTCGGAGTTCGGCGGGCTCCGGAGAAGCGGGGAAGAGATGAGACTTCCCCGCCCGCACTGCCTCCCCACCTTACCCTAACAATAAGCCCCCCAGGCCAAGCCACTGCCAAACTAGCGAGTTTCCGAGCGGCGGGGGTCTCCCGCGGGACCCGCCCGGCTGCCCTGGGTGAGCTCCTCGCCTGCAGACCGCGCGCCGGTGCTGTCCTGGACCCGTTTGGGATGGGAGGTTGCCGCTGGGCTCCTCGCGTTGTGTTTAGGGGAGGAGGACGCAGGGGCCGGGCGCCGCTAGGGGACCCCACCCCCGGGGACAGTCCGGAGCGCTTGGGGTCGCCGAGGGGCAGTTCACACTGCGAGTTCAGATTCGGATCGCAGTCCCGATTATCCTCCCCTCCAGCCTCTCCCTTTCTCGTTGAAGGGTTAATACAGCGTCCTCTCCCCTCGCCACCCGACAGAGGCGCCTACACTGGCGGTAGGTAGCCCCTGGGAGAGGGGGAGTGGGGGGACCCCGCCGCTTTCGCCGCTGGGCGACCCAGAGCCCCAGCCTGCCGGAGAGGGCAGCGGCTCGGGTTTGACATCCCAGCTGGGTCCCGGGCCGGCTCCCTGAGCCTCCTCCCGGGTTGCTCTCTATCAGGAAAGCAATCGGAAGTCAGGCCGGCTTTTGCTTTTGTTCTGCCAGCTACTCTACGGAATCGTAGGTGAAGCCGGGGTGGGCGGATGCCCCGGGAGGGGGCTGTGGCGGGAGTTCCAGGTGCGTCCCCGAAATGACCATTGGAGGCGGCGGCTGTTTCCCGCCCCTGGGTGGGGAATGGATTCCGATCGCTAATCGATACCCTGGAGCCAGCAGTGGGTCAGCAGCGTCCCGACAGAGCGCAGCGGCCGCGTACTGTCACGCGCCTCTCCAGCACTCTCGAAAGCACTACCTCGAGACGTGCATTTCCATTCATGGATCTGTGCCTGGGGGTTGATTAATGTCACCCCTGCCTGGGTTGAGGAGTGTCCACAACTGCTCAGTAGCCATTTACTGGGAGGTTACTGTGTGCAAGGCAGCTATCTTAAATAACCTTAATGTAAAATATACTTATTGAGCACCTACTATGTGAAAAGCAGGTATACTGCAGACTTTTCAATTGAATGGATATGTATTGAGCACCTACCCCGTGCGAAGGTGAAGCGTCATGACGTTCTCAATGTAACAGATATTTATTGAGTACCTACTATGTTCAAGATAGCTATGCTATGACCTTATTGTAATATGTATTTACTGAGCACCTACTAAATACTAAAGGCTTTTTTGCTGAAGGGTTGCCCAGTGTACTTTTGGGGTACGGATAGAAACAAGGGAGAGAAAATATAATATCTTCTGAACCTCGAGTCTTCAACTCCTTTAGTGACCTGCGTTTTAACCTTTCCAAACCGCTTGTGTGGTGTATGAAGGGCTAGTCTTCTACACTTGAGGGTACACTTCTATGCTTGAGGGTTTGTCAGACAGGAGCAGGGCTGAATAGTAAAAAGGCTTGCTCTGGAACCTCTTTCCAATTCAGTTTCCTTGCATTAGAAAAGTCAGCCTCTTTGCATAAAGCACCATGGAGTTATCACAGGGAATCAAAGGGCAATAAGGCAAAGCCCTAATGCTCAAAGGGACAGAGAATCCATGCTGGAGACAGACAAAAAGACACCTCCCTTTTAATGCTACTGTCATACCGTGCTTAAACAGCTATTGTGGGAATACTCAGTGCTTTAAACTAAATAACAAAGCAACCTTGGATCATCTGATCCAGAAGTTCTAGACAACTGACCTAACTCCTAGAATTCTGCTTTTGAGCAGTGAGGGATTAATTGTAATTTTTCTTCATGTCAGAAATTAATTGCATGTATTTTTCAATTACTAAAAAAAAGCAAACAAATAGAAATTAGTGATTTGTATTAATCCAGAACCTAATCTGCTTTAACTCAATTACTCCAGATGCGTGAATCTCCTGTTGGGTTGGTTGCAAGTTGACTCAAATTCGTTGTTTCACTTTTGCTGCAGGTTAAAAGTCTGCCTCTTACAAACCCTGGCTATATCACCCTCTTGTTTCTAACTAAACAAGATTTTCTCAAATAAACTTCATTCTGCATTTTGGCCAATAAAAAAAAAAAAAAAAAAGACACCTCCTAAACAAGGAAGGAACCAATAGGGGAAGGGAGAGGGAAGCATGAAGACAGGGCCAGCTGAACCTTCCAGCCCCTCACTCCAAACTGATACCAGTGATGTTGGGGTGAGAGAGTCTAAGTCCCATCATTGCCCATGGCTGGGGCCCTAGGACTGGAATTAAATAGTTTTCCTGCTAAGAGATTTGATGAATCTGTTACTCTGATAATCTTAGGATCTTGAGATGCACTGGAATATCCAGATTGGCGAGAAAATCATATCCATTAGCAAATATTTGAGTATTTACAATGCAATATAGGCATTTATCAGGGAAATGTAGTCTAAGACGTAGTCTTTGTCTTAAAGAACTCTGGTTCATGAGATAAACATGTAAAATGACAACTTGGGCAGCATATATGAAAAGCCAGGAGCAAATTCCTCCTGGAATTTGACATAAAAAATATTCTCACCACATGGAACTGTGGTTTTTCTCTTATCAGACATTGAGAACTCTCTACGTGCCTTGTATGTTTATCTTTTTGCCTTGGCCTCTAGAAATTCCTGGTAATGGCTTTATCCCAGCTTCTTGGTACAATGATTTTTTTCTCCCTAAATTATTTCTGAGACCTCTCTTTTAAATTCTTTATAAAAAACTATATTACAGGATTTTTGTTGTGAACTTGAAAGCCTCTCTGAAATCTTTTCTGTAAGTAAGCCCGTTATGAAAGATACATAGAAAATATGGTAAGTATTAGATGAATGTGCTCATAAGAAAAGGGGGAAAAACTATCCGGAATTTACAGAGAAAACAAACGGGCTTTGCAAGATGAAATAGGATTCAGATGGGCAAAGACAACTAACAAAGACTTTCCTCCCAAATTGAGGGAAATAGCGTTGGCAAAGGTGTCAAGGAAAACAAACCGAATTTAGAGTACTTTAGGTATTTGATAGATCTTCCTCTGGAATAGTTTCCATTCACTCAACACACGAGTGCTGCTGGAACATTTTACTGTGTCAAGGACTAGGCTAGGTGTCAGGTGGGGGGCATCACCCAGAACCAATTGAGGTTCAGCATGATCCCACAGCTGTCAAGGACCTTTGTCTCCTGTCCTGGCTGTGGGGTAGCACTGCCCTGCATCTCAGCCATTCTTTCAAGCATTCCTGGAGTTTTTTCACCTGAGCTGAACTTGACTGTAATCTTCTTCAAGGCCAAGAATGTGACTTTTTTTTCTCTCTGCATCCCTCCCTCCTTGCAGGTTCAGGCAGAAAGAGTCGGTAGGGTAGGTGACACTTATTTCAGTGACCTCTATTGCCCATTTCGTCACTCCTTCCTGGCCTCATCAGGGCCTGCTATGCTCTCTTCCTCTCCATCATTTTCAGCTGTTGAGAGCCTTTCACTGTATGCAAACTGGTCTCAGGGGAAAACCAATCTGTCATCGGTCACTTTCTCTTAAATATGAATGTAGGTCACTGTGTTCTCTCTTCCAGGGGTCTTTGCACTTTAAGCCTCATAATGGAATGAAAGGCTGTGTTCACCATGAGACAATGTCAGGCACAGACAAGTGGGTGTTGGAGGTAATTGGGGAGGCAAAGTGACTTTCTTGGTGCTCCTGAAACCACCACCCCCTCACATAGCCAGTCTTGGCAAGGGTCCTTGCAGTCCCATGATTCTTGAAAGTCTGGAGGCTTCATTGCTGTTTATCATGGTGCAGTGGTTGAAGTCAGGTAGTGGCTCTCTGTGAGCCACCTGTCAGCTTGGCCCTCATACATTCCACTCCAAAGTTTAAAGCTTTATCGTTTGCAGGGAGAATCCTTGCTTCCTTACCTATATGTGCCCATTATTTTAAGGCAGCTATTCTCAACCTGGGCACTATTGATGTTATGGGCCAGATAATTTTTTGTTATGGGGAGCTGTCCTGTGCATTACAGGGTGCTTAACAGCATCCCTGGCCTCTACCCCCTAGATGCCAGGAGCACTAAACACCAGCCTGCTCCCCAAGTTGTGACAACCCAAAATGTCTCCAGCCATTGCCAAGTATCCCCTGGGAAACAAAATCACTGCTGCTTGACAACCACTGTTCTAAGGGTTATTGGTTATTATGTATCATGCCATATAAGAGAGGCCTTATCTAATGTAATTCAATTCTTTTCAATAAAGAGGAACTATTACATGTGTAATTAACATGGCAGAACTTTTCATATAAGTAATTTCATAAATTAGAATAAATATCCTTTTTTTCAGACCTGATATCCTAATCTGGTTATTATATTAAGTTCATCTTTTGAAGCATAAAGCCTCAAATTCTTCTTTTTCTAGTGTGGCTGATTTATATACCACAACTGTGGGTAGCAGAACCGCCATTACCCACAAGATCATCCCCGCCTGCTGCTTGGGCAGTGCCTGGTAACCACCAGTCGGGAAGGAAAATGGCAGAGGAGGATTCAGTTCTGGTGGACTTGATGCTTATGTAATTTGATGGACCCTCTTTAAGGAAACGACAAAACGATAAGGGGAGCACATTGCTAGGACCCCTCCCAGGCCTTGGAAGGGTCCTGTGAGGACAAGTGATGGGCTCTGAATTTAAGTTTCATTAGCTTCTTGGGAAAGCAGTCTTTGGGAAAGCAGTCTTTGGGAAAGGTTTTGAGGAATGACTGGACAGCTGTGTTTGCAAGAATAGGAAGCTAGTCCTACCTGTGACTGATAGGAGCTAAGAGAATGTTCTCAAAGTATTGACTTAAATTGAGAGCACAGATCAAAATGGAATTGTTAAACCTAGGGTGACCTATACTTCTGTTAACATCTGCCCTCAAAAGTAAGAACTTCTGTATCGTCAGCAGCCCCAGGTCCACATGAGCAGCATCATAGGTGAAATGAGGGGCAGGGATCGTTCCGGTTTAGCAGGAGGCTCTGTGTTCCACTAGTGGGTAGTAGTAACTTACTGCACCTTGTAAACGAGGTTGGTCAGTGCTGAAGTTACTGCCTCGGGAAATGAATGAAACTCTTTTTCAGGTCACTCTAATGGTATTTGAAGAGTTTATAACAGGAGTACGTTGATTCAAACTTTTCTTTTGGAATACCTGAGCCTGGGATGAGATGTCCTTGCATTAAAACAGGCCAGGCAGGAAACACTTGCCCCCTCATTTTGGGGAGCAAGTAATTTAAGTACAGTTGTGTGCTACATAATGACATTTCAGTCAATGAAGGGCTGCATGTGGGACTGTGAAACTGTAAGATTATAATACTGTATTTTTCCTGTACCTTTTCCATGTTTAGACATATTTAGGTGTACAGATACTGACCACTGTGATACAGTTGCCTACAGTGTTCAGTACAGTAAGCATGCTGTACAGAGTTGTAGTCTAGGAGCAATAGGCCATACCATATAGCCTAGGTATGTAGGCTATTCCATCTAGGTTTGTGTAAGTATGCTCTATGATGTTCCCATAACCAGGAAATTGACTAATGATGCATTTCTTAGATGGATCCCCATCATTAAGTGATGTATGACTGTATGACTTTAAGAACTTAAAATAATAAGGCTTTAAAAATGAAACTATAATTCAGACTTCTCATTAATTAATCTTTTTCCTTAGTTTAGATCACCTTAGCTTCAGTGAGGAAGACAGTGTTCTAATTGTTGCTTTAGTGTAGAAATGTTAAATATAAATGCCTGGCCCTGCACAAGACTGATCTGGCAATGTATCAATGTCTAGATTTAACAAAAATTAAAAATAAGAAATAAGAAACACTCTACATGAAGATTTGCTGTAGGAGGGATTTCTTTTAAAGCATTGCTAGTCTTTCATTTGTATTTAAACAGGTCTGATTTGTATAAATTTTTCGAGTTGAGACCTGTTTGGAGATCTTAGGTCAAATGTGCACACAGTCACAGAAATTAGACCTGAAAGAGATTTTAGGGGTTTCTGGCCAGCCTTGCTTGCCCATTGAATAATTGGAGAAACTGAGGCTGAGAGTGGTTAGATGGCTTGCCAAGGTCACACAGAGATCAGCTGGGAGGCTGGCGCAAGGAGCCAGGAGCTCACCCCATCCCCTTGACACTCAGTGCTGCTGGGATACCGTTCTTCTGTCTTCCTGGTTGTAGAGTGTGTTGGTGTAGGGAGACCAGGCAGGAAAAGGGTTTGATAACTTGTCTCATTTCCAGGGCACCTGATCCTCAAAGAACTACTCATTAATTCGAACTGATTACATCTATGCCAAAGGTGTGTGTAAACACAGGCAGTACTGAAACTATCACAGAAAAATTGAGACGGTTCAATTGGTGGAATGAGACTATTTTATAAAAACTTCCTTTATTGCTTTTTTTGTATCATCTTTACAGTAAATAACTAGAATAAAAACATTTATTTGTCTATTTAAAAAAGTAATATATATTCATTATGGAAAGTGGCAAGAAGAATAAACAAATCCTACCGGTGATCCTGTGATACTTTAATCCCATTCGTATTTTGCTGTGTATTTTTAGTGTGTTTTTCAGCCCATTTTCAAGCTCATTTGAACAATTGAGACCATATTGTACATATAATTTTAATTTTTCTTGCTTTTTTATTAGAATAAACAATGTATGTGTTATTGTGAACATAATTTTTGTGAACATAAATTCTTTGTGAACATAATTTTTTTTTGTCTTTCCACAATGTCAGAGTTTTATTGATGCTTTTTTTTTTTACTTTAAGTTCTGGGATACATGTGCAGAACATGCAGGTTTGTTACATAGGTATACACGTGCCATGGTGGTTTGCTGCACCCATCAACCTGTCATCTACATTAGGTATTTCTTCTAATGCTATCCCTCCCCTAACCCCCACTCCCTGACAGGCCCTGGTGTGTGATGTTCCCCTCCCTGTGTCCTTGTGTTCTCATTGTTGTGAACATAATTTTTCATGTCTGCATAATTCAATCCTTAGAAGCTCGTTAATTTACCACAACATTTTGCTATTAGTGAACATTAAGTTTGCTCCTAATTTCTCCCTGCTGTGTCATTGCATGAGCAACTTTGTGTCTGTGCTTTTTCTACAATTTGGATTGTTTTCTTGGTATACATTCCAAAGAGTGAAATTACTGAGCCAAGGATGTGTATGCATTGTGTTCAATGGCTTTACCAAAATGGTGTACCAGTTTACCTTATATTGATAGCATACTATAAATGATGAAATTTCACCACACCATTGATAACATACTTGTTTTGTAATTACTTATGTGACAAAGTAAAGGTGTCTTTATTGCTTTCATTTACATTTTGCTTACCAACACAGCTAAACATTTTTCTATAGAATTTTTTATAGGACTTTGTGTGTGTGTGTGTGTGTGTGTGGGTGGGTGTGGTGTTTGTTGTTGTTGTTGTTGTTGTTTTGGTGAATTATCTATTTGAGTGTAGTGTTTTTTTAAAAAAAAAAAATGACCTGTCATTTGTCAAAAGGAAAAACAATAACCTCTGATCTCATAGGTATAGTGGCCATTTTATAAAGAATTCCGGCTGGGCGCAGTGGCTCACGCCTGTAATCCCAGCACTTTGGGAGGCCGAGGCAGGCTGATCATGAGGTCAGGCGATCGAGACCATCCTGGCTAACACGGTGAAACCCCGTCTCTACTAAAAATACAAAAAATTAGCGGGGCGTGGTGGCGGATGCCTGTAGTCCCAGCTACTCGGGAGGCTGAGGCAGGAGAATGGCATGAACCCAGGAGGTGGAGCTTGCAGTGAGCCGAGATCGGGCCACTGCACTCCAGCCTGGGTGACAGAGCCAGACGCTGTCCCAAAAAAAAAAAAAAAGAAAAAAGAAAAAAAGAATTCCATACAACCCTCATGTTCCATGATTCCAACATCTTCAGTTCCATGTTTCAGGCTAAACATTTTGTTGATAGTCATAGAGCTGCTTGTTAGTTCCTGAAGCAAGCTTAGATGGAGAGATAGAGTGCTTTATCCTCTTAGTGGAAGCCAAATTACATCGAGCATTTGCTAAGTGCTTCTCAGGCCTTAATTCTTATTCTTACAACAGTCTCTGAAGTGGGTACTGTCACGTCTCTCCATTTATACATGAGGAGAGTGTTGCCTAGAAAAGTAAAATAACGTAACCACAGTCACATACACTTTTAATAACTGCTAACTACCTCTGGATCTTTGCTAACATGGCCTGCCTCAGTTATGTACTTGGTCTTGGAGGGAGTTAGGGTTAGGAATATTAGAAACTTCATCTGAACTCTACTGCCTATTTCTGGGAGACTTTGTGGTGCAAGTTAATTTTACTATCTTAAATTTCCTCACTCTATCTTCTGTATCTCTTACCCTCCCCTGTGTTTGCCATCCTTTTCTTTTAATCTCTCCAAGATACATTCTGAATAGTTTCTTCTGACCTGTCTTCCAAGTCACAGTGTATCTCTTCAGCTGTATCTAATCTGTGGTTAAATCCATCATTTATTGCATTCTCAATCTTGATTACTGAATTTCCAGTCTAGAATTCTAGTTATTTTTCAAATCTGCAATGTTACTTTTTATGGGTCTTGGTTCTTTATTGTAATTTTTATGTTGAGCTTTTAGCTGCATGAGCATAGTAAGCATAATTGTTTTACATTCTGTATCTGGTAATTTTTCTATCTGGAATTCCTAAGCATCTTTTTGTCCTGTCTTTTGTTTGTTCTGGTTCTCATGCTGGTTCATATTTATGTTGTCATGTCTCCTTGTGTGCCTCATTATCTTTAAATGTGTGCTGGATATTGTTTTGAAAAAATATATGTAAGAATACCATGTGTCATTCATTTTAAGATGTACAGTGTTTTTATATTTTAGTCTCTGAAATCAGTATGTGTTTTATGTCATGAATTTTTACACTTCTAGTTGACAGCATTTTTTCTTTTTCACTGGTACATAAAATCATAGTGCTTCATATAATTAGTGATATTTAAAACTTCAGGACATTTGATAATTTGAGACTTTGGATAATCATAATAAAGATGACAAGAGTTCAAAAGAGAATTTTAATTAACTTCTTAAGGTTTTCTGGGGTATCAGCAATAGTGGGTCAATTTTGGGGCTTCAGATTTTCTAGATCACCCAGATGACATGAAGCCAGACTAGTTTACTTTTTGTTCTGTCTTACTTCTAGGGTCTATCAGAGGGTGTCCAAGGGAGACAATACAGTCGTGGGTTCTTAGTTTCCATTTCTGGTTGGGCCAGTAAAGCCCCTTCCTCATCCTTGTTTTCCGCTTATCACTAAAGATAGAAACTAAAAACCATGGCTTCAGGCTGCTAAAAGCCTAAAACAAAACAGAACAACAATAACAACAAAATAAGGTGGGTTAGACAAGCTTGGAGCTCTTTGGGGTCCTACTCTAAATGTAAAGCGGTTTACCAGGCCTCAGGGAGGCCCTGGCCTCTTGATTCCATGAGGCCGTCAATACGCTGCTCAGCTTCCTAGCTTCCTATTTTGGATTGACAGGCCCAGCCCCTCCAACTGGGTAAAAGCAGCCCCTAGTACTGAGGCCTACATGTCTAGATCTCTTTCTTTTCTCACATCTTAAACCTGAAATTCCTCCCTATCTTGTTAGCTTTTTGGTGCTTTTAGGAAGGTTTGTTGTTTGTTTGTTGTTAACCTCATCCAGCTTTCTTTGTTGTGTTCACTGGGAAAGTTGGCTCAAATTACCCAGTTCACTGCTGGCAGGAGGTGGGACCCAGTCAGATCATCTTAGAGACTGACAGGAGAGAAACACAAGTGACCAGCTGCTCTTTGCCTGACTGTGACTAGAGAACTTTATCTGCTCCCAACACAACACCCTGGTTGCAGCTGGAAAGCAGAAGTTGGGATGGATATATTTCAACTAACTGGACATAGCCACATGTAGATATATTTCCCTGCATAGATGAAACTAATTCCTCAGGCTGTTCCTAATAAGGCAGGTGATGTGGCTGAGAAGGCAGTCACAGGAGTGCTACCTGGAGCCCCATCTCGAACCTGCTTCTTCTCACCTACACTGTCCTGCAAAAGATGGGAATGTAGGACCAAGGGAAGTGTTGAGGCAGGAAGATGTTTTCTCTTTCAGCAGCTTTTAAGAAGTAAAAACTGTAGGCTGTATTTTAGCTGGGTAAGTTTCCTTCCATTCAAACTGGACCCCAAAATGTTCATGTTTAAGGCAGAACTTCTCTTCCATGGCCCAGACAATTCCTTGCAGAGGCTGAACCATCAGATCCAGGCTCAGGAGTCAAGACAGCCTTTCCAGATGACTCTGCTTGATGCTAAGGTTTGGAGCTTTATGATAGTTTTTGGCTTTTAGAATGCTTTTCTGCATGCTCAACCACGTGTTCTTGGAATCAGCAGCCACATCTATTTTCCCCTTACTTTCCTCCAACTCTTCCCCCAACTTTCAAGAAGCCAGAGAAGTTTACAAAAAGCAAAGTGTATTTCCTGAGTTTGAAAAGGCTGGACAAAGGGAGCCTGAGTGGTGGGAACTTCTCATCCTCCACCTTACCAGAGCCTCCATTGGTTTTTGGGGTGTGGGAGTGGGGTGGTGGCGGCTTTTATTTTTATTTTTGAGTACCTTTTTCCCTGGAAATTTTAGAGCTGAGCTATCCTCTCAGAAAATCACTGTCTGCCCAGGGAACCATAGCCTCCTCCCTCACCCTTCAGGTGTGTAATCATTGGGTAAAGAGAAGGGAGGTGTGGGTGTGCCCCTCTAGAAAGGGCCCTGTCTTAGGGGGAGGTATCCCACTGACTTTCTGGAGACCACCGTATACCATGGAGCCTTTTATGTATTCCACAATAATTTACCCTGCGGATTTTTAATTTCACAGTACTTCACACATAGGAAGGACTATAGAAAAATTAGTCCACCATATTGCTAGAAATAGAAATCCTCCAATTCGATTTCAGTAACTGTCCATAAAAGAACAAATCTGTAACCCCACTCCCAGGTAATTCTAGATTGTGACCGAGCCTTTGGAAGAAATGAAAAATGAATTAATTAATTTTGAAGAGGCAAATTTTCTGTTCTCCTAGAAGATGTGCCCTTCCATGATTATTTTTGGAGGCAGAATGGCCAGAAAGCCCTACCAGCCATAAGAATTTATGAACCATGACATTTGAAAACTTTCAGCCTGAGATGAAGTAAATTAATTCCTCCAGCATGATTCACTTTAGGTACAAGCCCAAATTTCTTTTATCAGTAACTTGGGCTCTTAAGGTGATTTTTCTAAAGAGATATAGTTATTTGAGACCCATCAGGGCCATTTTCTGTATTTCTTTTGTCAAATTTTCCATTTATGTGGATTTGAGTTTTTTCCAGTTATTTCGAGACCATCTTGTCTGCTAATAAGAGATAATATGCTGCCTTTTCAATAACATATGTGAAAGCCACAGGGAGTTCAGACAAAGTTAGCTGAGCAAATTCCTGTACTTATCAGAGACCATGACATCACCTTCAGTATGCGGTGGGCTTTTTACCAAGTGTCCAGCACCTTTAAAGAACTCAGAATGGTAAAGTATTATAGCTCATTCAATAGAAAAAAGGAACAGAGAAGTTCAGAAATCTGAAATGATTTTATTTGTAAGAGGAGAATAAGGAAGATGATTACTGTAAATCACATAGGAAGAGGAGGTGAGAAATATGTAACAATGGTGTAACTATGGTGGATTGCTTTTAGCTTTCCAGATCAGAGGTGAGAAAATGAAAAATTTCTTATGAATTATTATGAAGTTTCAATACTTGCAGTGTAGGACTCGAAGAGGGCTTTAACGACCCAGCCATCTGCTGTGTAATAAAGCCAGTGAAATATGCTCCATCAAAATGACACAGAGAAGAACGTTAGGGTACACAGAGTAGGAGCGAGAGTTTTTTACACTATGAATGAGAATATATCTAGTAAGTAGTTCTGGGTATGTTGTGGCCTGAATAACTGTCCATTTTTTTATACTTTACTATTTTCTTGAGCTGAATGGAGACTAAGGACAAAAGAAAGAAGACTCAGGTCATTATGAAGTTTGTTGGGTCTCTGCATGATTCCAAAGTGATAATGCTCTCAGTTGAAGTACTTAGTTAAAAGCTCAAAGTCTTGTTTCCATATGTCTATACCTGCTGTCATTTTTCAAAAGTTATTCAGTGAATTTGTTAATACTGAAACCCCTCCTTTCTTATCAGCAGTCTTTCTTCTGAGATTCTCATAAGATTCTCAATCTTATGAAATGCATTTCTGAACTAGAGGCAGTAAAAAAAAGTCCGTTGTCTTTTCTTTCCAGTTTATTCAGAAGCAAATCTCCAGAATCAAAAATCTATCCACCATTTACCTGCTGAATTTTCTCCCTTCGTTAACCAACAAACAACAGTGTTTTGCTCTACAATTTGAGTTCAGGATTTGGCTTCTATATTAAGTAACCTTCTAGTTTTCTCTTCCACCTCTGCTATTGATAAGAAATAATAATCACATTATTATTTAATTATCACCACCAAAAGCAACGTCAGATTTCAGTAATCTAAAACTATATTGCCTTAAACTTAGATTATTTGAAATAAGATCTTTCCTCTCCAGTAATGGATACCTAGAAAAGCAGGTGTATAGCTGTCTATACAGGGGACACACTCAGGAGCATGTACAGTTATGATTATGGGGCAGTCATAAGCTTTTTTCCTAGAAGGACACACAAGACATTGTTAGCAGTGATAAAGTAAGAAGTGATTGAGGATTGACGTGAGGGAAGGGATTTGTTAGTTTATATTTTACTATTTGATGTTTTAAATAAGCATATTTAATAAGTAAATAAGGAGAGAATTAAGAAGGTGGAGAAAAAAGAAGTCACTGTTTATAAGATCCTGTTGTGAATTTAACCTCTAGACCAGGGGTCCCCAACCCCTGGGCCACAGAACAAGTATTGGTCTGTGACCTGTTAGGAACCAGGCCGCACAGCAGGAGGAGAGCAGTGGGCAAGCCAGCAAAGCTTCATCTCTATTTACAGCCGCTCCCCATGGCTTGCATGACTGCCTGAGTCTGCCTCCTGTCAGAACAGTGGCGGCATTAGATTCTCATAGGAGCACAAACCCTATTGTGAACTGCACATGTGGGGGATCTAAGTTACATGCTCCTTATGAGAATCTAATGTCTGATGATCTGTCACTGTCTCCCATCACCCCCAGATGGGACTGTCTAGTTACAGGAAAACAAGCTCAGGGCTCTCACTGATTCTACATCATGGTGAGTTGTATGCATCTCCCATACCCAGCCCTGTACACAGAAAAATTGTCTTCCATGAAATTGGTACCTGATGCCAAAAGGGTTGGGGACCACTGCTCTAGACTAATTTCTCATTAGAAATTCTGGTTTTTGTTAATCATCAGACCAAAATCTATAGGAACATATGGTCAATATAGGTCACATATATCCTCCATGGTTTTGTGTAACTTATATTCTGCAGCATTTTTTCAAGTCCTCTTATACCAATGTCTTCTTTGAGCCTCCTAGTGGTGCTGTCTGGTATTTTGAGCCAGTATTATATGATTTCCATTTTACAGAGGGGAAAACTGAAGCTACGGGAAGATGTGTGGCTTGTCTTAGATGATATAGTTACTACCTGCTTCCCTAGTATTCCAGGACTAGAAGCCACTTCTGATTCCACATCGGCGTTCTTTTATCCCTGGTAAAAAGAATTTTGCTCTTTATTCTAGACATTCTTTTTTTAAATACTCCAAGCTGCCTCCTCTCTGGTTTTGTGCCATTGCATCTATTTCATTCTGTCTTGAATCATAGTTAGATGATTGTTTTCCTCATTAATTTCAGCAATATAGGCTGTCTCTCTTTTTGTAGCCTTACTGTGTCTAGTACATTATGGCACATATATTCATTCCTTAGTCTTTTCTTTTATGGAATTGGATTTAAGGTATTTTCTCCCAAATAATTATACATTTCTAGGAAAACAAAAGGAATAAATGAAGCCCTTTCTACAAGACTAATGTCATTGTTCACAAGAGAATTAGAATCACATGTTGTTTGAGTTGGAAGAAAATCATCGAGAGTATTTATTCTCTTGTTTTACAAATGAGGAACCTGAAGATCAAATAACTTCTGAAGATCCCACAGGGAATTAGAGGTGACATGGTATACAGAGCCCAGTTCTCCTCACTTCTAGCCGAGCCCTCCTTTTGCTGCAACAGTTATTACAGAGATTGACCATCAAGTTTTAGATGAATGGTCAATGCTGGCAAAAATCAGGTCATGCTAAATTAAAACTACAAATGTGAAGAGAGTTTTAAAACTCTCAAAAAGAAAAGGCTGTACTGAGCTTATTTTTCCAAGTTTTAATGAATGATTTTGTAGCTCTACCTCCTTTTAAAGCAAACCTGCTATATAAACATCAGCATTTTCACAAAGGAATTCGCAGTAGGAATCCTTGAGATGATAAGTATCCACACCAGGTGCATTTGCAATAGAGAAAAATCACCCTCACTTGTTGGGTAAATCCAGGTGCACAACATCAATGTGAAAGGAGGGATTAATGGTAATTTTTACCTCACCTGCAGCCTTCTTAAAATAGGAGCTGTTTCTGACCTGGTGAGTGAACTCCTCCTTCAGCAAGGAGCAGAGGCCATGGATGCTCTGTCTAATATTCATGGGTTGGAAACCTAATTCCTAATGCAACAGTGTTGGGAAGTGGGGCCTTCGGGGAGGCGTTTAGGTCACGAGGGCTCTGTCCTCATGAATAGATTAATGCTGTCATAAAGTGACTTAATGGAAGAAGTTTGGTCCCTTTCTTGCCTTTCTGCCTTCTGCCATATGAGGACACAAAGTGTCCTCCCCTCTGGAGGATGCAGGGTTCAAGGTGTCACCTTGGAAGCAGAGACTAGACCCTCACAAGACACTGAACCTGCCAGTTCCTTGATCTTGGATTTCCAAAACTGTGAGAAATAAATTTCTGTTCTTTATAAATGACCCAGTCTCAGGTATTTTGTCTTTGCAGAACAAATGGACTAAGACAACACCTCAGTTCCTAAATTCACTCCTAGGCACCTGAGTGCTCAAAAGCTATTCCCAGTTTTTAAACATGCTGAGAACAGAGAGCTGGAAAGGCTTATTTTTTATTTTTATTTTTTTCTGAAGTCACCCAAAGGAGAGACAGCAAAAGAAATTCCAAAGAGGGAGACACTATCAAAAAGTGTAAGGCAAAGATTTCATGAGGAAGATGCCAAAAGCAATTGCAACAAAAACAAAAATTGACAAATGGAACCTAATTAAACTAAAGAGCTCTGCACAGCAAAAGAAACTATCGACAGCAAACAGACAGTCTACAAAATGGAGAAAATATTTGTAAACTATGCATCTGACAAAGGTCTATCAATAATATCCAGAATCTATTAGGAACTTAAATGAATCAACAAGCAAAAAAAAAAAAAAAAAAAAACCATTAAAAAGTTTGCAGAGGAGATGAACAGATACTTTTCAAAAGAAGACATACATGTGGCAAACAAGCATATGAAAAAAATGCCAACATCACTATTCATTAGGAAATGCAAATCCAAAGCACAGTGAATTACCACCTCACACCAGTCAGAATGGCTATTATTAAAAAGTCGAAAAATAACATGCTGGTGAGGTTGTGGAGAAAAGGGAATGCTTATGCACTGCTGGTGGGAATTTAAATTAGTTCAGCCATTGTGGGAGACAGTTGGTGATTTCTCACAGAACTCAAAGCAGAATTACCATTTGACCCAGCAATCCTTTTTTTTTGGGTATATACCCAAAGGAATTTAAATCGCTCTTCCATAAAAACACATGCATACATATGTTCATCGCAGTACTATTCACAATAGCAAAAAATGGGATCAACCTAAATGCCCATTAACAATGGGCCAGATAAAACATGGTACATGTACACCATGGAACACTATGCAGCCATAAGAAGAACAAGGAGATCATGTCCTTTGCAGCAACGTGGATGGAGCTGGAGGCCATTATCCTGAGTAAACTAACGTAGGAACAGAAAACCAAATACTGCATGTTCACACATATAATGGGAGCCAAACATTGAGTACACATGGACACAAAGGAACAACAGACACTGGGGCGTGCTTAAGGATAGAGGGAGGGAAGAGGATGAGGATCCAAAAATCACCTCTCAGGTTCTATGCTTATTATGTGGGTGGCAAAATAATCTGTACACCAAACTTCTGTGACATGCAATTTATTTATATAACAAACCTGCATATGTGCCCTGAACCTAAAATAAAAGTTAAAAAAATAAAAATTTCTACCAACATCTAATGTGAAAAAGGCTTAATAGATTCCATTTTTAATTAAATCACATAATGAAATAACAAAGTGTCAGGTCTGTGGAAGTCCCTAGGACAGTATTTATTAATGAAGCAGTATAATGCAGTTTGTATGAAGCATATTCCTTTTATGCCAAGCCCTGCTCTGGATTCATAGGGTCCTAGGTGGCACCAATGCAAGTAGGCATAGTTGGAAAGGACCTCATGAGAATGGAGGTCTCTACAAATTCAATTCAGTTTAACAAATATTTCGGGTAGGTGCTGTAGGAGAGTTACAGTAAAAATTATAAGACAGACCCTGCTCTCCTGGAGCTTGGAGCTTGGAGCTTGGAGCCTGCGCCATGCTTTCCAAACTTGTTTGCACATTGGAATCACCTGGGGACCCTATAAAATATTGATGTCTGTGCCCATCCCACTGCCCTAGAGCTTGTGATCTGATTGTTCTGGGGTCTAGCATGAGGTTTGGAATTTTAAAAAGATGATTCTCAAGTGCAAACAAGTTTGGGAACCAATGGTATGTGTTGTCATTCTCAGCTTTGGCTGCGTTAGAATCACCTGGAGAGTGTGTGTGCCTGTTTGCATACACTCCCTACACACCGTATGCATGTGTGTATGAGGGCATGTGTTACACATTTGTGCCCAGGCTTCAGCCCTAGAGATTCTGATTTATATGGCGTGGGGTCCAGACATCAGTTTTATTTAAAACCCCAAATTAGGTGCATGTTAGAATCATCTGGGGCGTTTTTAAAATACCGATGTCTGGGTCTCACTCCAGAGACTAGGGTTTAATTGGTTTGGAGTCTAGTCTGGGAATCAGATTTTTTGTGAAGCTGCTTAGGTGATTCAAATATACAGCCAAGATTGCAATCCCCTGTGTTAACCAGCAAAATCACCAGGATTACCTTGTGCAGGGTTACCTTGTGCACCAGGGTTACCCTGTGCTCAATAAAAATGGGAACACATGAAACAATAGAAGCGTTTATAAAAATGTTAGTGCTAAAACTTTGGGCATTTCTGGTTCTTTGGACATTTCCGTAGGCCTGAATATGTTATGCTGTGATTTGGATGAAGGGTAGGCAGCAAAACCTAATAAATTCAGCTCACGACCACAGCCTTCATTGTGGCTACCAGTAGAACTTTGAGCTGAAACTGACAGCCAAGATCTTCCTAATTGCCCTGTTCCTTGTATCTGCAGTGATAGGAGTGGCACATCTGCCTGTCATACTCCTGATGTATCTAACATTGTTATTTGGAGAAAAATAACCAGAAACTGGTTTCTGTAACATTAAGGTACTCCAGCCATAGATTTAGCCTTAGGTGAACTCTGTGTAGTTCAGCAAGTGTTGACTGAGAGCCTACCGACTGCCCAGGGTTCAACAGAGAGCTCCCTGGAGCACAGACTGCATGTGTTGCCTGGTTTCCTTTGTTCCCTAGGCAATTCCTGTTTAGTCCAAGGCGTAAGGGGAGGGGCTGTATTTCTGCATCTGGCCCCCAGGTGAATGCAGCTGTTTTAAACTGCGAGCGCTCAGCTATCCTGGAAAAGGGGAAGTGGCCAGAGAGTTCATTGAAGCTGCTCATTGAATGGAATCTGAGCCGCTTCTAATGGTCTTTGAAGGCTCCACAACAGTGGTTTTCAAACCTGAGTGTGCATCTGAATCACCTGGAACACTTGTTAAACTACAGATTGCTGGGGCAACCCTCAGAGTTTCCAATTCAGTAGGTATAGGATAGGGTCCAAGAATATGCGTTTCTAATGCCTGTCCAGGTGATGCTGGTGGTGCTAGTCTGGGGACTACCATTTGAGAACCACTGGTCTAGGAGGAAGGACATAGTGATGGCAGATGGTGCCTGTTTGGTCAAGGAAAAGGAAATTATATGATTGCTGCAAATCTACCTAATGGTTACAAGATCAGGAATCAAAAGAACCTATTAGCAAACTATAAGATTGATAGATGGATTTTTTGAAAAAATTATGAAACACCTAATGCATGCTAGGTATTGTGCAAGCTTTGCTGCTATAAGGAAGAGGAAGAGCCGTTACTACATGAAGTGGTTAGTCTTGGGGGAGTAATGGACTGCTAAAAGGACACCACAGTACTGCTCCCATAATGCTCTGTAGAGGGAGCACCTGGGGCTTTCAGGGGACAAACATGGGCAGGAGGGAGTGTGACTCAGAGGAGGCTTCCAGGAGCACGTGATGTCTGGGAGGAATCTTGGAAGATGACCTGGTGTTTGCTAGGGGAAGGTGGGGCAGTATCCCTGGAGCAGCATGGGCAGAGGTGAGAGAGAACATGAGTAAGCCTCGCATGGAGAACCATACATGGCTTATGATAACTGGGGTAAAGAATTGGATGAGGAGGGGCAGCTTAGTCTGGACAGGCAGGCAGAGACTGGAGCACAGTAGCTGGGGCTGATCTGAAGGCAAGGAAAGTCTTTGAGGGGTGTAAGCAGGAGAGGATGGTGATCAGATTTGCCTGCTCATTGCCTGCAAGTTGGAAAATGGACTGGAGAGAACATGCACGTGCAGGAGACACAAGAGACTGTCACAGGAGTCCCCATGGGAAGTGATAAGGCCGCAGGGTACATGGCCTGTGCATCATTTTGTCCTTGCATCACTCTTGGCCTCTGCTCAGGATTTTAAATACTGTGTGTGCTTTTGGAGTGGCACCAGGCAGCAACTATTATGCTTCCCCCTACATGAATATTGTTTTTCAAGGAAAATGAAGTTTAAATGAATGTCAAGGGCAACTTTGAAGCAGATGAGTTACAAAAATGCAACCACTTGAGAGGTATGTGTGGAAGTGGAGTGGGACAGTCCCACCTCCTTAGTCTAGATGAGTTTGGGGAGGAATTGTTCTCTGCCTGTTCTGTTTTCTTTTTTGGTACTAGCTGGGAGTCACGCTTTTACCTTGAGAGCAGATTAAAAGCCCTGAGTCATAGCCCAGCCACCTGCTGGCAGCTACATTTCCCCACCTCCCAGGCCTATTCCCCTTCAATTTGGGGGCTTACCCAGGGAAGTCTCCCAGGTACCCTCAGGATGGTGCCAGTGCTGGGCATTATGGAGTCAGTAGGGCTGTCCAAAATAGGTGAGACCCACTCCATGCCCATCACAGTTGCACACCAGGTGTGCATGAAGAAAATGGAGAAGAGGGTGACAGTGGGCTAATTGTTGGCTAGGGACAAGTGCAAAGGGTGTTAGAAGGGGAGTGAGTTCTCATCCATTCCTGGCCCATCTTAAAAGAAAGCAACAGTGATGGATTTTACTTGTGGTACTACTCACTTCAATTTGGTGATGAAAATTTGATTTGTGGTTTCCTCTCACAGGGCTCTTCATCACACAGTAATTGATACATCTCCAAGAAGCTCTTGAGGAAATCTATTCCAACAGGTCCCATCAGCACCCAGGGAGCCTAGCAGGGATCTCAGCAGGCTCCACCTCCCCTGTCATCCCCCTTCCTCCTTCAGTCTGTGGGGTTTCATCAGAAGCCTGAGTAGGCTGGAGGAGGAGGAGGCAGGGGTCACACCAAAGGGATTGAAGACCAGTGTTGGCAAACGGTCTGTTCTCAGTAGTAGGGGCATCAAGCAATAGGTCACCTTTGTTGAGGTGGCTTTGCTGCTCAAAACCAACACAGTAGATGTGGGAATGGGCTGCAGGATTGGGAGCCAGCGGCTGCCTCAGGTGAGAAGGGTGAGAAGGGCAGGTAAGAGCAGGAAGTAATGGGTGTGACCAAGGGCAAAGTTTGCCCTGATCAGGGGAAGACATATGGCCTGAATACCTCCCCAAAGGCTGCCCCACACCTTTTGCTAATGACATGCCCATGCTCTTACTAGGTGGTTGCTAAAAATGTTTGTACAAATGCCCAAGGGGACTTCCATCAACCTATGGCTGGCTAAGGCCAAGCTGCTTTTTTCCTGCTTCCATCTGCTGTTTGTTTCTGAGCGAAGCTTGCCCTACAGTGGGAACCATCCTAGACGTCTGTTCCTTGAGTCACTTAAGGGTGTTCTGCCTTCTCTCTTTCATGGTGTTTACTGTTGGCCCTGCTCCGTGGAACAGCACTAGAATATAAACTGCCATATTCTCTAATAATGTCAATTGTGTGAGTCTCGCCTCCTCCGATACTAGTAAATCTTAGGGCAGAAACTTAAATCGATTACAGAACTTCTTTTATACCCCTCCTTTGCTCCCTGCTCTGCCTGGCATCAGGTAGTAGCTGGATGATATACTGAGATGCCTGAATTTCCCTTGGAAACCCAAACACATCTGCCTTTCCATTGTCCATCAATACTGCTCCTGGGGCCTTCCACCTTCTGCTTACCCAGTAGCACAGCTTGATGCCTGTATTCATCCTCACTCTGTGAGCACTGAAGGAGGAGGAGTTTGCATGTTCATCCTGGGCACTCTCAACATCCTAAAATGCACGAGTGCTTTTGCTTAAAAAGCAAGGCAGCAAGATGTATTCACTATCTGTGGCTGTAGCAAACCACCCCATGATTCAGAAGCTTAAAACGGCAAAGGTTTATTTGCTTACAGATCCTTTGTGTCAGGCATTTGGAAGCTGCTTAGCTGAGTGGTTCTAGTTCAGGGACTCTCATGAGGCTGCAGTCATGGTGTTGGTGAGGGCCACAGACATCTGGAAGCTTGTCTTGGGCTGAAGGATCAGCTTCCAAGGTCACTCATGTGGCTGGAGGCGTTGGTTCCTCTCTGCAGGTCTTTCCATAGGGGCTTATCACACGGCAGCTGCCTCCCTCCAGGGCACACACGTGATCCAAGAGAGCAACCGAGCAGTTACGGTACCTCTACAACCTGGACTCTGAAATGGCATGGTCATTGCCCTTTTCTTTCTCTTCATTAGAAGTGAGCCACTGAGTCCAGCCCACATTCAGATGAAGGGGAATTATGCTCAACTTTGTGAAGAGAGTGTCAAATAATTTTTGAACATATTTTAAACCATCACACAAAGCAGGTGAGCAGAAGAGTTGAGTTCATCCTTTGCCAGTAACTTATTTTCCCATGTGGGTGGCTTGGGAGCTGCTCTGGGGAACTCCATGCACCTGTGGGTAGAATGTGGTGAAGGGTTGAGATCCAAGAGTTAGTCTGACAACAGTTACTGGGATACGTGACATGTCCTAGGAGTTTGGGGACCTAGGAAAGTTACATGTAAATTTTTACTGTCACAGAGCTCACAGGCAAATGAAACTTTTAATAATAAGCACCATACAATTATCATTGTCCTTTTGAAAGCATTATCTATTGATGAGACTTCTGCTATTTCTAGAATTATGAAGAATAGGGCAGCTTAAAAAGAGGTGGGCTTATCTGCTGGAGGGTTAGAGCCCTTTCCTTCCACTGGGCCTCAGATTTCTCATATGTAAAGTGGAGAGGGACCCATTCAGTGGGTCTGTACCCTGGCTGCTTGTTGGAGCAACTCAGGGAACTTAAACAAAATACTCTAGAAGTTCTGATTCACTCAGTCTGGGATGAAGTCTGGCTACAGGATCTCCTCAGATGAGAACCACTGGGCTGGCTGATTATGAAGATCTTACAGACTCTGACACTCAGTGGCTCCTAGTGGCAAGCTCTCCTGTTCTGTGGTACAGCGAGGATGCTCAGGTGCGGGTGCCCTTACTGAGAAAGCTAAATCCTGACTCTACCACCTATCCCCACCCTAGTCACACAGAGTGGCCTAAGAAAGTGCAGGGCTACCTTGTGAATTAATGAGCTCCCTGATGTTAGAATGGCTCAGCCTGGGACCATATCACAGAGATGTTATGGTTGTTGCACCAAGAATTCCTGCACTGGGCAGGTGGGTAGACTAGGCCAGTGGTTCTCAAACTGTAGTCTGCAGAGCAGCATCAGTAGCCGCACCTAGAAGTTTTTTAGCAAGGCTCATTCTGTTATAGAATTCCTTTGGTGCTGCTTCACCAGCCAGAAATCTCTACAGCTGCTGCTGCCTCTGCCTGGGGCCTCACTCCAGCCCACTGGGCTCACTCCACCTGCTTGGCCTGGCAGACTGTGCTTGGCTTGTGCCCTGGCCCAGATCCCATGCCCGCTACAGTTCTGTGCTCAGCTCCTAGCTGGATTGAGCATGACACGAGCAGCTTCCATGTTGGGCACCAGTGTCTAGATGAGGGGAACGCAGTGATGCCCCAAAACTCAGAGATGCCAGCAATCATGGAGCCCCAAGGGGTGTTACAGCTCTTGCTCAGAAAGTCCCAAGGTCTGAGTCTGCAAGAAAAGTCACAGCTCTTTATTCTTGTAGCTCAGTGAGTGGAGGCATATTACAGCTCTCTTTCTACCATAGTCTGGTGAGTGAGAGCATGTCACAGCTCTTTTCGTTCCTGCTGCCCACAGCTCATTGAGTTCTGGGTTCATGTCCTGTGACCAAGAGGAATGAGGTGCATGGACACTAGGGAGTGAGTAAGGGAGAGAAGAATTTTATTGATCAACAGAAGGAAAGCTCTCAACTGAAAGAGGGGACCCTGAAAGCAGGTTCTGTCTGTGAGGCTGAGTTTGGGGGTTTTATGGGCCTAGAATGAGAGAATGTGTGTTTATTGGTCCATGGGTGGTCTTTGGAAAAAGCACCATTCGATTGGTTAAAAGGCATCATTCAGAAGGAACCAATCAGCCAGGTGCGGTGGCTCACGCCTGTAATCCTAGCACTTTGGGAGGCCAAGGTGAGTGGATTGCCTGAGCTCAGGAGTTTGAGACCAGCCTGGGCAACATAATGAAACCCCATCTCTACTAAAAATGCAAAAAATTAGCCAGGCATGGTGGTGTGCACCTGTAGTCCCAGCTACTTGGGAAGCTGAGGCATAAAAATTGTTTGAGCCCAGGAGGTGGAGGTTGCAGTGAGCTGAGATTGCGCCACTGCACTCCAGCCTGGGCAACAGAGCAAGACTCTGTCTCCAAAAAACAAAAAACAGGAAACAAGGAACCAATTGATAGAGAGGGAGGGTAAGATGGGGATAGAAGTTATCACTAGTCATGGACTCTATGTGGAACTGGCAGCTCAGTTTTCAGGCTTTAAACTGTCTTTGGATTGTAGGTCGGGTTTCACTGGGGACCCGTTCCTGTCTGCCTAGGAATTTGTCTCCTGTTGCTATCAATTCTCCCTTCTCTTCACACTGAATCAGAATTTCTGGATCTCTGGGGCTGGACCCTAACAACCTGGGTTTTACAAACCTTGCAGGTGATCTTGATGCATTTAAAGCTAGAGACACACTGTACTAGAGGACTTCTCAAAGTCCCTCTGACCCTAAGCTTTCCTCTTCACAGCAGTGAATTGGGGGCATAAATGTCTGTCTTTAGGCACAAATGCTTCAGGGCATATTGAGGATTGAGTAAGATCCTGTTCATCATAATTGCTATGCTTTCACTGAAGAGTGCCTGAAGTCTTCTTGCTCCTTGAGGACTGATGCTTGCTGGGAGTTCAACTGGGAGAGATTTCTGGATAAAAACCAATGTGTTTATCGTCCTTAAGCATCTAAATACCGTTTGCTACTTTACAGCATGTCTTAGCTGCTGCTTGCTACAGCCAGGGAGTCTGTCCAAGCCCTTTATGTCTCTTCTCTATTAAAGAAGAATCACACAGACCTATGGGATGTTCTGGGGTTATGGTGGAGGAATCAAATCAGAGAGTGCAAATCCTAATTTCCCATCCACTTCGTGTACCCCTGGCAGTGACCGAACATGAGGCTGGATGAACTGCGGAACTAAGCCTCTAGGGCATGTCTCATGTTCTTAAAAAAAAAGCCAAAAACAAAAACAACAGATCCTCTTTTTATAACTTTAGCAGTGCAGCCTCCTGAAATTGAAGATAGTGAAAATATGAGAGAGTATTTGAACTCTGCATGATGTATGAATTGTGTATTGTTCCCTAGCTATAGACTGTGTCCCCAACTCTTGCTAGCCACCTTGCAGTGTTTGTCCTTGTGGCACATGTTACAAACCCAGGTAATAATAAGCCTTAGTTAAGCACTAGTTCTCTCTACCGCCTATGACAGAAGAATCTTGACTGTACTTGTCAGTTGGAGTCATCTATTCCTTGTATTTATCTTTAATAATCACTGAAGGAGTTCATTTAATTCAGGAGCTTACAAGGATAACAAAAGAATTGGATGACAATGACTAGCATGAAACCAAGAGACTGACCTGCACACAAAATGCTAGTCAACATAAACTGTGAATATTGATTACAAACTACAAATATCAGTAGCGTTAACTCCGGACTCTCCTATTCAAGGAGCTGATGATACCCACAGCCTTGCATAACTGAAGGAAATGGCTTTGTTTGGTTCCTGTATAAATGTTTCTTGTCCATCATTTGATTCTGTGTTGGAAAGGTCATTTTCCTATGTAAAAAAGAAATTGTGTTATAATGCTAAATTACGCTAAGTTTCTGCCTGGTGTTTTTAGGTTCTCAATCTACAGGATCACTTAGGATGCTTTAAAAATAATAAAGATGCTTGGGTGTCAGCCCCAGAGGTTCTGATTTAATTGGTCATGGATGTGGTCCACGGGCCAGCTGGACTGGCATTTTAAAAAGCTAGCCCTGTGGTTCTAATGTGCAGTTTGGGCTGTGAACCACTGGCTTAGAGTTTTCATCAATTGCATTTCTATGATCTTTGATATGAATGTCGCTAATTTGCTACTATACACATTCATCCAAAGCTGACCCCTGAGGATGTTCCCTGTCCTCCAATGTGTGCTCTGCTAGGTGCCAGGTGGGGCCTCTACCTCTCTCTTTCCCTCTTCCCTGTCCTCTCTTTTAGCTGCGTGTTTGACAGTGGGGTAGGTAATATATCAACATGTCTGGTTTTTTCTACAGAGAATGTTAAAGTTGCATGCACCTGCAAGTCCCCCATAATGTGCAAAAGTATGAGTATGACCTTGCCTATGTTCTAATTCAGACTGTGCCCTGGGGTACTATTCTAGCATCAATGTCTACTTACACTAAGGCTATACTTGATCAATAAGGGGCTTGGTAAGTAGATATATTAGTCCGCTCTCATGCTGCTATAAAGAACTGTCCAAGACTGGGTAATTTATAAAGAAAAGAGGTTTAATTGACTTACAGTTCCACAGGGCTTGGGAAGCCTCAGGAAACTTATAGCAGAAGGTAAACCAAACATGTCCTTCTTCACATGGTGGTAGGAAGGAGAAGTGCTGAGCAAAGGGGGAAAAGCCTCATCAGATCTCGTGAGAACTCACTCACTGTCACAAGAACAGCATGGGGGTTACTGCCCCCATGATTCAATTATCTCCCAGTGGGTCTGTCCCATGACACATGGGGATTATGGGAGCTACAATTCAAGATGAGATTTGGGTGGGGACATAGCCAAACCATATTACTGGGTGTGACCATTTCAGTAATGACCCATTATCATCAGTGGAAAAACAAGGTGAGGATACCTGCTCTGTACAGGGACATCTTATATCCATTCATAAGGAACTTGAATTATTTACAATGTTTGCACAAAAGAGGCTTTTAAAATTTAATTTATGACTTTCTATGTCAGAAAACACAATTTCTGAGCAACTTTCTAATTGACATTAGTTTGTCAAAGCTATGTGATTTGGCTAGCTCAACTTAGCTAAGAGACCTTCAATATTACCAGTATCACTGATTTTGAACAAAGTATTCTGAAAGAGACATCCTATAAAAATGCAAATTATAAGGGGGTAGGGTCACCAAAAAATTAAAGTGGAAAATTACCTTCTTCTGCTTGAGGATAACAGATCTAAAAGTATTTGAGTTCTTGGTGCTGAAGTGCTGAAAACTGTTAGATGTAGAGTCAGCCAGCCTGGGTGTGAATTCCAGCCATGCATTTATTTACTAGGTACATAGAGTTGGGCAGAAAACGTAATGTATTTAGGCCTCAGAGTCCTCATCTGCAAATGTGGAGTAATAATGATATAACTTTTATGAGGAGAAAATAAGATAATCCATATAAAACACTTGGAGAACTGCTTAGCTCATGGTAAGCTCCGAGTGTACATTAGCCCTTTTTATGGATATATTTGTTTTCTTTCTATTGTTACCTGTGTAGAAAATAAAAAAGGGTCTTTTTTCCTACTGATCCAGGGCAAGACCTCAAAATGTTCTGAAAACAGTCACTCCAGGCAAATACTTTCATATATGCTTGGTAATATTAAAGACATTCTTCAATTTTCATTTAATCTTTACTTTTAGGATTTTGGGGGCTCTGATTTATATACCATTGCCATCTTGTGGTGACACCTTCAAATTGCAGGGTTTTTTAGAGGGATGAATTTTTTTAAGGTTTCAATCTGAGAAAATAAAATTATGAAATGACAGCTGGTAAAAAACAATTTCATATTTTTCAAAGCTCATTAACATACTCTACCTTATTTGATTACTACAAGAAGTCTGTAGAGTAGGTGTTATTATCTCTATCATATAAATGAGAATCAGGCAGAAGAGATTGCTGTGGTCTGAATGTGTCCCCTCCAAATTCGTATGTTGAAGTCTAATCACCAGTGTGATAGAATTAAGACATGGGGCCTTTGGGAGATATTAATAATTAGGTCTTGAATGGGATTCGTGCCCTTATAAGAAAGGCCCAAGGTAGCTTGTTTGCGCCTTCCACTGTGAGAGGACACAGCTAGAACATGCCATCTGCAAGGAAGGGAACCCTCACAGACACCGAATTTGCCAGTGCCTTGATTTCAGACCTCCCAGCCTCCAAAACGGTTAGAAATAAATTTATGTTGTTTATAAGCTTCCTAAAGTTTTTGTTGTGCAGCCCAAATGGAGTAAGACAGGGAGGGGTTAAATGTCTTGTCCAAAGTTTGGGGTGACTCAAAAGGGCAAGAGTCAGAGCTGGAGCCTAGGCCTCCTAGGTCTCCACCACCAGTCCTTTTCTGACATCCCAGTAGGGGCAGCCCCTCCATGAAGGTGTGGTAGGTGCTTCAGTAGGAGCACATTAAAGACTAACTTCCCAAGACTGCTGCTGGATAAGAGATTTTAGCTAATTACTTCACAGCAGGGTTTGGAATTCTCTGTCTAGATGGTCGATGATGTTGTTTCTTTCTTTCTTTTTTGAGATGGAGTCTTGCTTCATTGCCCAGGCTGTAGTGCAGTGGCGCGATCTCGGCTCATTGCAACTTCTGCCTCCCGAGTTCAAGTGATTCTCCTGCCTTAGCTTCCCAAGTAGCTGGGATTACAGGCGCCCACCACCACGCCCAGCTCATTTTTATATATTTTTAGTAGAGACAGGGTTTCACCATGTTGGCCAGGCTGGTCTTGAACTCTTGACCTCACGTGATCCAACCACCTCAGCCTCCCAAAGTGCTGGGATTACAGGCATGAGCTACCATGCCTGGCCTCAATGATGTTGTTTATGCCAGTATTTCTCAGTGTCTTTTTTGTCGTGGTAGAACGAAGAGGCATTGCTAATGTAACAAACCACCCCAAAACTTGTGCCTTAAAATAACAATGATTTATTATTTCTCATAATTTTGTAATTTGGGCAGTGCTGGGAAGGGCGATTCTTCCGCTCCATGTGGCATCAAATGGGGTTGCTCATTTGGCTGCTGTCAGCTGCTGACTGGGTTGGGCTGGGCCAGAAGGACCGAGAAGGCTTTGCTGTCATGTCTCACAGCTCTGTGCTTCCCCTTGTAACCTCTCTCTGTGTCTAGCTTGGGCTTCCTCACAGCATGGTGGTCTCTGGGTAGTTGGACATCTTTCATAGAGACTGGCTTCACAGGGCAGAAGGAGATGTTGCTAGTTTTCTTAAGACCCTGGGCTCAAAAGCCCCAGAATGAGCATCATTTCTAGCACCTTCTATTGGTCAAAGCAATTAACAAGACCAGCCCAGATTCACAGGGAGGTGAAATAGACTCCATCTTTGTTTGTTTGTTTGTTTGTTTGAGAAAGGGTCCCACTCCGGTTGTCCAGGCTGACCAGTGGTGCTATCTCAGCTCACTGCAGCCTCAACTTTCCAGGCTCAGGTGATTCTCTCACCTCAGCCTTCCAAGTAGCTGGGAATACAGGCACAAGCCACCATGCCCAGCTAATTTTTTGTATTTTTAGTAAAGATGGGGTTTCACCATGTTGCCCAGGCTGGTCTTGAACTCCTGGGCTCAGGAGATCCACCTGCTTCAGCCTCCCAAAGTGCTGGGATTATAGGTGTGAGCCACTGCACCTGGCTGTTAGACTCCACCTCTTAATGTGAGGGGAGATGTGAACATACGGTAATGGGAAGAACTGTTGGCAGCCATGTTAGGAGTCTGTCTACCAAAATAACATTCGTGTGTCCACTTGCTAAGAGAAACTCAGACTTTTTTACTAGCGTGTAGCATCCACAGATAAAAGAAGACCCTGTTAAACCCATCAAGTATGCATGATGGATTTTTTAAAATTCAGGAATAGCAAGTTCAATCCAAGGTGAAAATATGGTTGAGAAACAGCTCTGGTACGTGGGTCCCTGGCTGTTGACAGTCTAGGTCCACATTTGGGCTCCTTTCTGGGACTGCCCATAGCTTCAATAATCATGGCCCTGGTCCTAAAGATTATTTGGTGTATCTCACCCAAACTCAATTCATACAGGCATTTATGGATACAGAAAAAACTTGGAGAAATGACCAAAAAATTAGCCCATTAGATGGTATAAAAAATATTAACTCTAACGCCTGTAATCCCAGCACTTTGGGAGGCCGAGGCGGGCGGATCACGAGGTCAGGAGATCGAGACCATCCTGGCTAACACGGTGAAACCCCGTCTCTACTAAAAATACAAAAAATTAGCCGAGCGTGGTGGCGGGCGCCTGTAGTCCCAGCTACTCGGGAGGCTGAGGCAGGAGAATGGCGGGAACCCGGGAGGCGGAGCTTGCAGTGAGCCGAGATCGCGCCACTGCACTCCAGCCTGGGCGACAGAGCGAGACTCCGTCTCAAAAAAAAAAAAAAAAAATTAACTCTAAATGCATGACCGTGGTGTATCTAGAACATTTTGAAGGCAAATTATCGTTTAAATCTAAATAATCTGGTCAAAGAGGCACTTCACCAATTGGCTGTGGCTAGAAATGGTTCTCTTTCAGTTTCAGTCCATCCAACCACATTCTCACTTCCTGAGCATGCTTTTGTTAGCTCTTAATTGCGCTGAGAGAATTGGGTACAAGAGTTCAAATTGTAATTAACAGAAAATTCACAGCTGGAGCTTCCATTGTCCTGTGCGTTTAGTTAGTCCTCTCACCTGCAAATTTGCATTGCCAATATATTTATGTAGCTCTTTGTTGTTTCCAGAGAACTTTCAGATGCATCATTATAGTTAATTTTCATGGCAACTCCATAAGATAACACTGCATAAGATTGCTTCCCTGCAAAAAGAAGGAAACTGAAGTCCAGGATGTTAAGAACTTGATTGAGAAATGGCAAATCCAGATCCAGTTCCTCTATTTCAGTGTTTCTCCCTGTCTTCCACATTTTTCAGCCTATAATAGGCCTATCTTGATGCCCAGGGCAGGCTGACTAGCTGTGATGAGGAAGGAGCAGTTCTTGGGAATAAAGCCTCTGTCAGTAGCTTAATAATGGCCTTGGTCATGAAGGTAAGATGCAGAGATACACATATTTTTTAATTGAATTTCAGTTAACGGTGTAAAAACATACTATTTCTAGCCAACTGAGGGACTACCTAGGAAATATGTTTTTACCCAACCCCGATAGTGACTTTCTCCTTGGAGGAGGATTTGAGCTCATTCACTCCTGGACCTGAGCATCATGTAGGAGAGAGATAAGTCCAGCAGGAGCTCAGCTGCTGAGGCACTTCCATGACTGGAAGCACTTGGATCAGAGCTGATCAGAAGGTGGACCTGTCAGTCCAGCTCACCACACCTTATACAAGTTAATGAGGAACCTTTCTCAATAGCAATTAATGAGCTTTACTGCTGTGCTAAAATTAGAGCTGAAAGGTAAACACAGATATATCACTGGAATGGAATAATAATGTTATATATATGCAAAAATTTGAGTGTGCATTAGCAATTCTGTTGCCCTTGGAGTTCATCAAAGCCCTAATATGAGCTGTGCAGAGACAGAGGGACAATGCATTCTGCTTCGCCAGGGACAGTCTCAGTGCAGCTTGTCGTCCTTACATAATTACTATGTCCCTTTTCACTCTCATAAGTGTTCCGCTTGGCTGGTAAATCATACAGTCTCCCAAAGCACAGAGCTCAGCATATCATAGGCATTTAGGAAAGGTTAGTTCTCTTCCTTGACAAGTCAATAATATCTGCTGGGAAATAGCCACACAAGCTGTGCATTTTGTCCATTTAAGGAACCTATTCTTGACAGTAGAAGTTGAAATCAGGACATTTTCCTCAATGAAGGTCTTCTTTTTAAACGTGATAATGCTTATTCAAATTCATATTGGCACAATAATTGGCCTGACTTCTGCAGGCTTTGGATTCAGTTGAGCAAATGAGGAAAGGGGTCTCTGGTTCTTCTGCATAAATCAGTAAAATCATCATCACTAATATTGTCTCTAACTTAGTAAATTATTTCTTCTTGTACATGTTTATTTTCTCTCACAGCAACCCTATTAAGTGGGACAGTCTCAGGGACCAGAGATGTAACAGAAGTTTAGGAATAGGCTTAAGATCCACAACTAATTAGAGAATATCACTGAAACTGGGACCTGGGCCTCCCACCTTTTCATTCTACATTCTTCCATCAATCCTGCCTCTTGTAGATGTTCCCAACAGCTGTATCTTGAAGTATCTATGTTGACTTAAGACTTTTTTTTAGCACCAGTAAAACTGATGAAGAATTAGCATGCTGACCGAGGTGATGGTGCAGAATTGGCTTACTCTAAAACATGCATTGTTGCCAGTTTATTCATCTAGTGTGGCCGAGGGGCAGCCTCATGAAACAAGCCTTATATTTGTTTAGTGCATTTATGGTTTACAAAATGTTTTCTTTGCAGTGTCTGTTTGTGGCATCTGCTTGAAGCATTGGGAGTGTAAGGCACAGGTAAGCAGTAGAGGTCTTGCTATCACCATTCTTTGCCTAACAGAGGAGGAAAGAGGCTCAGGAAGATTAAGTGAATTGCTCAAGGTCACATATTTAGTAAATGCAAGAACATGGCTAAAGGCCATGTACTTCTGCTATCTGGTCTGCCAAAGGGTCCTCTTTCCTGATTTCAAGGGGCTTCTCTACCATGCTATGAAATTTGATTCTAGGGCCCGCCGGGTTCATCATAAGCACCTCATGAAGTACTGAGCTGACTCCTCTATGAAGGGGGACTAGTATGGTCTCTGACTGCTGCAGTGGTTAAAAATGAAGCAGCTTTGTACATGGTATTGACTATTTTAATGGCCAGAAAGACCAAAAAGTCCTGGGAAGTTAATTAAGGAGCTCATTTTTGAATGGAGCCAAGCTGGCAGAAGGCAATTAGAGACTGGGAAAGGACTTAGGAATGAAAGTGTTTTGAAAGCTTGTAGACCTTGCCTGTCATGAGTAAGAAATGAGATTGGGAACTCTAGAGGCTCACGGAGGTTAAAGAAGATAAAGAAACAGCCAGAAGAGGGTTCAAGGACATGCCAAACCTCCTTCTATTGGGAAACTGTGTTGGTTCCTTATTTGAAGCAGTGGGTACTTGAGGGGCAAGGAGTTTTTGACAAATAAAAATCTATAAAGAACAGGGCTCGAGGAGAAACAGTCACTGATGTGGAATTGAGGACACAAAAATACTCACTTTCTCTCTGTTAGAACAAAGCCATTCCCCCTCGCTAGGATCTTTGATAGATCTCAATAAGAGAATCAAAGACACTAGGCCCTCAGCCCAGCAGAAGCAGCCAACTCACGTGAACCAATTAATTACAACCCCCCCCGCTTGGTGTCTGTCTTCTTTCTTTCTGGCTTATTTTCTATCAACCTTGTGTGACTGAAGGCACAGACTGATGTAGATTTCCTTACCCGAATTAGAGGCTTGTGTTGCCAAGCAATATGGGAAAATTTATTGATTGATCAAAGTAAAAATGTATTGACTGATGGAGGGGAGAAGGCTGTCATGTCTGTTGCTTTTTGTTCATGACTTTTAAAGAAGTTGACTTAGAATCATTGGATCTTAGCATTGAAAAAAGGAACCTTAGGGGCTGTGTAGTCCAACTTTTCATCTAATGCAGGTAGGTACCCAAATAGAGGACAATTCAGACAATTTTGGAACACTCAGAGAGTTAAAACTTAGCATCTCGCAGCATTGTCCATTTGAATTCTAAACTCTTTACCTGTTAACCATAATATAGCACCTATTGTGTAGTGGGCACTGGTGTGAGTCCTTTACAATCACTAAGTCATTCGTCCCACACTAATTTTATCCCTATTTTACAGATGAAAAAATTGAGACATGGAGAGGTTAAGTGACTTGCCTGAGGCCACACAGCTAGTAAGCGACAGAGATGGGACTGGAACACAGGCAACCAGCCTCCAAACTGTGCACTTAATTACCAGCTTTGTTGTCTCTCTGATAAGACATCTCTAGTAATTAAGATTTTTTTCCTTTCTTATTTTGCGTCATCAAAATTGGCCCCTTGCAATTTCTACCCTAGAGTTTTTCATGTCATGATTCATCCATTATTGTCAGACACATCATTGTGTCTTCCCATCGTCTTTCCATCTGCAGGCTGGCAATCCTTAGTTCTCCCAACAGTTTCTCATGTGGCATGATTTCCATCCTCCAGGTGCTTCCTCTGGCTGTGAAAAACACCTGAGATTTACAGTCAGCCCTACCTGGGCTGGAGTCCCAGCTTCCCTACTTCCTAGCTGTATATGCTTCAGCAGATAACCCGCAGTCTTTCTGAGCAGAGAGTCCTCTATTTGTGAAGTGGAACGAATCCTAAACTCCCTGGCTCATTGTGAAGAATAAGCAAAGGGCAGGACTTGTAGTGTGAGCTCCATAAAGGGGAATTATTACTGTTGTTGTTATAAGCAATGACAACTAAATCCACTCCCCTAAAAGGACCTATAGATTGATGCAGTCCCAGTGAAAACCCTGGAAGGCTAATTTGAAGAAATTGACAAGCTGATTCTAAAATTTGTATGAACATGCACAAGATCCAAAATAGCAAAACAATATTGCAAAAGAAAAATGTTAGAGGACTCACACTACCTGAGTCAGGGTTCTCCAGAGGGACAGAATTAATAGGATATATATATATATGAAAGGGAGTTTATTAGGGAGAATTGGCTCACACAATCACAAGGCGAAGTCCCGCGACAAACTGTCTGCAAGGTGTGGAAGAAAGAAGCCAGTAGTGGCTCAGTCTGAGTCCATTCAAAAGCAGGGAAGCTGATAGTGCAGCCTTCAGTCTGTGGCCAAAGGCCCAAGAGACCCTGGCAAACCACTGGTGTAACTCCAAAAGTCCAAAGGCTGAAGAGCCTGGAGTCTGATGTCCAAGGCAGGAGGAATGGAAGGAGGCATCCAGCATGGGAGAAATATGAAAGCCGGAAGACTCAGCAAGGCAGCTTATCCCATCTTCTTCCGCCTGCTTTATTCTAGCCGCGCTGGCAGCCAATTGCATGGTGCCCACCCACACTGAGGGTGGGTCTTCCTCTCCCAGTGCACTGACTCAAATGTCAGTCTCCTCTGGCAACACCCTCACAGACACACCAAGAAACAATACTTTACCAACTCTAGGCATCGTTCAATCAAGTTGACACCTAATATTAACCATCACAGCTGCAGTAATAAAGATAGTATAAAGATAGACAAATAGATCAATGAAACAGAAAAGAGGGTCTAGAAACACACCCATACATTTACAGTCAATTGATTTTTGACAGACACAGTTGATTCGACAGGAAAGGCCTTTATCAGGTGGTGCTAGAAAAAAATGGATATTAATCTGTAAATAAAACAATCCTTGATCCTACCTAGCTCTGTACACATCAAAACTAATTTGAGATAGTTCATAAGCTTCATGTAAAAGTAAAACAAAAAGCTTGAAGAAAACAAAGCAGAATATTTTTAAGATTTTTGATTAGAGATTAGGGTACAAAAAGTACAAATCATAAAAGAAAATAAGATAAATTAGAATTTATCAAAACCAAATATGTCTCTTCATGAAGAGCTGTTATTAAGAAAATTAAT
This sequence comes from Homo sapiens, assembly GCF_000001405.40. Taxonomy (NCBI): domain Eukaryota; kingdom Metazoa; phylum Chordata; class Mammalia; order Primates; family Hominidae; genus Homo; species Homo sapiens. The sequence goes on from NC_000018.10 coordinate 50,594,789, forward strand.
AGGCAATCCATAGGCTAGCAGGAAATATTTGTAATACATAAAAATCAGGCCTTAAAATGAAATATTTGAAGAACTCCTACTAATCAATAATAAAAGATGAACCACTCAGTGAAAAACATGGCAAAAGACTTGAAAAGACATTTGATCTACAATTGGCCAGTCAAGGATTTAACATCATTTGTCATAAGGGAAATATAAATGAAAACCACAATGGGATACTATTCACAGCCACTAGAATAGCTAAAATCAGAAAGACTGGCAACGCCGGATGTTGGCAAGGATATGGAATGACTGGAACACTTCTAGAGTACTGGTGGGAGTATAAAGTGATACAATTATCTTAGAGAACTGTTTGGCAATTCTTATAAGGTTAAACATACATACCCTATGACCCAACCAATTTACTCTTAGTTACACAAGAGAAATGCAAACGTGTCCATAAAATGACTCATATGAGAATGTTTATAGCAGCTTATTCATAATAATCCCAAGTTGAAATCAACCCAAAGTTCCGTGAAAGCAGAATGGATAAACAAACTGTGGTATGATTTTGAAAAATGGAATAATACTCAGCAATACAAAGGATTAAAAACCCAAGATATGCAAAATAATCTCCAAAACATAATAGTGAATGAAAAATCCAGGAAAAAAACATACCTTCCAAATGATTCTATTTACAAGAAGTTCAAGAACAAACGAAACTAATACAGAGTGGTAGAAATCAGAACCGTCATTGCCTTTGGCGAGGGTGGGTGGGAATTGACTGGAAGAGGGCATGAGGAAGCTTTCTGGGGTAACAGACACATTCTATATCTTGATTGTGGTGATGGTCATATGGGTAGACACAGTCTTCAAGACTCATTAAATTGAACACTTAAGATCTGGGAAAATTCTACCTACATGTTAAGAGATAAATGGTAACATGTGAAATAGAAGATATTATGACTTATTATGAACAGTGACTACAGTAGTTTTTTATTCTCATGATTTGAACTTTCTGCTTCTATTAATGTAGACTGAAATTACGTTAGCTGTGTTTTTCTTTTTTGGCAGCTTCATCACACGCTTTCCATTTATTGTATTTGTGGCTAATGGTAACTGCCAAGTTTCTCTTCTTTTTAGACGTGAATTACTGCCAAGCAGGGCTCCTTTATGAAATACCTGCTTCGTTTGTCTCAGTGGGTGTCTATATGCAGGCCTTGAAGGAATGAATAGAACTCAGATAAACAAAGGTGGGATTTCTGAAAGGAGTAATGCTGTAAATAATAAGAACAGATTCCCATTAAATAGTACTCAGCGCTGGGAGCTTTTCTAGGGCTTCACACATGTTCACCCATTCAATTCTCACAACTCCATGGATAGGTGCTATTGTCATCCGCATTTTCTCCATGGGCTGACTTGAGGTACAGTGAGGTTAAATGACTTGTCCAAGGTTATATGGCCAGTAAGGGGTGCGGGTAGAGCTGGAGTTTGAGTCCTGGCAGCTCTGATGCCAAAATCTGTGCTTCTTCCGCCTGTGCTATGTTATGCCTGGCCCCTGGTTTGCTTCTTCTGTTTGATGTGTTGACTGTAATTGACCTGGGATTTGATCTGTCTCTGGTTAATCCTCTTACAATAGCATGAGCCTAGGTCACTCCCCTAAGGAACATCATACCCAGAGCATTTTATGAATCCTTCATGAGAATTCTCTTGTGGGAGAACCTGTTTATGAAGGAACAACACTGGGTTCATTAGAAGAGTGGCCCTGATGAGCTCCAGACCTCATTACAGGTCCAGCACAGTCCTCTCTGCAGTCTCTCTTGATGCACCTAAGTGCAAAGAATTCCTTAAATAGCATCCATTGGCCATAAGGTGCATGATGCTATTCTATGTATCCACCAAAATCAACATCAGTGGTATAATGTCAGATAAGGGAAGCACTGCTTGGTAGCAATTCATGTCCAAAAGGAAGAGAAACTTGGCAATTATCATTAGCCATAGATTCTGTAAATGACAAGAGTGTGATGAGGCTGTTAAACACAAGATCAAAACCAAACAAAACTTCACACAGTCTCAGCCCACGTTAATGGAAGTCGAAAGTTGAAATCATGGGAGTAAACAGCTCTACTGCACTCATTACTGTTTCAAGTAAATCTTAGCATGTTCAATGTCAGGTGTCATTATTTTTTAACCTGTAGGTAGAATTTGCACAGATCTTAAGTGTTCAATTTAAAAGCACAGATTTTGGCATCGGATCTTAAGTGTTATGACAATTGCATTTACCCATATAACCATTACCCCAGTTAAGATATAGAATGTTTCTGTTATCCCTAAAAGTTTTGTCATGTCCCCCTTCAGTCAATTCCCATTCAACCCAATGAAAAGTATATGTTGATCCCTAGAGAAAAGAAGCCTTCTGGACCAGATTGGGATTTTTCTTTACTAACCTTTACTAAGCACTTTGTACATGTCACAAACCCACAGGAAAGGTCTCTTGGAATTGGGTGGCATAGTCTGGAGACAGCTTGTTGCAGAGACAGATCCAGAGATATTACCAACTGGAAACACTAAAAGCTAGTTTCCACTCCCAGCGGCCAGTCCTGAATGATGCTCACCTGTCTCTGAAATCATGACTCTGTCCTGCTCATCTTGTTTCTACACTAGTGGCCCCAGGGAGTCTTGCTAGATCAAAACATAGGTTTCTGGTTTTACATCCCAAAGAAAGCTGCCATGAGCATGTAATTAACTAGAAAGTTCCAGGTGATGATTTATAAATCTTATTTAGACCTTTACAGTGATCTACTTTCTTAGTGGCTTGTGTCAAATTGGCTTTGGTGGCTACCCTTGAGTTGCTGTAAGTGGGACAGAAAGAAGACATTGATCATGTTGGACCAGGAGGCACCCCCAGGACATAGCATAGTGTTAGATATGGGGGAAATGCCTAATATATGTGCTTGTTTGAGAAACCATACCTAGATTATCTCTGGGGCTCCAGCATAGTTCAGCTGTGTATAGACACTTCTTTGGGCTGCAAAATCCTCATTTGAAAATTGAGATTAATGCCATCTCTCTATTGCAAGATGATGGAGAAAGTTAAATGAGGTATTAAGTAGTTAGAGCTCTGAAAATATATAAAAGTGGCACAGCATTAGGAAGGATCACATATTAAAGCATCTCTATCTCTTTGAAGAAGCTGAGCTGGGGGGAAAAACAAGTAGTGAGATTTGGGACAATGAAACAACTTTTTTAGTCCCTCTGTGTTTAAAAATTCACTCTCACACATTCATCCTTTTGGGTTTTAAAAGCTTCCTGGGCCTTCACGGCCCCTCCAACCACTACCACAACACCCCTTTCTTCCCAGCTAAAACCTCCAAGATATGTTAGACCTTAAAACTTGATCTTCTGAATGGAGTCAGCTGGGTTTAATATTAGATACCTACTGCATGCCAAGCACTGTGAAGGTAATAAAAATAAGCAAGAAATAGCGGCTGTCCTCCAGGAATTTCTAACTCGATCACATCACTTACAACAGGAGAAGAATCCCAGACAAACAGTCCTCCCGCTTCATTCACTAACCAACACTACTGGTCTTCTTACCAGTTTACCTTGATCTGTCTTGTCCCTGCCTTTTCACACATTAAATAATTAATTCTGGAGTTTTCTCTCTACAATAAGCAATGGCCTGGCTAGGAAAAAAAATCATCTCAAGAACTTCTAAGAAAAAACAAAAAACAAAATGACTGTGTCTTTTGAAGGAATCATAAGTATACTATGATTCTCTGTTCTCAGTTTATGGATAGCTTTGGTTTAAAACATGTCCATATGCCTTTATCTTCATAATTCATGCCTTAGGCTGTCCCTTCTTTACAACTAAACTTCACATTTTATTTGGATTTCACTAACTGTTTCATTAATGACCGCTTTCTGTTCCAGGATTCAGTCCAGAGTTTAGCATTGCACTTAGTTGTCATGTCTCCTCCGCTCTGAGTTTCTTGGTCTTCCCTTGTTTTTTCATGACTTTGGCAGTCTTGAGGAGTACTAGTCAGATGTCCCTGAAGCTAGGTTTGTCTGATTATTTTTATCATAATTATATTGGGGTTAGTGGGTTTTTGGGGGAAGAAACAACACAGAGGTGAAATGACCCTCTTGTCATGTCATATCAGGGGATACATGATATCCCCATGATTGGTGATGTTAACCTTGATCACTTGGTTAAGGTGTAGTGTTTGCTAGGTTTCTCCCCTCTGAAGTTATTATTTTTCTCTTTCCATACTCTGTTCTTTGGAAGAGAGTCACTAAGTCTAGCACACCTTAAGTTTTACCTCCTGCAGCAGGGTGTATCTGCATGTGTTATTTAGATTAATATGATTTGAACAGAATTAATATTTAGCCTCTCCATACAGCACCACTGAACTTCACACTACAGGTCATTCTCACTGTGTACCTTGAGAACAATAGCTAATTAATCCTAATTAGAAATTATAACAGGCTCTCACTAACTCTTACTTCTCTAATCTGTAAATAGAACAGATTTTTAAAAACCCTATCAGTCTTTTTACCTCACTTCTAAGCTAAGATTTATATAGCTAAAAGTGACAATATATGCTTAATCCATGAAATCTATGTCTATGAACATATTTCATTTTTTACTTTTATTATTATTATTATTTTGAGACGGAGTCCCGCTGTCGCCCAGGTTGGAGTACAGGGGTACAATCTCGGCTCACTGCAACCTTTGCCTTTTGGGTTCAAGCAATTCTCGTGCCTCAGCCTCCTAATAGCTGGGAGTAAAGGCATGTGCCACCACACCCGGCTAATTTTTTGTATTTTTAGTAGAGGCGGGGTTTTGCCATGTTGCCCAGGCTGGTCTTGAACTCCTGGGCTCAAGCGGTCCACCTCCCTCAGCTTCCCAAAGTGCTGGGTTTACAAGTGTGAACCACTGTGCCTGGCCTGCTTTTATTATTTTTAATAGACACATAATAATTAGATACTATAAATGTATTTAAAACAGGTTATCTGTGGAGCCTCAGCCTGAGTAACTTTCCACAAATGTTTTACTTTGTGTTTTCTGCTTTCCTGAGGAGTATCTAAGTCATTTATAGAGAAATGTGTTTGTGAAAATAGCTTGGATTTTAATCTATATGTTATATTACAACCTCTAAATGGAACATCTTACTCTAAGGGGTGCAAAGCCAATTATTACATATAATTAGGTAATATCTGCATTCTCAAAAAACCCCAGTCTCCTTATGACTTGGTTTCTAGTAGAACAGGGTTTAGTTTCAGATGCCTTCAATTCTGCCGAGTAGAAGCCACTGTATTTGATATAGTTTGTGTATTCTAATCATTTCCCCGTATGTATATGCATCTATGCTTCACCCCAACCACACTGAATATTTGGAGAGAACAGTCGGCGACTTCCAGCTTTGTCTCCCAGTGACTAGCCTGTGGCATTTGTAGAGTTGTTGGTTGTTTATCCAACATTGATGTGTGCCTTTCCTTCTATCCCACAGAATCCCAATTTATTCAGGAACCTCTCCCCTCTCCCTAACCAGGCATCTCAGGGGAAACTAACCGACACATAGCTCCAGGGGCAGGTCTGATTGGTTGAAGGCATTCCTCCTCCTCATTCATGATTAGCCTCAGAAGGGGCACATGGCCCCAAACAGCCCATGTAAGGAGCTTGCTGGGGGCTTCTGAGAAATTTTTCTTCATCTTAAGACAAAATGACGGGAGTGGTGAGGTGGCTTCTCTACCTATAGACACTCATGCATAGCCATGACCATCAGAGCCACTAGAGCTGCCCACCTCCAGTCAGGGCACAAAACCAGGAGAATGTCAGGAGAACCACGGACCTGTGCTAAGCTGAGGCTTCCCATTTGTGAAACTGTAATAAATGTACTTTCTGTTTTAAGTTCAGTTTCCTGTTACTTGCAGTCAAAGACTTCCTTGGTGATATACATTTATCAATAAGTGTCTTTATTTGATTGATTTTAGTGTCAAAGAACCTCTTAGAAAGAAGAGGATGCTTTTTAAAAAGTGAAAAAAAAAAATCACTAGTTCACTTTGATTGGGAAAGGAATTTCATCCTAGATAGAAATTTTTTAAAAATATGTGGTTTTTATTCCTGTTCATTCCTTGTTCATAAACTTGCACATTAAATGTTATTTTAAACTTTAGTATTGTTCACGATTTGAAGATAAAAAAGTGGTGGGCACAATGGCTCACTCCTGTAATCCCAGCACTTTGGAAGGCCGAGGTGGGCAGATCACTTGAGCCCAGGGATTTGCAACCATTCAGGTTTTGAACATAGTAAGACCCTATCTCTGTAAAAAAAAAAAAAAAAAGAAGAAGAAGAAGAAGACAGAGAGAGAGACATAGTGTGAGACCCTGTTCCTATTTTTAAAAATACAAAAATTAGCTGGGCATGGTGGCGCGTGCCTGTGGTCTCAGTTACATGGAAAGCTGAGGTGGGAAGATCGCTGGAGCCTGGGAGGTGGAGGTTGCAGTGAGCCAAGATTGTGCCACTGCACTCCAGCCTGGGTGAGAGAGCAAGACTCTATGTCAAAAAAAAAAAAAAAAAAAAAAAAAAGTTAGGGTGCCGTTGATTGATCTGTTTTGTCCTAGTGTGAAAATTGCCTGGCTTCTGGAAACCATGAAACAGTATAGATTGTAGCCTCCTCTGAAACACATGCAACTTTCTCTACCCAGAGTTATTTTGTCTCAATTCCTTCCACCCCTCCTTCCACGGCTGCACCACTTCTCTTCCTCTTTCTCTTTTGGGTGTCCTCCTGCAGGTGGTTGTCCACTGAGCTGTGTCTTCCCAGATGCATGGTCAGCTCCACCTGGGTCTTTTGAATAGGATGCACCTCTCCAGTACTGCAAGCTTCACCTGGCTCTTTCTTGGAGATCCTGTTTGCTGCAGTATAGTATCAATTTATGACTATTTTGCTTCCTATTGAGACTCTGTGTGTGATGTCCATAGGCTTTCAAGCCCTGGAATTTCTCACCATTTCCTATCTTTTTCTTGCTGTGGGTCACTGGGCACATTCTGTACTCTTAGTCTTCTTCCTTTGTCATACCTCTTGCCTTCCGTGGCAGCTCATTGCAAGGGCTTTATGAGAATAGCTTTCTTTTCTCATCTCTAGTGGACACTTCATGCTTGTGTTCCCTCCATCCTATGGAAAGGACCCATTATTTTGATATTGCAAACCTTAGGCCAGTAAGTAAATTTCTTTTTTCTCTCCAGTCAACAGCTCAGTATTTCCTAGCTGGTATGATCCAGCTTTATCTCACACATTTTTATAGTGTGTTTCTTAAATTATATTTCTCAGAATATAGTTCCTAAAGGTATTCTATAGAAATATGATTCCATAGACAATGTAATTTGAGAAATGCCGCAGATCTTCCCAGAGAGTCACCATGCATATTAGCAAGTACATCGTAGGTCCCAATAAACCCTGTATAAAGACAACTGTTTAACTTATTTAACTATAATGCCCTCCACCTCTGCTTCCCCTTCGCCTCCTCACAACAAGGTCTATTCAATAGCCTATGAAACTGATCCAGTAGAATTTACCTTTCCCTGAACCCATTTGGGCTTTGCTGCTTCTAAGCCTTTGCTTTTGGGGTTCCTTACTTGGAACATCCTCCCTGGCTATCTTTGTCTATCAGAATGACCAGCCCTGCCCCCTGAGCCTAGCTCAGATGGTGACTGTGTGATACTTTACTTTAAAATATTTCCACATTAAAAAGTGCAGCAGGGATGTGGGCATAACTGAACTCCAGTCCACAAGGGGTAAGCGCTTAGCATTTGAAATATCCTAATCAGGAATCAACATTCCAGAGGTAGTTATTCAGCATTCTAAGTATGCTTGAAATCTATACCAGAGGGTTTGTAAATTAGCATAAGGTATGTGAGAAATGAATTTTCATTGGTGTGACGAGTGATGTTCAAGATCAGTGATTGGTTAGAACGATTGTCTAGGCCACACTCCCTGCATGAAGGAGATACAAGAATCAGCAACCCCATTCCCTGGGTTCAGTACTGTGCTCTAGGCCAACTGCCTGAGGGTCTCAAGGACCCTGCTTCAGGGAAGACCTCTGGTGCCTGAGTCCCCTATAATCCTGGAATATTGCAGCCTCCTCAGATGTTGGGTGTGGGCTGAGGTGTCAGAGGGCCAAGATGGGGACTTCCCTGAGCTACAAAAACTGCTCACATGACTGTGCAGGCTTGCTAATAAATTTCATCCAAGACCTGCTTAAATTGTGTCTTACCTCCTGGTAAGGAGGTAGTGGAGAGGGGCTGCATCACCCTCCACTAATCTGGAGGTTACAGATAGTTACTGCAAGAACCTGGCAAGCAGATGTGGCCGGTCAGCAGACAGGTCAGTCCCCCATGGGCCATGACCACTGGCCCAGGCCTCTCCCCTGTCATTTCTGTTCTCAAGGTGATGCTGACCAGGGTGAGGAGTCATCAGCCACCCCAGAGCTCAGCCAGCTCTACCAGCTTCCATCTCCCTGGTGTGTCTTCTGTCCCAGAGTCAAAGTGGCTGCATTAGGGACCTATAAGCCACTAAGGTACTTGGTTAAGGGACATCCACATCTCCTCTCACCCTGTGACCACAACAAAGAGGGGCTCTTGTCATGCCAATTTCCTGCGTGTGCCCTGCCCTCCTCATCCTCCTAAACTCTCCTATGTCTACACACACACATTATTGGGGTTCCTGCAGGATCCATGCCTATACCAGCAAATGTGACTCTGTCATTCCTCCAGAGTCACTGATTTTCCACACTAGCCCAATGTCATCAGTCCTGTCTCTGCCTCTGAGTCCACAGCTGCAGAATGGGAATAAAGCAGTATCTCCTCATGGGCCTGTATGTACAAACTAGTTTGTATATACAAAGTCTAGAACACTGCCTGGCATCTTGTAAGCACTTGTTAAGTATTCATTATTCCTTTTATCTTTCTTTCTTCTTAAAAAATTATTATCAAAGCTTTGTCTTAACAGGTGGGTTCATTGCACTGGTGTGAAATGAACAAATTCTGGAGGTTGTAATAGCCTTCTATTAACCAAGATAGATGTCACAAAGAGATAGATATCACAAAGACCATGCACTAATGTTCACTCCTTTACTCATTGGGGCCTTTACTTGGAACTTATTTGCTCTTGGTTTACAAGGAGTTCTAATAAGCTTGATTTGCTTCCTTACTTAACAGAGGATTAGAACAAACAAATTAGAAGGAATTTGAGGCAGGCATACCCAAACCATCAAGGAGTGACTGCTGATAGTGAAGAAAGAGTCATAGAAGTATAAGGACAAGACAAGAAAAAAAACTCAAATTCTGGGATCATTTAGGTAGGAAAAAATAGCCCCATGCCTCAGTACTTCTCAAACCATGTCATTGTTCTAAAGCCTAGGGTAACGGTTGATGTTTATAGTGATGATTTTGAGTTACTGAGAGATTATTAACTGATTTTTAGCATGCTTTGTTTAATGAGGCAGGAAAGTATGTGATATGCTTTAGAACTTCCAACATAGTGGTGAATGTTAAAGTTTTGATGCTGAGAGTGATCAATCATGCTCTTGTTATTTGTTAAAGCAATTTATATAATTTATATAACATATCCAGTTCTCACTTCATACCGGATAAATAAGGCATCACTTTCCATGGTTAGTAATTGCAAAATACCCCTAATCCATGAGGTATAAGCTTGCTTACTCTTTTAGAAAAACAACTCCCAAATCTGACTCTTGCTAAATCCTAAACAGTTTTATAGATACATGTGAGAACAGAGCGTGTAGAATAATCGATCTGAGAAAGAGACTGATACTTGTAAATAAAGCAGCCCCTTTTCTAAGTTCTATGTTTAACTTCTACTTTTTGTCTTGGTCTAAAAGACCTTATCCACTGTTAGGTTTTGCTGAGTTTGGAGCAGATATATTTTAGTATGAGGGAAAGAGCATGGGTATTTCACTGCGTTGCTGTGCTCAAGTTTCCCTTGGCTGTTAACAGCTGCCAGTCTCAAGAGTGCAATGGCCTGGAGCAGGGGGCTTTGCCCCACTGGTGACTAGGATGTGATCCGGTCTGGACTCTGACTTGTCTTGTGCAGAGACACATAAATTCATCAACAGCTAAGGGATTTGAGGCTCTGTAACAAATGATAGTGCAAGAGACAGAGCCTTAAATTATTGAACATATTTCTCTATTAAGGAGCAGAGGGTGCAGGAGGATGGTAGTTACAGCCTGACATTACTGCCATAGACTCTGCCACCTACTGAGCTCTCACTATGTACCAGGCCCTGTGCACACATCAACGCTTTGATGCAGATGCCATCAACCCTACAAGGCAGATGCTTTATATAATGAGGAAACTGAGGCTCAGAGATGTTAAGTGACTTATGTAAAGTCACACAACTAAGTACAGAGGAGATCAAGTTGAAATCCAGATCTGTCTGCCTCTCTGGGCCATGCTTTTAACTACTGGATGGGCACTGGGGAAACATCTTTTCCCTGGGACCAGCTCAGCCTTGGTCTTTGTGCAGAGTAAAGAGGCAGCAGAGGGCTCCCAGGAAGATTCAGGTACTGCTCTGAGGGAGAAATGTCAGGGACAAAGATTTGGATCCATTTGGAAGGGATCTTGAGGAAACATGGGTTATATTACTTCTCCTAGAGGTGGGTCCTCTGCTCTAGGGCCCAACAAAACCAGTCAGCAGTGGAAGCTGCTTCCACCTTGCAAGAGAAACTCTTTATGCCCCTGCTCCTATGGCCAGCGTGTTTGTCCTCAAAAGTTTTTCCAGGGTCACTTCTAACTGGGCAGTTTGCCGATCTCCTTAGATATTCAGTTCAGGCCTGAGGTGGTTTTCATTTGGGATGTCTCTCAGAGGGGCAGTTGAGCTGTCATTCCTTCCAGGGAACAAGAAGCAGGAGGTAGAGGGGAGGAGGACCCATGGCCCAGCCTCCTTCCGGGGCAGGCCTTCCCTAGCAGAGTGCCTGCGCTCGTTCCTCCATACAGCTCACCTGGTTGCCACTCTCCTGCTCCAGCGAACATGGCAGCCTCTGTCCCATGTCTCAGTCTGGTCTCACTTCCTCCTGGATCTTCTTGTTCTTTAGGTTAGTGGCAGTCAGAGGGAAAGATAAGAGATCACGAACTCAAAGGGGAAGAGTCATGAGGGCAGACTCTGGCTTGGTCCACATGCTTTGGCAAGGCATCCTGAACCACAGGAAAGTCTGGGCTGCAGCAGAAAATAAGGGCTTACATTTCTCATGGAGTCAAAGAAAAAGGAGGTGGCGGGGGCGGGGGTGGCAGAAATAACAGGTATCATGATAAAACAAGAGCACTGCAGAGGGAATGGGAACGTGCCCTGGAGTCAGACAGACATGGGGAGAACCCCGCCTGCCACTGGCTGTGTGATTGTGGACATGGTCTTAGTTTTTGATGGCGATTTGACAGATATAAGCAAAGGAATCCTGGCAAAGAACAGTGGGGGAATATTATAGACCAGGTGAAAGGGGCCAGATTTTTGAGGGTCTTAAGTGTCAAGCAGAGGAGTTGGGATTTTGTCTTTAATACACTAGGGATTTTGTCTTTAATACACTAGTGAGCAGGGATGTTGCCTGTTCAAAGTAGTGCTTGAGTGAGATTAGCCTAGCAATGTTACATTCCGTTTACATTCATGCCTGCATCTAGAAAAGTAATGCAAAAATGCTGCCCTATCTATTGGTAGCCTGGGATGACTAACGGTGGTCTTCAGTGCTATCTACCAAATATTTCTAATTTTCTGCCTTCTGGGAACATAGCATTGCATTTTCCTGTCTGCTTCAAAGTTAGGTGTGACTGTGTGACCTACCTAAACCAAGGCTGGGATTGGCAAACTTTTTCTTAAAGGACTAGGTAGAAAATATTTTCAGCTTATGGGCCATACAGTCTCTTTTGCAACTACTCAACTTTGCTGTTGAAGTACGGAAGCAGTCACAGATACTGTGCAATGGGGCAGGCATAGCTGTGTGGCAGTAAAACTTCATGTAGAAAAACAGGCAGCTGTCCAATGTGTGTGAGCAGAAGTGACACTTTTGGACAGAAGCTCTAAGAGCTGGTGCCCAGTTCACTGCCGCTGCTGTAATCCTGGAGGCACATGTGAAAGTTCAAAGCCTGTGTCAGGCTGGGACCCCAAGTGACTACGTGAGCCGAGTCCCTGTCAATGCATGTTGCACACATAGCGTGGTTAAGAAATAAACCTGGCAGTGTTAAGCCAGTGCGATTTTGATGCTGTTTCTTACTGCAGCATAACCTCTCTCTGCGGAATGATACAGTATCATCTTTGTATGCAAAGCATCACATCACCATTCTCTTAGTCCTCATCATTACAGCTGACATTTAATAAACACTTACTATGTGCCAAATACTAATGGGGCCAGGGGGGAGGGGACTTTACTAACATCATTTCAATAATTCCTTCTCACAACCACACGACATGAGTACTGTGATTATACCCATTTTTGCAGAAAAAGAAAATGGAATTTTCGAGAGGTGAATTAACTTGCTTACGATCTCACAAATGGTTAAGTGGAGGAAGTAGGATATGAGCCCAGATCTTCTCATTCTAAATCTAAAGTTCTTCAGCTCTGTGTATCCTGCCTCAGGTCCAGGCCTTTGGATTTTTTCTTTTATCTCTTGTCCCCTTTGCTACTTTGATCACTGTTCTTGGCTGTGTGTGTTATTTTGACGTGATCCACAGTGGCCCTGTGACAGGGCAAGAATGAAGAATCTTGCCTCCAGAAAAGCGCTGCTCTGAGCAGTGGAGGTGAGAGGAAATAGCCTGGAGGGACGAATTGGGTTACCAGTTCTGACGCACACAGTAAGAAGGCCACGTGGTGATTGGCAGATCCTTAGGAACCACTCTCAGTCATGTACCCATGTATTTCCATCAGTCATCCAAGGCCAATTGTCATCTTTCCATTCTCAGCCATGTTCATGTCTTTTTTGACAGGAAAAAATCATTTATATTCTGGAACTGTCTTAAGAAACTGTGCTACTCCCCTTCCTGGCCTGAATAAGCTGTGACTGTCATCTCTGATGGGTTTAAAGACAATTTACCAATCTTGTATTGCAACAGCCTTCATCTATTGGACCCTATAATAAGAAGCCACATAATGAGTTCTTATAATTTGCAAGAGCTACCATTGAAGACACTATCCATTATGCTATTTAATATCCCTCACTTAAAGTCTCATTTAATTAATTTTTCTATTTAGTATCATGGAATTTTTTCAATAAAATTATACCTTTCCCTAATCAAAAATGAGCATTACATAACCAATTACATTTCCCTTTTTACCTTGCCCGTTGGAAACCAGGATTTACTTGATACTTGAAAATATAACTGTTTTGACTGAGGATCATGGTGGATAATGTTTACTCATTCTCCCCCTGCTCCTCCTTCACCCCTGAGGATTCAGATATCTGTTTCTGACTTTAAGTTTTAAATGTATAACATTTTATTGTAGGTCACTGAAAATCCTTCTTGGAAGTAGATAAGATGTCAATTATAATTTATAACTTCACTAGGCCATGTGATAGCAAGTCAGTGAGTAGAGTGGAGTTAACATTCCGAGCTTCTGCTTCCCTCATCCTGGTTGAGAGTTCTTGTTGTTTATCATCTGAGAGTGTCATCCCTCAGTGTGGGATACCTTGAAGATACAGATCCACTTCCTTTTTTTTACAATGACAACTCAAGGTGTTATCTTTGTTCTAAACTCACTTCATGCAGGGACCAATGATCCAAAAGAGAGATTTTGGGGGCCATCAGATTTGATGAAATTAGTCACAGCAGCAGATGCTTTTTATCAAGCACTTGCTTGCCAGACATTATACTGCCCATTTTGCATGCTGTATTATGTTTACCCCTCCAGCCTGTGAGATATGTCTTCTTTTTTTTATTTTATTTTATTATTATTTTTGTTTAGTATTTATTGATCATTCTTGGGTGTTTCTCACAGAGGGGGATTTGGCAGGGTCATAGGACAATAGTGGAGGGAAGGTCAGCAGATAAACAAGTGAACAAGGGTATCTGGGTTTCCTGGGCAGGGGACCCTGTGGCCTTCCGCAGTGTTTGTGTCCCTGGGTACTTGAGATTAGGGAGTGGTGATGACTCTTAACGAGCATGCTGCCTTCAAGCATCTGTTTAACGAAGCACATCTTGCACCACCCTTAATCCATTTAACCCTGAGTGGACACAGCACATGTTTCAGAGAGCAGGGGGTTGGGGGTAAGGTTATAGATTAACAGCATCCCAAGGCAGAAGAATTTTTCTTAGTACAGAACAAAATGGAGTCTCCTATGTCTACGTCTTTCTACACAGACAGCAACAATCTGATTTCTCTATCTTTTCCCCACATTTCCCCCTTTTCTATTCGACAAAACCGCCATCGTCATCATGGCCCGTTCTCAATGAGCTGTTGGGTACACCTCCCACACGGGGTGGCGGCCGGGCAGAGGGGCTCCTCACTTCCCAGAAGGGGCGGCCAGGCAGAGGCGCCCCCCACCTCCCGGGCGGGGCGGCGGCCGGGCGGAGGCGCCCCCCACCTCCCAGACGGGGCGGCTGGCCGGGCGGGGGCTGCCCCCCGCCTCCCTCCCGGACGGGGCGGCGAGATATGTCTTCTTCTTGGGCTGGGGAAACTGAGGCTCATGTAGGTAAAGTGACTTGCCAGGACACACAGTCAAGGAGAGGCTCACACAGTCAAGGAGATTTAAACACAGGTGTTTGTGACGAGAATGCACTCCTTCTACTTTGCCACTATCGATTCTTGATGATCATGAGGATGTCAGGTACTGTTCTTCTACATGCTAGGTACTATTCTAAGTGCTTGATTGTATTAATGTCCCTATGATAGGTTCTGCTACCACCATTTTACCATGGGGAAACCAAGGCACAGAGAGGTTAAGTAACTTGCCATAGGTCACATAGGTAGTAAATGGTGGAGGGAGGATTTGAATCTAGACAGTTTGGCTCTAAGGCCCACTTGTTTGCTATGCTGTACTCTCTTTGGTCATATTGGTCTGTAGATATGGTGGATATATCAGACAGAAAAATTAAGATCTTGGGTCATGAAGCCTGGATCCTGGTTCCCATTCTGCCAGATACTATGTGCCAAGTAGTACAGATAGGACTTTACCAACATCGCTCCAATAATTCCTTCTCACAACCATATAACATGGGTACTGTTATTATACCCATTTTTGCAGAAAAAGAAAATGGAATTTTGCAAGAGGTGAATTAACTTGTCTACGATCTTGTCACCTCCCTTCTGTACCAACCAGGGTCATGGTTAGAAGACCAGAACCACACCATTTACTTTAGCAGAGTTTAAGGAGGGAGTTGGTTAAACAGGCATGGGAGGCCTACCCTGAGGTAACATAGAGATATAACCACAGGAAGCAGCCGCCACCCCCAAGGCCAAGGGAACAGAGGACAGAAGCTTGGAGAAGTGGGGCTCATAGAACTACAGCTCAGCCTTCAGAGGAGGGACCATCACTTGGCTGGTGTCGGTATCTTAGGTCCTTGCAGGAGGGCCTCCCAGAGCAGAGGCTCAGACCTTGGAGAACTGGGCACTGCCCAGAGGCTGCTGGTACCTCTGAGGGGTATGGTGAGGCTGGTTCTGGGAGTGTGGGAAAATGGGAAACCACAACCAAGTTCAACGCCAGGGTGAAGAGCCATCACTGGGTGAGCTGCAGGAGCAGCCCTCCTCCTGCCTTGCAGCCTCCCTCTAGTGCCCCCTGTTGGCAGAAACAACAGAGAGCCAGCTGTCAAGGAGCACTGTGATTTGCAGATTTTCTGATTTCCAGCCCAGTATAATTGAACAGAGACTAGAAGGGATCGTTCAGGGCTGAGAGACAAGAGCTTCATAAATGGTAGACGTTATTGTGCTGCCATTTCTTTATTGATAAAACGATGAGACTGAACAGATGGTGTGCAGGGAGCGAATGATACTCCCATTTACCCCCTCTCCTGGGCTTCTATCACAGCAAAAAGATATAACTGATCAAGTTCTCCTCTCCTTCTCCCCTTTCTCCACTTGACAGTGAGCATCTTGAGGCCTAATATGTTACTTCTCCCAGTAATTGTCTAGTGCAAAGGACAGTTCTTGGTGAGGGCTGCTATTCTATGCTTGAACTATATAACTACCAGATTTGGACATGTACTTAGGTCACCAACTATTTAATGACCACCGAGGGTGTGTCCAGCCCTGGGCCAGGGACTGCAGAGAAGAAGGACATGCTTGAGGTGTTGACTGGCTGTGAATGAACTGACAGTCTTCTTACATGAGTGACATGAACCCAACAAGCAAAGAGCAGGTTCTCGCTTACGTGACAAAATGTCTCAAATTTGGGTAGGTTCAGGTAGAGTTTGAGTTCAGGAAAGGGAGCATGATCACATGACTTGGAGTAATTGTTTCTTACCAACCTCCAATATACTCACTTAGAGACACCATTTCTCCAAAAGTATGTGTGCTTGGAAAAGCTATTTTATTCTGCCATCTCTAGAGGCTCCCAGTGTTGTGCCTTCCTTGGCATCTTCTTCCCGTCATGAGCCCAATAACGTGCAACTTATCATGTTTTAAAAAATTAAGGTGGAGATATCAAGAGAACATTCAGAAGTTACTTGCTCATGGCTGCAGAAAATCTGCAACAGAGAAATCACCTTAGGAGCAGCCCTGGGTGCATCTTCACCAAATGAGTGAGCACAGCTGACCTTTTGCTAGAAGGTGTCGCTGAGCTCCTTATCTAGGCCCAGGCCAGAATGTAACCTTGCAGATAAGATCCCATGGGAGAGCTGCCCATCTCTCTGACAGTGGGAACATTGTTCCCTGGCCTCAGGGAAGGCTTCAGGGAGTCATTTAATGACGTAGCGTTTGATCTTCAGGGTTTGCAGAGAAAGATAAAATGGCCCAGAGGAAATGAAAACATTCCTCTGGAGTCACCTGCCCACGTCAGCAAGATGCAGGAACACTGGATTGAACAACTGAGAAGTACTCTGGTGCTTGCTGGATTCTTTGAGATGATCACACCATTGACATCACTTTCCCTGATCAGAATACTGACTCTTTATGCAGGAATGGGGCTGTTCTTTACATAGAGCCCTCAGGCACACTCCATAATCTTTAAAGATCGAAGTATGAGTTACATAAAACAAACCCCAGGAACCTGAAATGCATAGCTTGACAGAGTTTTCACATGTTTACACTATGTGACCAGATAAGGTCATAGACTATTTCTAGTACCCTAGAAGACTTCTTTAGGCTCCCTCCTAGGAAGCTCTCTTCACCCTCCCATTCTGACCTTAGATTAGTTTTGTCTGATCTTGAATTTTATATTTTATGGATTTTAGAAGAGAATACTCATTTATGTCTGGATCTTTTGCTGAATATTGTACAATTTCATTTTTACTGATGGAGAGACTGGATACAAGTTCAGAGAAGTGTTATGGCCTGAACAAGGTTTTACACCTGCAGTCCTATAATATTTTCCATTTCACAGCTAATTCGCTATAATCCATATATCCAGCCATGCATACCTCCATTCATCTAAACCTATCATAAGCAATGGCTTTGTGTCAGGGATAATTCTAGGTCTTGGACATATAGATATGAGTATGTCACCCCTACCCTCAGGGAGCTCCCAGTATAGCGGGAGAGAAAGATTTCAGGTGGATAATTAAACAGGACTTGTGAGGGCATAGAACAAGAGCTGTATATTTATGTGCATACTGAGAGGAGGAATCTGTGACTGGAGGGCTCATCATGGAAGGGATGACATTAGAGCAGAATTGCATTCTTGGACATTTTTCTTGTTTTTTCTTGCCAGCAGGGATGCAAATTCTAAGAAGACAGGATTGGGGTCATCTTCTGTGTACATCCTATAGCACCCTGCAGTCATGGAGCTAGCAGGAAATTATTGCTGAATTCACAGCCTACAACCTTTAAACATTGTGAAATGTCTTCTCTAAGGGCATGAGTAGTACACCTAGAATCTTCTAACTAGACAGAAAGCAGAAAGTGACAGGTTCCCATCTTGAGTGATTTGATTAGATACTTAGAAAGGCTATAAAGATCTTTGGCAAACAACAATGCCAGTTTCTGCAGAGTTCCTGGTGTGGAACCTTGTAGCCGGAGAAACATAAGGCCCTGGATGAATCTCTGAAAATCGTGTCTGCCAACTTGCTTCTCTAGGTGAAGCAAGTGAGAACTTTTACAAGACTTTTTTTCATCCTTACAGGACATTAGAAAACACATTGTGGCAAACACATCCTAAGGTGACTTGCAATGAATATAACCCCTTTATAGTAGCCCCCCTGTATAATCCTCTCCCTTGATCATGGCAGATCCTGTGCATCTAACCAATAGAATATGGCAAAAGTAATGGGGTGTCACTCCTATGATCATGTTATGTTATAGAAGACTCTGTCTTAGCAGACAGAAGAGAGTGTCTCTTGTTGGCTTTGAAAAAGCACACAGCCGTGTGTGAGAGGGCCTGTGAAGAGAGCCACATGGCGGGAAGCTGTGTGTGGCCTCTAAGACCTGAGTAGCCTCCAGCCAGTAGTCAGTAAGAAGCTGGGTCCCTAAATCCTACAGCTGCCAGGAAATAAATTCTGCCAACAACCTGAATGAGCTTGGATTCTTCCCCAGGCAAGCCTCCAGATGAGAATGCAGCCCATTTGACACTTTGATTGAAGCCTTGTGACCCCGGAGCAGAGGACCCAACTAAATTGTGTCTACACTCCTTACCCACAGAAACTGGGATATCATTAATATGTGTTGTTTTAAGCTGCTAAATTTATAGTGATTTGTTACAAAGCAATAGATAACTAATACATGCACGTATCTGCAAACACTGATTGTCTCAAAACAATCCTTGTGTGACACATAGTTCTACAGAGATTGTAAGTCTTATATACACCATACATAGGCTGTAGAATAATAACCAATGAATTATTTTTATGATTTGAAGTAGCATTTTACTTTTATACTATTGTGGGCTCTGACTTATCTAGGAAGTAAGCCAGGGCATTGCATTGTTTAGGACATAAGTTTAATTGCCCTAAGAGAGACCCTAAATCAGCCCCTTTTCTAACATTTGTAGAGCTCAGGACAAGAAGACAAATGAATGAAATACCATGTCTAAGTAATTAAAAGTTATAAATTGCTGTTTAATATATTCTATTCAACTATATTGACAATATATCTTTATAGTGACATGTGGAAAGCTATGGTCTTGATATCATTGAAAGTTGGCAAAATGTTAAAGGTAATAGAATTTATTATTATGCCTGTTGGGTATTCTGCTAATGGACAATGTTTGGATGAAACAATAACATATACATATAATTCATAAATTATATATACTATAGCAAATTTTCTTGCCTTCATTTCAGAATAATCCTTAATTAATGTTGCTTTATATAACTAGTGTTCAGTTGTCAGTAAGGACCTAAAAGACTAAAAAATTAAATGTGTGTCAAATTTGAATGAATTACTATCAAAATGTAAATTTAAACTAATAAATCAAAATTAAAACATTCTAAATTAATGTTTTTCAAAAATTTTAAACAGTATTTAAAATATCTAAATATCTAAAATTTAAGATCAAAACACATGAATAATACCAAATTTTAAATTTAAATTTAAATAAGGTTGAAATTGTTACTTAATTTTTAAAACACTTATTTGAATCATATTTTTATAAAAATAAAACCATTTTTAACTCTAGCTTTTCAAGTATATGTAGTTGCCAATATAAAGGATCAGTTTCACCTGTATCAAAATATCCCGTATACCTCATAAATATGTACACCTACTACATACCCACAAAAATTAAAAATTTTAAAAAATCAGTTTCACATGTCACACGTATTATCTCTAGACCTATCTAGATGTGTATATATTTAAAGGTTACGAATTGTTTAATATTGCAAACTATTCCATAACTTTCATATGTAACTCTTGTGGTTATCACACTACTTCAGTGGTACTGGTAGAATCAAGAATTGGAATATGAATAGAATCAAGAAAATGAGGATTCTTCCCTTCTGGGAAGCAATACTTCTTGGTTATTCAGGAATCTGTTACATTGCTGGTCTCTGAGGGAGGAGTTGTTGAGTCAATACTTAAGGGCTGGCACTGCTCAGATTCTCCCTGTACTCTGCGTCTGTCTCTGATGTTGGCGATGTCACAATCCCCAATCTTTCACAACATTTGGACACAGTAGCCTTTTGTTTTGAGGACTAGGGCAAGAGATGTGGAGAAATGTTTCCCTGAAGGCTGAACATTAGTCACATAAGTGGATGTTCAGGTGCCCACTCGCTCGTGCTGTGTCGGTGCCCAGCACTGGGTCCTGAGCCACTGGGTGCTCATGTGTTCTTTCATAATTGTGTTGGGGGGGGAGATCCAGGGCTTCCTGATGAAGGGATCCAGTGCACATGCCCTCTTCTGTCTAAGTTGTGGTGGAAGCTGCAGCCCCGAATATTAGTTGTTTAAACAATTCAGAAATTTACTTCCTTCTCATATAGCACTACAGGACAAGCAGTCCACCATGGCACAGCAGTTCCACAGCCTTGGGGACCCAGGCTCCTTCTATCTTGTTGTTCACTTTTCCTGAGATATTGTCCTCATGGGCATGGCTCAGAATGGCTCCCATTGTGCCTGCAGTTTAGCCAGAAGGAAGGAAAAAAGGATGAAAGGCAGGACATGCCCCTCTTTTTCCAGACCTGATCCTGCAGCTGCGCACATCAATTCTACACACATCCCGCTGGTCATAAACAGCTGAGAGATGGAGTTTTCCATGGGTGGCCTAGGGTCTAACTCAAAGTTATATTTCTGTGGAAGAAGAGGAGAACGCCATTTGGGTGACAACTGGTAATCTTTGCCACAGGTGTATTTTTTAAATATAAATTTGGGAGGGATAATGATAATTTAGATTCAAGGATACAAGGTTGCCCAAGTTCAGTTCTGCTTTTTCAGAACAACAGACAGATAGGAAAGAGCTTTGAATGGTTTTAAGCACATTGCAGGCCAGAGGCTACCTGAAAGGTGAAGCTGAGGTCCCTAACTCTTTCAAGATACCTTGGGGAAAAACTGGGTTCAAATCTACAACCAGCCACAAACTAGTAAGGTGACCGAGCCAGTTACAGTACTGCTCTCAGCTTCAGTTCTTCTTTTTCCATAAAATGAGGGATTTGGACTAAACTTCTGGTTTACAAACTGGGTTCCAGGGGACCTTAGGATTCCTCAGTGTCACTTCAGGTGTCGGGGACTGGCTTTGAACACTTCTTCCCTGTGTATTTATTTGCCAAAGAAACTCCATTTTGATTGGGTATATGTCTTAAGGGTCTGTGTAAATCTTCCTTTGGGGGGATAAAAGGGTGGGGCTTCTAATGCTACAAAGAAAGTTGAAAGATGCCTGGACAGTGTGATACCTAGTGGAGGCAGCTTGGCATCACGTCGGATTGCCTGGATTGAAATCCCAGCTCTGCTGCCTAGCTTCTGTGGCACCTCAGGCTGAAGTACTCAACTCTCCTCAGCCTCTGGAATGGGATTTCCTCATCCATAAAATATGGTCATTGTTATTTACTTCTCAGGATTGTCCTGAGGCTTAAATGAAATAATATATTTAAGAGGGCTTGTATTAGGGTTCTCTAAAGGGACAAAACTAATAGGATAGATAAATATATGAGGGGGAGTTTATTAAGGAGTATTGACTCACACGATCACAAGGTGAAGTCCCAGAATAGACCATCTGCAGGCTAAGGAGCCAGAAAGCCAGTCCCAGTCCCAAAACCTCAGAAATAGAGAAGCCAACAGTGTAACCTTCGGTCTGTGGCCAAAGGCCTGAGAGCCCCTGGCAGGTCACTGGTGTAAGTCCAAGAGTCCAACAGCTGAAGAACCTGGAGTCTGATGTTCAAGGGCAGGAAGCATCCAACATGGGAGAAAGATGAAGACCAGAACACTCAGCAAGTCTGCTCTTTTCATTCCTGCTTTTATGCTGTCAGCTGATTAGATGGTGCCACCCAGACTGACGGTTCTGCCTTTCCCGGTTCCCTGACTCAAATGTTAATCTCGTCTGGCAACACCCTCATAGACATACCCAGAAACAATACTTTGTATCCTTCAATCCAATCAAGTTGACACAGTATTAACCATCACAAGGCTTAACACATGTCCTGGCATAAAGGACATGTTGAATAAATGGCAATGACTGTTATCATTACCACCACCATCAACTTTATCTCTAAGGCTCCAGCTTTTGGCTGTAAGGCTTTATGTTTCTTTGAACTATTGTGCAAGATGGAGGACCCTTTGATGAGGGAATAATTATTACTGGATTTTTCCCTTTGCTCTTGGATTTTTGCAGGTTTTCTCAAAATAAGGCATAGTAGAGCCAGCCCATTGCAGGTAAAACAATTTGAACAGAAGACATCGGGACATCGGGGTCTGTAATTTCAAAGGCATTATTGAAACAACTTTTTTCTTAACAGAGGAAACAAAATTAATCTTTTAAATCAAGGAGGAAAATTATTTAATTTTAATGCTGCACATGGCAGGAAAATAAAGTGCAAAGTTTACAGCACTTTATTTCCTTCTTACCAGGAAGGAAGAAGGAAAACCCCATGGTATTATGTTTTGTCAAACATGACTTTCCAGGGACTAAACCAGACTTTGATTTTAGACCCCTGTTCATTCTAGTTTGGTAAACCCTTGACAAATTCCAGTCTGTTCCACCCACAGGAGAGGGTCATGTTACCATCTCAGCTGCAGAGCCGATGAGGTGGTTGTACCGACCTGTAGGATCCCAGAGCTGAGAGCTGGAGATCATTGATTATAACTCTCTTCATGGGCCAATCAGGTGTTATATGAAGAATCAAATGAGAGAAATGTGACAGGCTTCTGATCCTCCCACTCATGATTTAAAATCTTCTCTAGAACATTCCTGTTACAGCTTTACTACTACTTGTAAGAAGACCTTAAGCCACCCCTCTTCCATCTCATTTTCTATCTCTGTGACTGTTCTTGCTTATAAAAGTCTTCAGCCTGAGCACTGAATTGATGCTCAGAGTTTATCTAAAGCCAGAATCTTCTCCATGTTGTTCTTGACAAATGGTCAGTTCTTCTTCTTGAACATGTCCCATGACAGGGAACTCACTGCTTTATTAGGAATCAGCCATTCTTTTGGAGGAGAGCTCCAACTTATTTGAAAACTTTCTTCTTTTGCCCTAAAACTGGTTTTCTAATATATATCTATCATATGTGTATGTATACACTTAGCCTTTTTTAACCGTCTGGATCAAGCCTACATAAAGTTTAGCCCCCTTCCCCAGGCTGCCTGGCAAATACTTGAAGCTAACCTACCTCCATCTCCAGGCTTAACCTACTGAGCTCTCCCATCATCTCTGATCCCTCATGATAGGTGATCCCTCACCTATCTGCTCATCGACCTCTGGGCTTCCCTGGTATTGTTGAAAGCGTGCTTGTTAAAGTCAGTTCACCCAAACTAGTTACTACGCCCTGTACCTGTTTTTCCATTTCTCCCCATTTTGCTTGTAAAGCTCTACTTGATACCCCCAAATAATAGTTTGATTAATGTTGGAGAAAAGAGGAAGAATATATACAGGCTAAGTTCTATGTCTCTTCATACATTTCTGTATCAACACAGCTTTTAAAAAACAGTTCCACCGTAAAAATGTATATATAAAATCTGGGGTTCACCAAGACCTTCAGGCCTTTTCCAGTGACTATTCCTGTATTTCAGATAAAACTAGGGGTAAACGCTGCATCTTTTATTTGTCTTTACTACATTTCCCTTGGCTTTGAGAATGTTTGTGTTTTTGCATTATCTCTAAAATGTATGAAGGTAATGTTTATATCTATTTCTATCTTTAGAAATGTTAGAGACCACATGCAATTAGACACCATCTACAAGCTTAATGAGAAAGCACTGGCTTCATTGGTAAAAGCGTGACCATTATTATGGAGTGGGGCAGGTGTTTGAAAGGATGGATCAGGGCAAGTAAGAGCATCCCAAATCTAAAGAGAAAATGCAGACTGTGCCCCCGAGAATACTATCTGAAAGTCAGTATGGTAAACACTCAAGCCCTCCAAGATGCAGGTACCTGGCCCGGGTAACTGCCTTCTATAGAATATCTTTCTACGACCTAGATTGGTTAAAGTCATTACATGCTACTTATGCAAGAAGGTGAATGTAAACTGAGAACTGGTCAAATGTATCATTTTAATTAGGCCGTCTCCTTGCAAAAAGAAAACTATGTGAAAGATCCTTTGTGAAGAGCCAAATTTCTATAAACTTGGATTAACATGTGCCAACCAGAGATTCCAGGCTAAAGGTATAGGAAGTCCTGATATTATATACTGACTAGTCTGCAATTATGAGACTTTTCATCAGGAAAAATTAAGTGATCAGCCATGATTTGTTTTTCTGTGAAGGGTTTACCCAGTACATCAAAGCTCAGTTTAAATTAAACTGGACCCAGAATCATTTATTTATTTATTTATTTTAGAGACAAGGTCTTTGTTCCCCAGCCTGCAGTGTGGTGATACCACATAGCTCACTGTAACCTTGAACTCCTGGACCCAAGTGATCCTCCAACCTCAGCCTCCCAAGTAACTAGGACTACAGGCATGTGCCACCACACCTGGCTAATTTTTTTGTTTTTATTTTTATTTTTTTTAATAGAGACAGGGTCTCACTGTGTTGCCCAGGCTGGTCTCAAACTCCTGGCCTCAAGCAGTCCTCCCACCTCAGCCTCCCAAAGTGCTGGGATTACAGGCGTGAGCCACCACACTGGGCCTGGACACAAATGGGCCTTCATCCAGTGAGACAAGCAAATTTCAGTGTCATTGATGACTGCCTCTTTGTTCCTGCGTCTTTTCAGTAAGACTTTCTCAATTCAGAGAGCACACTCACACTCCATGGAAACCTACTCATAATGCTAAACCTCCTTTTAACCATTTCATTCTTTTACCAAAGCTAAGCCAAATTGACTGATGTTTCTGTCCTTTCCCTTCTGCAGTCCTTTCTCTCTGCGGTGCTAGTGAGAGAGGAGGCACAGCCTCATGTGGGTCCACAGGGAGGCTGGCGTAAGTAGAGATGCTGGACTGAGTTACAGAGCTGCCAGCCATGAAACAGAAATAGGATATTGGCTCCCCCAAGGAAATGCAGGCTGTGCAACTTCTTTATTTGGGTTGGCAACAATAGGCATGCACTTTGCTTCTGCTGAGGCCTGATCACTTGCTGAATATTTATTTGTCCCAAAGATTATTTAGCTATCCTCAGGAATCCAGGCTCTCTGGCCAAGTTTTCTCCTTTGGCATGGGTTCCCAGTGGGGAATGTGACTGATCCTTTCTCCCTTCAAAAGGGGCCATAATGACCATCGAGCTGGAAGTGGAAGTGTTATAGGAGAAGAGCAAAATGGGACGCAAGAGGACCCATGACTTGTGAAGACAGCGGCAGAGCTGACTAGAACTTGGATCTCCAAATCCAGTGTTCTTTCCAGAAGGCCAGAATCTCTCAAACTTTCAGGAGCATATCATTATATGAAGAACTTATCTAATAAAATGCAGATTTTTAGTTCTCCTCATTAGAAATTCTGACGCAGAATCTGCCTGTTTAATGTGTATCTTCATGTGGCCATGAACTGAGATACCATCTCTATGCATGAGATCACTCTGGCCCATCAACATTTACTTTCTGCTTATACTCACCCAGGGATGGGAGTGTTGCCAGACAGTTAAATATGAAAACCATCATATCTTCTTGCTCATTTTTTTAAAATTATAGCACAGGCCAGGTGCAGTTACTTGTGCCTATAATCCTAACACTTTGGGAGGCCGAGGTGGGAGGATTGCTTGAGGCCAGGAGTTCAAGACCAGCTTGGGCAACATAGTGAGACTCTATCTCTATAAAAATTAAAAATATATATATATAGCATAAAGAACATTATAAAAACATTAAAATAAACTTGCAGAAAGAAAAAAAATCCACCCATGGCCCAGAGCTCCATCAAACCATCTATCTACTTTCCCTTCCATGTTTGGAGAGGTTATCCTTGTATTTAGATAACTATCAACCTAATAATTATTTTATCTTATTTTTACTTCTTTTGGCCAAGTATCCTCTTTATTATTTGACTTGCTAAGAAACAGGGCCCTTGAATGCTATTAAAGAAGAAAAACAGTGCTTAACTTTATCGATCATTTGCTACATTACTGGGCACTGTGCTCAGGGTTTTATATACATTCACTCATTTAATCCCATCAGCCTTATGAAGAAGGTCCTAGTATCCCCATTTTCCAGATTAGGAAACTGAGGCTTAGAAAGGATTAATAGCTTGTACCAAATCATAAATCTTCTGACTCCAAAACATATGCTCTTCTTTTCCAAACTGCCTTCTAGACAGCAGACAAAAGACAGAAGATGCTTGGCCTGCAGCTCTTCATCCCCATGAAGAAGGGAGAACTACACAGGAAACAACTAAAGGACAAAAATAACAACTGTTCTTAAGCACAAAAATGTGCCCTAAAGATACATAGTGCTGCAGGGAATGAGAGTGGGGCAATATCTATGTGAGCAGGAAACCTTAAATACAAGGGAGAAAAATGGGACACGATCCTAATGGCAGAGGCTGCTATTATAGGTTTGGGGCCAGCAGAATTACTTGGTGAGATGAAAAGTCACAGAGAGCCACAATCCGCCAAGAAGCCATCCATTTTAGCTGACTCTCCAAGCAGACCCTTGGCCAGATCCACTAAACATTTCAGATTTGACTCTTTCTCTCCAGAGCTGATAATCAGCACAGACAGGATCCCAGATGGTAGGAAAAAGGGGTGACAAGCTAGAGAATCAAGCTCTGAGTAAGTGCAGATGCCACCAGGAGCAAAACTTTTTTCCAGAAATGAAACCTCCATTGTTGCTAGAGAGTTTGAGTTCTAAAAGCTTTGCTTATGATTTCCCTGGAGTTTCTTGAGGGTCTCCCATATCCAAGTACCTGCGATACTTTCTGTCTTCACCATGCATTTGGCACTTAGCATTAGCTAATGCCATCATTTCATGTGCTGCCCATCACCATCGCTCCATGACATTTACTACCTGTGCACTGCACTGTGCCAGGCACAGAAGACATTTGTAAGTCTCTGCCACTGGGTGTGTACAGCCTTTCTGGGTAGACAGGGCACATCTTAATGCCTATTAACAGCCCTTACAGTTCACTGTGATCTCAGTAGACTTTATTATAAGGTGAAGCAGGATGTAGGGCAACCATTGAGAGGACAAATCAAAAGTGGGTCAGACAGGCAGAGGGAGAAGCCCTGAGGTGGTGATGGGGTTTTCAACCATGTATTTTTTAGGGGCCTGGCCTGGGGCATCACACGTGCTGGTGGGTTCCCTAGGAAGCAGAGTCTGCGCCAAGATTAACTTGAAGGGCATTTGTTATTCCAAGGGGTGCTTCTGGGGTTAAGGCTTGGGAAAGGGGGAAGAGGGAAGAAGGGTTGAAGGGTGGCTGGGCTGCAGGCACAGTGT
Source organism: Homo sapiens (assembly GCF_000001405.40). Lineage (NCBI taxonomy): Eukaryota > Metazoa > Chordata > Mammalia > Primates > Hominidae > Homo > Homo sapiens. Next base: position 50,622,356 of record NC_000018.10, read on the forward strand.
TAGCTTCCTCTGATGTGTGGGGACTTCTGCAGCCAAAAAGGTCCTTCAGAGTTGCCCCTAGTTGGAGGCCCTTTGTATTTTCCTATCCTTGGCTGCGGGCTGCCCTGGACAGGAGGTGTGAACCCTGGCCAGGTGACTCCGTTCAGCCAAGTCAGTCCTTGGAGGGGGCTGCCACTGAGTCTGCTGACAGCCTCCCAGCAGCCAGGGCAAGGAGGCCTTCATTCCTCAAGGAGGATTTGGGCCTCATGTACTGCCCTCAGAGAGGCACTCAATAAACATTGACACATGGGCTGAGAACACCTCTCTCCCTCATGTCACAGGGTCCCTGATTTGTGACTTGGACGCAGGCAGAATAGGTTTGGAACTACAGCATTTGTTTAAAGAATAATAATGAACCAGGCTGCAAAAGACCATTTTGTGAATGATTGTATAGCAGCCACCACAAACTGCTAAATGTATGGGTTTCAGACTTTACTGTAAGAGCATCTTCTGTAATGAGAGTGAAAGCCAGTGCGCCCAAGCCAATTAATGATTGTCGGGGAGAAAGTAGTGACCTGTACAGTCAGATACATAGTCTCATTTCACATACTCTTTCCAAAAGATTTTTATTTTCAGGAACAGAGCCCTTGAAGTAAGATAACTATCTCCTGTGTACACATGTGGACGCAACTGTTAGTTAATTCAGGAGACAGCTAAGGAAACAAAATAATTTATAGTGTGCTTCCCTTCCAGGAGTCGAAGTAGCTCTTTGGGTATCATTTGTCAGGCTGTAAGAGAGCTGTAGGAGTTCAGAAGGGAGTATTTAATCTATCTGTTTTGGCAGAGATGGGGGAAACTCCATAGAGTGAGGTAAATTCCCTGAAGTCTCAGGCGGGGAGTGGTTAATTCAGAACTAGAACCTGGTCCCAGTCAGGTCTCAGCTCTTGATGCATCAAGCTCCTGCGAGCCAGCGGGGCTGGTTTCAAAAGAATTATTAACATTGTGCAGCAGTGTAGATTTTTCTACAAATTCATTTAGACTCATCCCAAATCAGCTTGTCCCCACTTTCCTGTCTGTGTAAATGGAACCTTCAACACCCAGTCCAGCAAAATAATTATCTTCTTTAGCCCTTCCTGTCCTCAGTCTTCACAGTGAATCTGTCAGCAGATCCCATTAGTTCCACTTCCAGAATGCATCTCGCATCCCTCTGAACCCCCAACCCCATCCTTGACACTGAAGTCTAAGCCACCATCATCACCTGCCTGGACCACCTCAGGTGGCCTCCTTACTGTCTCCCTGTTCCAATTATTGTGGGGAACTGCAATACATTCTTTGCATTTCAGGAAATCAGCCAGAGGGAACTTGTAAACGTGCAAATCAGACTACATCATTTCCCTGCTTGGAACACTTTGCTGTTTCCCAGTGCACTTGGGATAAAGTCAAAACCTCTTACCGTTTTAACATACAAGGTCCTGCTCTGTCCACCTCTTCAACCTCATCCCCAACCCTGCCCTTCTGGATTCAGCCCCACTAGTGTCTTTGCTGAATACACCAAGTGTGTTCTGCCCCAGGGCCTTTGCACTTGCTGTGTGCACTGCCTGGATTGCTCTTCCTCAAGTGGCTACATGGGTGGCCCCTTCTTACCTTTCAGGTCTCAGGCCACGTGATTTCTTTTCAGAGACACCTTCTGGCCAAAATAATCTTTTCCCCTGACGTATGCAATCACATCACCTGTCCCTATTTATTCCTGCTGATTTTATTTTATCTCTGTTTACTTACCTTGGTATTTGTCTTCTCTCACTGCAGTGTAAATTCCACCAGAGCAAGGACCTGTTTACTAGTTTATGGCTAACACAATGCTGGGGACAGAGCAGGATGTAATCAGCATTTGGCAAAAGTATGAATGGATATATGAGTATATGGGCTTTGTATGGCCTGTTGCACAAATGGAAGCAGAATACAAGAGTACCAGCCAAATTACAATTTCCCAATTACATTCCTAGATATTTGTACAATAAGTTATAATTTGCAAATATTTTATTTTTGGTTCCAGAAGAGTAAAGGAAATCAACACGTGGGCAGTGTAGTACTGTATATGGCGATGCTGTGGAGCTATTCCATGATGTTGCAGTCTTCCTGTTCACCTAATATTGTTAATAGTATATAACTTACAAGATAGTATATACTGTAGGGTCCTATTTGACTTTTGAAAATGTTATTATAAGCAGAAAAGACTAAAAGGATGTTACCAAAGTGTTAGCCAGACTTATCCTGGATGTTAGGGTTATTCCATTTTGTTTTTCTTTTCTTTATTATCTGATGTTTATATGATGAATTTACAATTTTTTCAAAGTATAAGTTTGTTTTTTAATAATACCATTGGTGAATCCTTTTGTGATGGTGATGGTGTCATTGGTGAACATACTGTTTTAAGACAGATCTCTTCTAAGGTACACAGCTGCTCTTCTTGGTGGGCCCTGCCTGGTATGCCTGCCTGGTACAGCTGCCTGGGAAGCTTTGGCTGCCTGGGATCTAGAGAACTTGCTGTGTTCAGAAAGTGACACCTGAGAGCACCCAGCAGCAAGCTTAAAGAGTGTTGGGTCAGCTCTAAGCTTTGTCAAAACACAGGACCCAACCAAGAGAGCCTATCTTGTCCCTCAGCCTGTGGCACTGAATTCCACTCTAATTCACTCTCTGGGGTACCTGGAAGATGAGGACTATCTGGAAATGAAAGACATCCTTGATGACTGGCACTTGCTCCAGGACACTGGTGGGGAGAAGCTGAGGCCCAGGACCTGAAAACTCAGCCAGCTTTGTGCTTTCCCGAGCTTTCTCAGGGCACAGGGGGAGGCATGGGAGAGAGAACAAGTCAAGGAGGAACCAAAGCTGGTCCTGGAAAATGCAGGGTCTGCATCAGGGATGGATGGCCTCCATCACCCCAGGAGACCGAGCCTTGGTGACCAGAATCTTGGGATGCTAAGAGATGGCAAAAGCGCTGGGCATGAATTATGGCAAGATTTTTTTCCTTCCTCACTTTATCCTTGCACTTTATTTTTCTCCTTTGCTGGGTCCTCAGCATCATTCTTTGAGAGCCTTTTTCTAGCTTCCTCCCTCCAAAGACCGCAGGAGTCACAAACCCCCATTCCGTGAGCAAATGTGTATTGGGCTCTTAGCACATGCAAGGGCTGTGACACAGATGGCAGAGGAGGCCAAGGAGTAGAAGACAGCCCCTTCCTTCATGGAGCTTCCAGTTCAGTTAGAGAGGGAAGACATGCTCAGTGGGCAAAACAAAGTATAAGGTCTGAATACCATTGTAGACTCGGGGTAGCACATGCCCATACCAAAGCCAGGCTGGACCCAGGATTGGTGAGGTCTGAAGTTTATACAGCATTGGGAGATCCTCATAGAAAGAAGAGATAGAAAATAGCTAGAGCCCCTCCCAGGTCTCTGGAAGGGGCTCTTGCTAGTGAGGAGTTCTTGGCTTAAGTGTTGTTAGTTTCTTGGTGTATTAGGGTTCTCCAGAGAAAAACCAATAGGGTGTGTGTATGCACACACACACACACACACACACACACACACACACACACACACACATATATAATGACATTTATTTTAAGGACTCAGCTCAAGTGATTATGGAGACTGACAAGTCCAAAATCAGCAGGGTGGTCTGGCAGGCTGGAAACCCAGGATAAGCTGAGGTTGCATTGAAGCCTGAAGGCCATCCACTGGCAGAATTCCTTCTCACTCAGGGGAAGTCCTTCATTTGTTCTATTAAGGCCTTCTACTGACTGGAAGAAGACCACCCACATTATGAAGGGTCATCTGCTTTACTCAGAGTCCACTAATTTAAATGCAAATCTCATCCAAAAACATCCTTACAGAAACATCCAGAATAATGTTTGACCAAATATCTGGGCACCGTGGTCAACCAAGTTGACATAAAATTAACCTTCACACCTGGCAAATCCATCTCTGAACGTGAGGTCTGTGGAGGGAGGAAATGCTGTGGACCAGATGGTCAGAGCAGGCTCCCTGGGAGAGGTGGACTTGAACCAACCTTGGGGATGGCTTGGGCATCATGGCGTCTGCGGTCCTTGCACACTGAGCCTCAGCGTGGACGGGGAGTCTGTCCCATAGCCTTGTTGGAGGCGGGAAGGATTCTGGGATGGCCGAAGGGGTTGGTAACCTTTGGCCCAAGGGTTCATCAAGGTGTCACATGTGGCCCACTTGCTCCGACACTGTCCCTCTCTGGGAACCTGTTTTTCCTTTTTCTCGTCCCCTCTCCCCTCCCATTCCTCATCACCCTTTCTTCCCGTCTCCTCCCTCAGGTTAAACCTGGAACGAGACCAGGCCCTTCAGGCTCCCAGGAAGTCACAAGGTGTCTCCAGCAGATGTGCTTCATCCAAATCCTCAGCATGAACACAGCTTGTCCCACACCCAAATCCTCAAGATGTTCAGGGGGCTCTGTAGTGTGTTCCCCAACCCTGTGCCCTAGTGACTCTTTGCGCTTGCACGTGGTGTCATTTATTATGCAGGTGTACTTTGTCAAGGGAGCCCCTCTGCTCACAGCACAGGGAAACCAGCCTCCTGGCTATCTCCTGTCCCTTGTTAATCTGCAAGACAAATGGGTGTTGTCATTAGGCCTTGTCACTGTGAAGGGAAGGGAGAGTATCACCATTCCAGCTTGGCATTTTTGTCCCCCCTACCACCCCGCCCCCCGCCCACTCATCTTGGCCACATGGCCTCCATTTCCGCTCCTGCTTTGTTTCCTCAGCTGGCTCCTGCCCAGACTTCCTGTGGACCACATGGTCAGAGGAGGCTTCCTGGGAGAGGCGGACTTGGACCAGCCTTGGGGAATGGCTTGGGTGTCATGGCATCTGCTGTCCTTGCACATCGAGCCTCATGGTGGACTAGGGAGTCTGTCCCATGGCCTCATTGGAGGTGGGAAGGATTCCGAAGGAAGGATTCCCCTCAGGGGGAAGGTTCTGAAAGCAAGAAGCTGACAGCAATTATCTGAAGAGGTTACAATGGATAGCAATAGTTCCTTGAGGCCACAGACACTCCCATCTGGAACTTTCCTTCCACATCCCAACCACCAGCTTCAGGGGTGGCCCGAGCTCTGGAGGAAGGAGAGGCTGCAGCTGTTTCCCACTCCAGGCCAAACCGAGCCTTGAGATCCTTCTGACTTGAAAGCAGAGCTGAACACCCTGCCACTGTGTTGTCTTCAAACCAAAGTTGTTGCTTATAAGGACCCCTTGCCTGCATTTAGCTCTTACAGCATTGAACAAACTTCCTCACAGTAACCTGGCAAGGAGGGCAGAGCCTATGTTACGATCCCATTTGAGAGAGCAGAGGTGAGGCCCAGGACTTGAGACAGATCCCTTGGCTGGTACTGCCTGCCCAGGAGATGACACAGAATGCAGGGTCTCCCATGCCTGTGAGTTTGGATGGTGTTGATTAGGCCACATCCGAGACCTGGCTGCATAGGAGCCTCTCCAAATTTCCTCATGGGATTTGTGAGGCAAGTCTGGCGACAGCAGCATTCTCCCTGATGTCTTAGATTCTCATGTGA